>NC_000014.9:45861713-46486713 GCF_000001405.40 Homo sapiens
TTCCCTCCTTGGCCTCCCAAAGTGCTGGGATTACAGGTGTGAACCACCACACCCAACCTGGTCAATTGATTTTGACAAAGATGCCAAGAACAAACAATGGGAAAAGGACTGTCTCTTTAATAAATGGTGATGGGGAAACTGGATATTCACATGCAGAAGAATGAAATTGGACTCTTATCTCACCCCATATTCAAAAATCAGCTCAAAATACATGAAAGACATAAATGTAAGACATGAGACAGTAAAGCTACTAGAAGGAAACGTAGGGAGACATCTCCATGATATTGTTCTGGGTAATGATTTCTTGGATAGGACTCCAAGAGCACAGGCAACAAAAACAAAAGCAGACAAATGGAATTGCATCAACCCAAAAAGCACAGCATAAATAAAACAAAACAAAAGAAACAAACAAAAAACCAAAAACACACTCCAACACAAAACAAAACAAAAAACAATACAGTGAAGAAACAACCCACAAATTGGGAGAAGATATTGGCAAACCATACATCTGATAAGGGGCTAATATCCAAAATATATAAGAAACTCAACTCAGTAATAAGAAAACAAATAACCCAATTAAAATGGGCAAAGGATCTGAAAAACATTTCCCAAAACATGAAATATGAATAGCAAACAGATATGAAAAAAATGCTAAACATTTCTAATCATAAGGGAAATGTCAATGAAAACCACAATGAGTTACCACCTTACACCTGTGAGAATGCTATCATCAAAAACAAATGGTAAGTAATGGTGAGGATTTGGAGAAAAGGGAGCTTTTGTACACTGTTGGTAGGAATGTAAATTGATACAACCATATTGGAAAATAGTGTGGATGTTCCTCATAAATCTAAAAATAAAATCAATAAAAGAAAAACTTCAGCAGAATTAAATTTAAAGGAGTTTAATTGAGTAATGAACTATGTGCAAATTGGGCAGCCCTTAGAATCACAGCAAATTCACAGAGACTCCAGTGGAGCCAAGTGGTGAAAGAAGATTTATAGGTAAAAAAGGGAAATCATGTACAGAAATTGGCAGTGAGGTAAAGAAACAGGTGGATTTGTTACAGGTTGGAGTTTGCCTTATTTGAACACAGTTTGAACATTTAGCAGTCTGTGAGTGGTTGAAGTATGGCCATTTGGATTGGCCAAGACTCAGTCATTGTTACAGGAGCATACTCCTAATTTAGGTTTTACTCTTGTCTGACTATTAAGCTAGGTTACAATTCATCCACAAGGACTCAAATATAGAAGTACAAAGTCCTTCTCAGGCCATATTTAGTTTTCCTTAACAGGATTACTATACGCTTCAGCAATCTCACTTCTGAGTATACATCTAGAGGTATTGAAATTAGTATATCAAAGAGATAGATGCACTCTCATGTTCATTACAACATTATTCACAATAGCTACCTTATAAAGCCAACCTAAGTGTCCATCAACTGATGAATGGATAAAGATGTGATATATACACAATGGTATACTATACAACTTTAAAAAAGAAAAATTTCTGTTACTGTTACAACACGGATGGAACTTGAGGACATTATGTTAAGTGAAATAAGCCAGGTGCAGAAAGACGGATACTATTTGATCTCACTTATATGTGGAATCTGAAAAAATTGATTTGGTAGAAACAGTAGAAAGGTGGTTACCAGAGGCTTGAGGGATGGTGGAGAGATGGTGGGGAAGGTGTTGATCAAAGGACGCAGAGTTTCAGGTAGACTGTAGGAATGCATTTCAGTGATCTACTGCATTGCATGGCAACCACATTTAATAATAATATATTGCATATTTCAAAACTGGTAAGATATATTGTTTATGCTCTCACTACACAGAAGAAAAGATAAATTGGTGAGGTGATGGATATATTAATTAGCTTGATTGAATCTTTCTACAATGTATACATAGATCAAAACACCACATGGTACTCCATAAATATAAAAAATTATTATTTGTCAATTAAAGAAAAAAGAAAATATGCATCATTACCATTGAGAAAATGAAGCAATTCCTTTAAAGACTGGAGAATGAAACATTTCAAATTATTTCCTGGTTATTTATTTATCCTCTTTCAAGCCATGTTTTCATTACTTATCAGTTTTTATTTTAAAATACATCTATCATTAATTTGTTATCTCAGTAAGAAAGGTGTTTATTATCTTTGTTCCCAATGTCCTGATTTAATATTCATTCTTGTCAAATAGTTTGGTCATGGCTCAGATGCTACTGTGAAATTGAAAAGAGTACAGCATTGTTCTGCTATGCTTTTGAAAAACTGTTGTATCTTTTATATTAGGTAAATAGACACAGTTCCAAAAGGGGATATAATTTTTATTCTAATTCTTTTCATACTGATGTTACATAAAGCATGTCCTGAGAGCCAAGAATGAACAAGAACTGCTTCTTAAAGAAGGAAGGATAAAGCAAGACAAAGACATCAAAGCCATTGCCATTACATTTTATCCTGAAAGAAACAAGAAATTACCAGGAAAGATCAGAATTCAACTGAAAGGGGTTACTGTTACAATTCCTACTGAGAGTTTCAAAAGGCAGCAGAAATTTTTCAGGGGAGGAGATATATTTATCCAATGGACAATGGGTCTGTGAAATTCTCTAGGTAATGCAAACAAAAGGCAGGGACTTTAATGCACCTACTGTGTACCTGATATTTTAAACTTCCATAGGGAAACATCTAACAATGCACAAAGTAAAAAATATCTAATGCCAAATTTTGAATAACTTTAAAGGTGCTTTCAAGATTCCTCAAAGTACAGCTTCAAGTTCAAAGTGAACTCAGTGAGAACTTGTTTCACTAAGAACCAACATCAGTATCAACCAGAAACAGTGGATTGTTAGGTCTAAGTTTTCCCATGGTGCCAAGCATTGAAGAAACATTTTTTGTTATTTTGTAACCAATACTTTAAAACTCCTGCTCTCAGTGTAAGGCACTGTTGTAGAGAATGTAGAAGATTCAAAAGTGTTTGAGGTAATTATTCTGCCCTTAGGAAAAAAAGGAGTACAAAATAGGAATTGTTGACATATTTAAGAATATTTATCAAAAAATTAAACACAATCAATGACTTATAATGAGAATTAAAATATACTATAGTTTTAGCTTCAAGAAATATTTTATTCTAACTGCATAGCTGATTACTCTTCTGCGATCTTGTATGAAAATTCCCCCCCGACCCCCAACTGCCGCCATAACTCGCCCTGTATTGTGTGTATCCTGGGGATCCCAGCACCATTGAAGAGCATAGAACAATTGTGAGCTCAGGCTCGGAATGAGGAACTTGGGTTAGAATACTTCCCTCAGTACTTGTGATTTGAACAGATCCCATAATCCCCCTCTACCTCAATTTTCTATTCTGTAAAGTGGGAATAATAAGGCAGAATTTACAACAAGGATTTACACTTGTAAAGCGTTTAGCAAATTGCCTAGCCATCATACTAAGTTGTGGTTTATTATTTTTTTTAAAAAAATAAATCAAATAATATTACACCTCTGTTTAAAACTAATTGGTTTCCACTGCACTTAGAACCAAAATTGCTTCTTAGCCCTTAAGATCACCTCCAATACCTTACAAAATTTGTCCTTCACTTGTCTTTCTTAGTGACATTTTGTACAACTTTTTCCCTACGTTTTGAACTTCCCAGGAATTCTAGGCTTCTTCCTGTAACCGGATGATGCTAAGCATCCTTCATCTAGGGATCTTTAAACTTGTTTTCTCTTCTAGCTACAAAAACACTTCAACAAGATAGTTGAGTGACTACTTCATTTCTGTTCTTACATGGATCATTTTCAGTTTTAGTATCAATGCCACTTCCTTAGTCAAGCCTTACTTGGCCCTCATATGTATGTACACTTGAAGTTATTATCTTTAATTATGTCCCTTTCAGTCACTCTTTATCTTCATTACTTCACTTAACAGTTAAATTCAACTTGTTTACTTATCTTTGTCTTCCTTAACTAGAGGAAGAACCCGTAAAGGAAGGGCTTTGTCTTTCCACTAAAATACTCTATCCCCAATTCCTGTAAAAGTGCCTCACACATAGAGATGTTCAAAAAAATTTCAGAGAACTGAACACATTTATTTTTATGGATGACAAGTCCTGTGCTGCCTAAACCTATCTCTGAAGAAAAAGTATATGAATAAGAATTATTTATTTTATTGATGGCATCTGGAATTTCAACATACTTTCTTTAAATGAATAAAAGTTTTGAATTTTAAAGTGTACTGTAGTTACATATAAGCATTGGGAGATATACTTAATGCTAGATGATGAGTTAGTGGGTGCAGCGCACCAGCATGGCACATGTATACATATGTAACTAACCTGCACAATGTGCACATGTACCCTAAAACTTAAAGTATAATAAAAAAAAAAAGAATGAACAAATACAGACAAGATTTACTTACACTCACTATTTGTACCTCAATTATAGACCTTAATTATTAAGTTATAATTTTGTATCTTAGTTATTACCTAGTTACTACGAAAAATTGAAATGCGTTTGGAGTTTTAAAATCATAAGTCCTGTACTTTATGTTCAGAAAAAATACTAACCCAAATGTTACTTAGACTTGAAGTTGAGAAAGAAAAGTAGCTGAGAGTGTTATTGGACTGAACTGGGATCCATTCACCCAGCACAGCAAAAACAAACATTGGCATCAGGACTGCAGCTAGAAGTGACGCATCTATTGCAAGGCATCAAGCAGTGAGAATCAGGCACCAGGGATGCTTAAGACGCAAATGCTTAAGACTCAAACTCCCTAATGCAGCAGTTCCCAGCTTTCTTAGCACCAGGGACGGGTTTTGCAGAAGACAATTTCTCCACGGACTGAGGAGTGGGGGATGGTTTTGGGATGATTCAAGAACATTATATTTATTGTGCGCTTTATATCTATTATTACTACATTGTCATATATAATGAAATAGTTATACAACTCACCATAATGTAGAATCAGTGGGGGCCCTGAGCTTGTTTTCCTGAAACTAGACGGTCCCATCTGAGGGTGATGGGAGACAGTGACACCTGAAGTGTGTTGCTTATGTCCAGTCTACTCTGTTATCTCATTGTGGTTTCTGTCACTGCAGAAAACTCTGCTTCAAAAAGAAAGAATGTTGGAAATGGAAGCAGGCTTTACAGTGCTTTTGTGGCAATCACAGGATATTCCTCCTTGATGATTAGGATTTGAAGTTGTCTGGAACGTACTTTTAAGGCCACTGTCATTTGTGATCTCAAGCAGTTGATCCTCTTCTGGCACAGGCAAAATCAATTCATCTGGCTTACTCACAAATGGGTCACTGATCCATTCTTTCCCAGTTTGGCAGTCTTTTGTGTTTGGGAAGTAATGTTCAAACTCTTTTGAAAGATGAGATAGGTGATCATGCACCAGCTAGGAGAAAGAAGGCCTTGGCTCAGTCTCTTTCAAAATATCTGCCAATGTTTGAAATTGTCAAATATTCCAATGTTCACTTGTCGCCCCCATAATTCCAGTTTGGCTTTAAACGCAGCCACTTTATCTGCTGACTTGAACACAGCTTTCATTCTCCCCTGAAGTGACAGATTGAGTTCATTCAGCAAGTTGAATATGTGACAGAGGTAAGCAAGTTTTGCAACCCATTCTGTGTCACTGAAATGTGCTGCCAGTGGTTACTGTTTTTCTAAAAATATCTCTGGAGCAGCTCTCATAACTCAAAAACTCTGGCCAGTGATCTACCTTTAGAAAGTCATTTCACATCTGTGTGTAAGAGATGTGTGTGCTCTGTGTCCATCTCCTCACAGAGCTGCGCCAACAGACATGAGTTAAAAGCATATACTTTAATGTTGTTGATAGTTTTAATAGCATCCTGCAAAATGTCATTAAGTTTAGGTGACATTTTTGGGGTAGCTAAGATTTCTCTATGGCAGTCACAGTGCACAGACTCAAATTCAGAAGTGACTTCTTTGATCTGAGTAGTGAAACCAGAAAGCCATCCAGCCATGGCAGCCTCTCTGTTCATGCATATACCAACACAAAATGACCAATACAGTTTTCCTAATATGTAATTATTCAAAGACTTAATAGTTCTGCAGCTGTGGTGTTGTTTGGCAACAAAAGTGCACAGAACATATCCTCATGCACATCCTCCTGAAAAATATATTGCATGAAAACAAACAAGCATTGTTGCCTTGTTGTCAATATCTATAGAATTGTCAACCTGGATTAAATACCACAGTGACTCATTAATTCTCTCTAAAAACTGTGCCTCAATATCCTCTGCTAGTTCATCAATTCATTTAGCTATGGTGCTAGATAAAAGAGGAACATGTGCCACCTTTTGAACTGTAGCCTCTCCTAACGTTTAACCACAAATGTCCTTAGCAGCCGGCAGGATGAACTCTTCACCAATAGGAAAGGATTTCTTAGCTTTAGCAATGCAGTTAGCCACTAGGAATTATGCTTTCAGTGCAGACACATTTGATGAAGTGGTGGTCTTCAATAACTGCTTCTGTTATTTGTGTTCACATTTTTTCTTTTGAAAAACTCCAAAGGCTTGTCTTTTATTGCAGGGTCCTTGGTCTCCATGTGACAAAGCAGTTTTGAAGGTTACAGGGCTTCATTGGATAGCCAGTTGTCACGTATTTTACAAAGTGGCCTTGGAGAATGTGAATCACCTGTTGCAATGAACCCATAATTTAAGTAGGACTTGGTGTTTTCTTTTAAATGCAGCTTTCTTTTTGTTGGCAGTCTTAGAGTCTTCTGCTGTCTCATCATTGGGTGTTTACCCCTTTTCAAAGAAGCTCTCCAGTGATGTTTGGTTCTTACTCATTTTGGCCAGAGTTAGCTTGTGGGAACCAAAACTGTGACTAAGGCAAGTGCACAGTGTGGGAAAGAGGCACAGATGAAAGTGGTAAATAAAATAATGGGTGGACCATGTCGAGACAAAAATGAGTATCAGGTTCTGACTTAAATCCTGCCACCAGATGCAGCTGTGAAATTGAAGTACACCAACTCACTTGCCACTATAAAGCTGCCACGAGATGCAGTTTAAATGCCACTTGCTACTCACTGATAGGGTTTTGATCTGTGTCTCCAAGCAATTGATTTATTATGGTTTCTGTGCAGTTAAAAATCTCTGCTAATGTTAATCTGTATTTGCAGCCACTCCCCAGTGCTGCATCACCACCTTGGGTCCACCTTAGATCATCTGGCATTAGATTCTCATAAGAAGAGTCCAACCTAGATCCCTTGCATTCGCAGTTCACAATATGGTTCGTGCTCCTATGAGAACCTAATGCCACTGCTGATCTGACAGGAGGCAGAGCTCAGGTGGTAATGAAAGTGATGGGCAGTGGTTGTAAGAACAGATGAAACTTTACTAGCTTACCCATCTTTAACCTCCTGTTGTGTGGCTCATTTCTAATGAGCCACAGACCAGTATTAGTCTGTGGTCTGAGGGTTGTGGTCCCTTCCCTAATGGCTCATTGATAAGGGGTTTCAGAGGCAGAGATGTAGAGGTTATAGGCAAAGTCATAATTCAATATATGGCAGCTATAAATTATTTTGAACTAAAAAGGTGGCATATCTTGAAGCAGAAAGGAGACCTACAGATTATAGGTGGAGTCAAAGATTTTCTGATTTTGCTAACCATGGAAAAGATTCGAGTTACTGGTGGCATATCTATACAGATCTGCAGCAACCTCAATTCTTGTCTCCTCAGAAGAAAGAATTTAAGTGAGAGGCATAAGAGAGAAGAAGATACCAAGGCAAGTTTCACAGCAGAAGTGGAAGTTTATTAAAAAGCTTTAGAGTGTAAGGAATAAAAGAAGAAAAGAAGGAAAGTACAGCTTGGAAGATGGCCAAGTGGACAATTTGAGAAACCAAGTGTGCAGCTTGATCTTTTGACTTGGGGTTTTATTACTTCCCTCTCCATTGCTGAGATCTATTTTTTTTTTTTTTTTTGAGATGGAGTCATGGTGTCGCCAGGCTGGAGTGCAGTGGCATGATCTTGGCTCACTGCAACCTCCACCTCCCGGGTTCAAGCAATTCCCCTGCCTCAGCCTCCTGAGTAGCTGGGACTACAGGCATGCACCACCATTCCCGGCTAATTTTTTGTATTTTAGTAGAGACAGGGATTCACCATGTTGGCCAGGATGGTCTCGATCTCCTGACCTCGTGATCTGCCCACCTCAGCCACCCAAAGTGCTGCGATTACAGACATGAGCCACTGCACCCACTCCTGAGATCTTATTGGGAAGCTGCTGATCAGTTACAGGTGTTTTCTATCTATCAGGAGCCCGTCTTTCCCCAGTGCCAGCTGTGACCAATTATTATTTTAGAAAAACAGTTACCAACTGCCTGACCATTGCTTGATGGTCACCCAACACTCATGGTGTGTTGGGGGAAGCCCTCTCCTGCCCTGTTTATATGTCACTAGATAACTACTGTAACAATTTAATACTGGTTCAGAGGCAAAGCTTTGTCTAAATATTTGAGATCAACTGAAAAGAATATTAGTTCTTGCCCAGGGCATGATCTCCTCCAGGCCCCTCAGGAAGAAACAAAGAACAGTGTATTAGTCCATTTTCATGCTGCTGATGAAGACATACCTGAGACTGGGCAATTTACAAAAGAAAGAGGTTTAATTGGACTTACAGATCCACGTGGCTGGGGAAGACTCACAATAATGGCAGAAGGCAAGGGCAAGCAAGTCATGTCTTACATGGATGGCAGCTGGCAAAGAGGATAACTTGTGCAGAGGAACTCCACTTTGTAAAACCCTCAGATCTTGTGAGACTTTTTCACTATCATGAGAACAGCATGGGAAAGACTTGCCCCTATGATTCAACTACCTCCCACTGGGTCTATCCCACAACACATGGGAATTCAAGATGAGATTTTGGTGGGGACACCATCAAACCATATCACTCTACTCCTGGCCCCTCCCAAATCTCATGTTCTCACATTAGAAAACCAATCATGCCTTTCCAACAGTCCCCCAAAGTCTTAACTCGTTCCAGCGTTAACTCAAAAGTCCACACTTCAAAGTCTCATCCGAGACAAGGCAAGTCCCTTCCACCTAGGAGCCTGTAAAATCAAAAGCAGGTTAGTTACTTCCTAGATACAATGAGGTTACAGGCATTGGGTAAACACAGCTATCCTAAATGGGAGAAATTGGGAAAATAAAGGGGCTACATGCCCCATGCAAGTCCAAAATCCAGCAGGGCAGTCAAATCTTAAACTTCCAAAATGATCTTCTCTGACTCCATGTCTCATATTCAGGTCATGCTGGTGCAAATGGTGGGTTCCCATGGCCTTGGAAAGCTCCACACCAGTGGCTTTGCAGGATACAGCCTCCCTTCCAGCTCCTTTCGTGGACTGGCATTGAGTGTCTGAGGTTTTTCCAGGTGCACAGTGCAAGCTGTCAGTGGATCTATCATTCTGGGGTCTAGAGAACGGTGGTCCTCTTCTTACCACTTCTTACCACTAGGTGGTACCCTAGTAGGGACTCTGTGTGAGGGGTCCAACCCTACATTTCGCTTCTGCACTGCTCTAGCAGAGGTTCTCCATGAGAGCCCCACCCCTGTGGTAAACTTCTGCCTGGACATCCAGGCATTTCTATGCATCTTCTGAAATCTAGGTGGAGGTTCCCAAACCCCAATCTTGACTTCTGTGTACTGGAAGCTCAACATCAAGTGGAAGCTGCCAAGGCTTGAGGCTTGCACCATCTGAAGCTACAGCCTGAGCTCTACATTGGCCCCTTTTAGCCATGACTGGAGTAGCTGGGACACAGGGCATCAAGTCCCTAGGCTGCACACAGCATGGGTACCCTTGGCCTAGCCAATGAAACCACTTTTTCCTCTTAGGCCTCCAGGTCTGTGATTAAAGGGGCTGACATGAAGACCTATGGCATGCCCTGAAGACATTTTCCCCATTGTCTTGGGGATTAACATTCAGCTCCTTGTTACTTTTGCAAATTTCTGCAGCCAGCTTAAATTTCTCCTCAGAAAATGGGATTTTTCTCTTCTATCACATTGTCAGGCTGCAAATTTTCCAAACTTTTATGCTCTGCTTCTCTTATAAAACCGAATGTCTTTAGCAGCACTCAAGTCACCTCTTGAATGCTTTGCTGCTTAGAAATTTCTTCTGTCAGATACACTAAATCATCTCTCTCAAGTTCAAATTCCACCAATTTCTAGGATGGGGTGAAATGTTGCCAGTCTGTTTGCTAAAACATAACAAGTGTTATCTTTGCTTCAGTTTGCAACAACTTCCTCATCTCCATCTGTGACCACCTCAGCCTGGACCATATTTTTCATATAACTATCAGCATTTTTGTCATAGCCATTCAGCAAGTCTCTAGGAAGTTCCAAACTTTCCCACATTTTCCTGTCTTCTTCTGAGCCCTCCAAACTGTTCCAACCTCTGCCTGTTACCTAGTTCCAAAGTCACTTCCACATTTTCAGGTAAATTTTCAGCAGTGCCCCACTCTACTGGTACCAATTTACATATTAGTCCATTTTCATGCTGCCGATAAAGACATACCTGAGACTGGGCAATTTAGAAAAGAAAGAGGTTTAATTGAACTTACAGTTCCATGTGGCTGGGGAAGCTTCACAATCATGGTGGAAGACAAGGAGGAGCAAGTCACGTCTTACATGGATGGCAACAGGCAAAGCAAAAGAACTGGTGCAGGGAAACTCCTCTTTTTAAAACTATCAGATCTCATAAGGTCTGATTCACTACCATGAAAACAGCAGGAGAAAGACTTGCCCCCATGATTAAATTACCTCCCACTGGGTCCATAACACGTGGGAATTCAAGATAGATTTGGGTAGGGATACAGCCAAACCATATCAAACAGGGTCAGAGTTCAGTGGTTGTTTCCTTCTTATCTGAGGTGATGTGTTAGAGGATCACTAGGTGGGGATCCAGGTTTCTGAAAACAATTCAGGTATATATGTTCAGATGTTACCTTTAATTTCTGTAGGGGAAGCAAACATTCTGTGATCTGACTTCCCTGGCTACTGTTTTAATCCATTATTAACTTCTTGCTTACCAAGTTGCTCATTTACTTCTCAAGGCTAGCTAGCTGCCTGGAATTTCTCTTGAAGAAACTCAAGAGTTTCCTTATTTTCTGTGCTTTGAGGAGGGCCCAAGTCCTCTAAGATGGGTCCCTGCTTTGTTTCAAAATGAGTATGAAGAATGCGAGGTATGAAAAACTCATAAGGCCCAGAAAAATATGAGAACAAATCCTCAGTCACCCCTCCCATGCTAGCACCAGTGTCCCTGGGCAATTGTTTAAAGGTATTTTATTTCTTCCTTGTAGTTTTCAGGCTAGCTGATAAATTACCTAAAATGCAATTATAAGTTGCACAAGGTGACCCTCACTCATTATCTTTATGTTCCTGAAATTTTTGATACAAAAATAATGTATAGCCAATCAATAGCTTATGATCAACTTAAGAACTGCTCCTTCTTTTTTTCTTTAAAAAGCCACTTGTGGCCAGGCACAGTGGGTCACACCTGTAATCCCAGGACTTTCGGAGGCCAAGGCGGGTGGATCACAAGGTCAGGAGATAGAGATCATCCTGGCTAACACAGTGAAACCCCCTCTCTACTAAAAATACAAAAAATTAGCTGGGCGTGGTGGGGGGCATCTGTAGTCCCAGCTACTCGGGAGGCTGAGGCAGGAGAATGGTGTGAACCCAGGAGGTGGAGCTGGCAGTGAGCCAAGATTGCGCCACTGCACTCTAGCCTGGGCGACAGAGTGAGACTCCTTCTTAAAAAAAACAAAAACAAAAACAAAAACAAAAAACCACTTGTAACTGCTGTTAATTAGAGGCCTGGCAATTCAGGCCAACTTAAATCTGTGTCTCCTTGGTTGCAGTCCTCAAATTTGGTCCAAATAAACTCTCTATTTATGTTAATTTTGCTTCAGTTTCTTCCTTTATGTTGACAAAGTCCAAAGACTAAATCTCAGTTTTATAGTCTTACAACTTCAGAAGTCTGCTGTTGTGTCTTGTTTTCTAACTGCTTTATATGAATTCTCCAGTGCAATAATACATTTTTTTTTTTTTTTTGAGATGGAGTCTTGCTCTGTCACCCAGGCTGGAGTGCAGTGGCGCGATCTCGGCTCACTGCAATCTCTGCCTCCCGGGTTCACGTCATTCTCCTGCCTCAGCCTCCTGAGTAGCTGGGACTACAGGTGCCTCCCACCATGCCCGGCTAATTTTTTTTGTATTTTTAGTAGAGACAGGATTTCACCATGTTAGCCAGGATGGTCTCGATCTCCTGATCTCATGATCCACCCGCCTCGGCCTCCCAAAGTGCTGGGATTACAGGCATGAGCCACCACACCCAGCCACAATAATGCATTTTAAAAATATCCTCTGGTAGTTGGTGCAATATAAAATGATTTTAAAATTTTCCTAAATAATGTCAGAAGAATTGGATTAAAATATTAAAAACCACCAATGGTGGTTAGCTGACTTAAAATAGAAGAAAATATAACTCCTTACTTTTCAGGTTCCCAAATGTAAACCAAAAATAAAATTCTAAGCCCCTCAACTGACTAAACGACCATCTCTTAGCCAAGGGGACCCCCAGAATAATCTTGAAAACTGAGTTCTTAGTTGCGATGGGATGGGGTGTCAGACACTCTTGTTATACCCCCACCCTTGCTAATCATGATTAGCCTTTCTTCCCTAAGGGCTTAACAAAAACCAGGCCTTTCAAGAGACTCCACCACTGATACCAACCAACAGCCTGACACTACCCTTCCTTTTTTGCCTGATATGGTACCACTGACCAACGTGTTGTTCTGCCCAATCTATAGAGAATGTGCAGTAAGGGATTTTGCATCTTTTGCTTCACCTTTTGACATCATCAGGGTGAAAACTCCACCCTTGGATCATGCTAATGCCACTATTTTTTTATACATGGGACCCATGAAGAGGCATGAAGCTCAGTTGTGCATGTTCACATTTCTTCTTCATAAATATTCATGGTTCCTCCTATAGCTTATTAAATATGTATATTCAGCTATCCTGCTCAGCATATTTGTTCCCTTTGCCTCTTCCTCAAAGTATCTGTTTTTGACTTCTGACCAAAGGCTATGCTTCCCAGTCTGCCAGAATGGCCATTCTGCCAGCTGCAATCCTTTATGAGAAATAAAATTTTCTTTTCCAAATTTATGAATGTCATAATTTTTCAGTCAATACATATTTCTCTAATGGAGTCTTTACAACTGACTTTTGAGCTTTTTACATTAAATTAGCCACTCTGCACTAAAGAATGAATGGGAAGGATGTTTAAAAGGTGTGAAAGTGTCAACTAAATGAGAAAAATCAAGCCATTAAAAAGTTAAAGTTAGTTTTATTCAGAAATCTTACTGAGGACTATAGACTGAGGCCTACAGGCTGGGAGTTTTTTTAGACTGCTTCTGCATGGTACTTCAGCCCACTCCTTATAAGCAGGTGGTGGGGTCTCAGTATTTGCAAAATCACATCAGAGTTGCTCAGAAGTTGCATTAAAGCAGAATTGCATCAACGTTTGGATGTAAGAGTATGTCCTGTTATAGATTACAGAAGAACAATCACTAACCCCGTTAGACATCATGTTATATGTAGAAAAAGGCAAGGACCAGGGTAATTTATCTTTTAAGTAAATTAGTGACTCAGGCAAAAAATGTGGAAGACCACATGTTCTATCCTGCTTTGTCTTCAAAGCATCTTCCAGAAGAGCTGCAGGTCCTCACAGAGTCAGGGGCTTTGTGAAATTATGCCCTTATGCTGGCAAGTGGAAGAACAAACATGGCTTCTTACATTTGCTACTTTGTCTCACAAAGGTATTGTTTATAAATTTAAAATGACAAAACTATTCCCGTTTCCTGGTACTGTGGATATTAGTAAGTTCATTAAAGTCAAGAAAAGATATAAAGATTTTTACCCAATAGTGTTTAATTAAATAAACCTTTATTTATTTTTTGCAAATAAGTAACTTGTTTGCAATATAAATTACATTGTTAAGGTATCTCATGTTAATTATAACAAGTTGTTCATTCACTCATTTAGCAAATATTTTAGTGCTTATAAGGTGCCAAGCACTGAAGATGCATGAATGAACAAAACAAAAAAATCTTCGTATGCAGTGAATTATGTTAGTAGGCATTCAAATTATGTTTAACTTGGGCAAACTTAGAGTTTCTTCCATGTCTCTGTGAAAGGAAAGTAGAAACTTGGGACCCCAATTCACTATACCAAAAGGGGAAAAAAAAAGCTGAAACCTGAGTCATGGAAGAAACTGCCTTTCCTTTTATTTCTACGCAGATAGCTACAGATACAAGGTTAAATACCTCCACAGATAGCTACTCTATATTCACCCTATCTTATGTAAAGTGCTGATTTACTGAGCATGAGAGGAATACATAATTGACTATTCCCCTACCTGTTCTTTTCCCCCTGCAGCATGTGGGTTATCATACATTCCTTCTTTCTTCTCCAGCCCACTTTTCCCCTTTAAATGTTGAAACCCTTGAAATCATCTTTGGAGAAAGGCACAGACCACAGATTTTTTCTCTGATTCCATGCTTCTTTCCTTTTTTTTTTTTCCTTCCAGGCATGCCCTAAGCTTGCCAAAATAAACTTCTAAATTGATTGAGACCTACCTCAGATGGTTTTTGGTTTGCAACTTCTACCACATTTCCTACCTTGTAAACCTACCATGGCAAGTTTAAATGCAAGCATCTGTGGCTTTTAAAGCATGGAATAGGCTATTTGAATAGTTAAATTAAGAAACTGAAGACTTTGCTCTCAAGGAGCTGATATATACCCACTGAAAGGAAGGTAGCCTTTCCATGAGGCTTGGAAACAGTTAAAATATACATGTCAAATTATGGGTACAAGATGCTAATCAACACCTTTGACTTTTAAAAACAGGCAACTAGGTTTCAAATTATCAAATGGTCTAGTAGGACAATGAGTAAATCAAATGACCTTGAGTGCTTACTATAAGGTTGTATTTTTTTCATTTGCCTTGCACTGCCTTGGAAAACAAAGCTTCAGATAGCATTTTTACTTGCTCTCAGGCAAAGGACTCATATTTAAAACAGTTGAAGATTTTATAATGATGGAATGATGGTAGCCTTCTCTGCATAACAATATAGTAAATATGGTAGATTCTTCATATTTACAGATTTAAGATTCATGGTTTCAACTGTTTGCCAGTGATGCAGAAAATGCTTGGTCTTTTTAGTAAAAGAATTTGAGTCAGGTTCTCTGTGACACTAGTACCTGAAGAGAATCACTCAACTAGTGAGTATGTCTAGCTGGCACTCAGAATCAATGGTTTTGTCAGAGGCGTCCAAACCAGAGCAACTCCATATTGAATAGGGGCTGGGTAAAATGAGGCTGAGATCTACTTGGCTGCATTCCCAGGTGGTTAGGCATTCTAAGTCCCAGGGGAGATAGGAGGTCAGCATAAGACACAGGTCATAAAGACCTTGCTGATAAAACTGGTTTCAGTAAAGAAGCCAGCCAAAACCTATCAAAACCAAGATGGTGTCAAGAGTGAACTCTGGTCATCCACACTGCTACACTTCCACCAGTGCCGTGACAGTTTACATATGCCATGGCAATGTCAGGAAGTTGCCCTATATGGTCTAAAAACAGAAGGCATGAATAATTCACCCCTTGTTTAGCATATAATAAAAAAACCATAAAAATGGGCAATCAGCAGCCCTCGGGGGTCTACGGAGTAGCCATTCTTTTATCCCTCTACTTTCTTAACAAACTTGCCATCACTTTACTCTATGGACTCGCCCTGAATTCTTACTTGTGCGAGATCAAAGAACCCTCTCTTGGGGTCTGGATCCAGACCCCTTTCCGGTAACAGTTTTGTTTGTCTAACACTTTCCTAAAATGAAACCAGCTTGGCTATTTCATGAATATTCTCCACTAACTAAGAGAGAAAACAGTGTCAAAATTGGAGTAGATATATTGCAATGTGAGATGTGCCTAGGAAATACATGAATGGTTGGAAAGATGATTTAGTAGAAAGAAGCAGTTTGCATAATACCATATAATTACAGATTTGGAGATTTGCTAAGGACTAGGCATATTTTTACAACATTACACAAAACCTATTGTTTGGAGGCTATTCTTTTTCCCTTGTTAATATTAAATGCTGAGTGATTTAGATAAGTATTTTTGTATTTTAATTTTTAAGCATATTTACTGTTATATCATGAGGGTAGCTATTAAAAGTAGGAAACTCTTACTCCTAATTTTCTTGTTACTTATTTTATTTATGTAACTTCTCCTTTGAAGTATAGGAAAATGAAAAAAATTATTTCAAACATTTAGATTGTGTTTACGTTTTAGTCAATATTCAGAACATCTCCATTTCTTTTTCCGGCCACATCACCAGTAGCATTTGCAGCAACAGACTGTACTGACAGTTTAGGAAGAAAAACTCAAGGAAAAAAGCATATATTGAGTCCTTACTAGACTGCATCTCAGTGTACTTTTAAAATTGCCTTCTAGTAGCTTGCCATCTTGCTAGAGAGGGAGAATTTATGTTCGTCCGACAGTTAGTAAAAAGATCTAAGAATGATCAGTTAAATATAACCAAGCACCAAAATGTATGACAAATACAACAAAAGCCCTTTGTTCAGGGAAGGTTTAAGGGAGGAAGTGAACTTGAGGATAGATCTTGAAGGCCTAGTTCTTTTCTAGAACTCGATAAATGAAATAGAGCCAATGGGCCATAGAATCCATATGCAAAACTGTAAGGACAGGAAGAAGTGTGGTTTTTGTAAAAAAACTAAGGAAGTCAGCCAGGCTTTAGAGAAAGGTTCAGGAGAGGGAATTTTCAACATGGGGCTTGATGATTTCTGACCTGCCATGTATATCCTTGTTTATATCAATTAGCCTATGGTAAGATTGGTTTCATTATATAGTGAATTTTGCTTGAAATCACAGTTTCCAAGATCATATTCAGGATGTTAGGTGAGAACTTCCTGTATAAGATTTTTTTTTTTTTTTTGGCATTGCCTGGTTAACTTATAAAGACCTTGGTAATTGTCTGTATTTAATTTATGAAATACTTATTTTGGGGAATCACAAGGAAGGAGCTCTCTGAAGACAGTAATATTAAATAACAGAACTATGAATAGGTAGTATGATATTTACTCAGAAAAAAATAAATCTAGGACATAAGTTAAGAAGAATAGTTATCAACTGACAAGATTATATAAAGACTAGGGAAGTGTTTTAGAGGACAAAATCTTTGTCCTTACTCCCTACAGAGAATCCCTTATGTTCTAAAATATCTGTGTGACAGAAAGTCATTTGAATATTGCTTTATAAAACTTCCTAAATATCTCCTAAAGTATTTATTCAAATATGTATATAGGATGTTTCCAAAAAATGTTTAATGACATGAGAAAATGATCATAATATGAATGGAAAATGAAAACAAATTTGTAAATACAATAGCATTTTCATTCTGTACTTAGTTAAACAATGCTTTTGGGGGCTCTTAAATTATAATTTCTTAATTTTTTTCTCTGCACATATATATACTTTCCAAATTCTTAACATTAAACATTTAATCTTTTATACTTGCGGAGGAGGAGATGGCCTACTTAGAGTTTTGGCATTTTTTTTTTTTTTTTTTTTTGGCACAGTCTTGCCTGTCACCCAGGCTGGAGAGCAATGGCACAATCTCAGCTCACTGCAATCTCTGCCTCCTGGGCTCAGGCAATTCTCCTGCCTCAGCCTCCTGAGTAGCTGGGATTACAGATGTGTGCCACCATGCCCGGCTAATTTTTGTATTTTTTTAGTACATACTGGGTTTCACCATGTTGGCCAGGCTGGTCTTGAATTCCTGACCTTGTAATCTGCCCGCTTCGGCCTTCCAAAGTGCTAGATTACAGGTGTGAGCCACTGGGCCTGGCCTGGCTTTTGTTTTTTTAATTGAAGTTTTGGTATTTTTTCTCAAAGATTTGTATGAATATTCTGTACATCAAGAAAAGTAATCCTTGAATGTCATACTAGTTGATTGACTTAGTTTTGTATTGTAAAGTGTTGAGAATAATCTTTAATCACCCGGACAATTAATCTCTTGCAAGTTCAGGAGACTTCGTGTTCATTCTGATTATAATATATGTGGTGTCGAGTTTCATTAAGATGGGCAGTTTTCATGGTCCATCTTAATGGAAATGTAGATCTGTGTTAGTTTAAGTTTATGATTTATATCTGAAAGCAAAACAGGATGAATGCATTAAAATTATAAGATAACACATGGCTGTCAATCTAGCAACATGTGGTACTAGGGATGAAGAGAAGTATAAATCGTTATACTTATGTTACAAATGCTGTTGATACAGACAGGAGGCAGGGAAATATTAGGTAGAAAAGGTCCGGGTCCCTGGTGAGGGATCCACCCTCAAGCGTGGACCCGTGGCCCTAAATGAGAAATTCACATCCCCATTTTCCCACCTGAATGTTGCCTTTTCCAAAGCACCCTGGCATATCCTGCCTCAAACCCTGTATGCTTAGAAACCCCAAGCTCCACTGCTGGGGGATGGAGAGCAGCATAGCAGAAAAGGAAAGAAGAGAAGCAGTCGGACATCAGAGAAAAGCAGCTTGACTTCAGAGCGACGGCTTGACGGTGGGACTTTGGAGGAGAGTTCAGCCAGGGACAGCTGAACTCCTGGGGAAGATTATCTTCCCACTCCATCCCCCTTCCAGTTCCCCTTTCTGCTGAGAGCCACCTCCACTGCTCAATAAAATCCTCTGCATACGCCACCCTTCAATTTGTTCACATAGCCTCATTCTTCCTGGACACCAGACAAGGACCCGGGTACGGATGCAAGAGACTGTCACACTGATGCTCCACTGATCTGTTTAACGCTTAAGCCGTCCATAGATGTTAAAGCTAAAGGAGTGCACTATAACACAGGCCCTCTAGGGCTCCAGGGGTCATGGGCAACCCATCAATGCTGCCACAGGCCGGTAGGGGTTCATTCCTGCCAGTGCCCAAAGGCTCTCACCCTGGCTCCTGCACCTGCTCACCTGCGTGCTCCTTCTCCTGCAAGGGGTTTGAGCACCATGGGCTGAGTAAGTGAGCCACCCCTTCAGAAGGCCAGCAAAGGAGTCATGGGAAATATCTCTTGATACAGATTGAATAAATGGTATTTTATAAAGATGTTTGCATATCTTCTTTCTGTTTAGCCATTGTTAACATTAGGTATGTAATCATCAATTTTCAATGGGTGGATGGAAAACATTAAAAATCCAGGTTCCTGGTTGTTTTATCAAAAAAGTTAAAAAATAACAGTTATAGTTCACTTTAATAGGTGAATGCTAGGTATTCCTGAGGATTAGTTGGCTCTGAGTATAGTGTTTATGAAACATGTACAAGGTTGTTCACATAACAAGAACTTAAAGGTGTGAACTTTATGAGCTTTGGTGAACAGTTTAAACAATATATATATATATAATATATATTATATATATACAGACTGTAAGAATGAACATGAATAATTCTAGCATTGATGGAGAGAAAACATAAAACTTACTGTTGAGATCCTACTGAATTTTTGCAGGGAATGTGAAATGGCTTCCATGTATTTTTAATGTTTTTATAATTCATATTTGTTTTAGGGATTTTGGCAATAGCGTAGACACATCTAAAAAAACACAGAAACCCACGGTAACCTAATTAGTATGCTTTAATTACTCTTGGGAGTACAGATTGAAAATTGGACACATTTTGAGTTCCAATTCATTCTACTTTATGAGAATTGGTGTCCTGTGTAGAAAAACTTGGTGCTATTGTATAATTCAGCTACTTTCAAAAAAATGCAAGGGGATATAAGATTATGATTCTACAGTTAATGTTTTGCACGACCCTAGAAAAGCTGTGTAAGAATTATGTGAAAGAAAAAACATCATACTTTATCTTTTCAGATTGCGTGATATAGTACATGTCATTTACTCTATCGACTTTATTTTTGTTATCTTTAAAGTGATGACACTTATTTTACAGGGGTTCTTGCTAGGATTAAATAAAACGTATAAAGGTCTAGGACAGTATGTGGTATTTTACCGATTGAGTAAATGGTATTTTATAAAGATGTTTGCATATCTTCTTTCTGTTTAGCCATATGTTTAACCTGGTTTCCATGAACAATTACAGAGGTTTTCCACTTACAGAACTTCCTAAATTCTCTGTAAAATATTGTGTGTGTGCTTATTTCTGGAGATGCTATTTAACTTTCATCAGATTAAAAACTTGTATATTAAAGCCCTTGATTATACAAACATACATGTTAAACTTTGTTCAATTTTACAGCCAATTTATCTTAGTGTATAGATTAATAATTTAATTTTAGGCAACTTAATGAAATGACTATGTGAACTGGAAGCTGAACCTGAGCATGTGGCAAAACATTGCAAAAGGAACCAAGAGAAAACTGAACTATTTAGTCCCTAAACAGATTTTTTAAAATGTCAATAGTAAAATACATTTTCATCAAACTATCTCAGCCTCAATTGAATTGATTGTTTTGTGCAAAATGATACCAAACAAAACCTTTTCTATGGCTATAAAAACAAAGAAAATTTTCAACATTTCATTTTACGGGCACATGTAATAAAATGTGAAATTTATTTAAAAATATTTTATCTTGCTTAGTGTTAATACAGGTTGGCCATCCCTAATTGGAAAATCAGAAATTTTAAATGCCCCCCAAAATCAGAAATTTGAAATGCTCCAAAATCCAAAACTTCTTGAGCACCAACATGACACTACAAGTGGAAAATTTCAGACATAAGGACTTAACACAAACTGCTTCGTGTACAAAATTATTAAAAACATTGTATAAAATTACTTTCAAGCTATTGGTATAAGTTGTACATGAAACATAAATGAATGTCATGTTTAGACTTGGGTCTCATCCTCAAGATATCTCATTATATGTATTTGAATATTCTAAAATTAAAAAAATAAACACTTCTGGTCCCTAGCTTTTCAGATAAGGGATACTCAAACTATATAAAGGGGAACTATTTTTTCTTAACTGTTTAAACTGAGATCTTTGATTTTTTGATCTTTAGAGGACTCTTATGCATTATAATTTTGAAACTGAAGAGTAGGCTAAATATTTGCTACTTTAAATAAAATAATTTGACTTATAATTTAAACTCTTCTATTAGTTACATTTGTATATTTTTAAAAATGCAAACACTCAAAGGAAAAAAAATCATGAGATGAGAGGTAACTAAAGTTTTATTTTAAAAAATTAGAAAGTAGAGCTACTCCATGACTTTACCTTGGAAATAATTTCTGCAGTGCTCTTGAGACATTAATTCAGAGATGTGATGATGAAATTCATGGCAGAAATTTAACTGAAAACTGAAGCTGCATCAAATTTCATAGAATTATTTGTTGTTTTAAAATAAATAATTTAAAAATCTTATTTTCACTAATTGGAATATTAATTGGTCATTGTTCTTTTTTTTATTATTATACTTTAAGTTTTAGGGTACATGTGCATATTGTGCAGGTTAGTTACATATGTATACATGTGCCATGCTGGTGTGCTGCACCCACTAACTCGTCATCTAGCATTAGGTATATCTCCCAATGCTATCCCTCCCCACTCCCCCCACCCCACAACAGTCCCCAGAGTGTGATATTCCCCTTCCTGTGTCCATGTGATCTCATTGTTCAATCCCCACCTATGAGTGAGAATATGCGGTGTTTGGTTTTTTCTTCTTGCGATAGTTTACTGAGAATGATGATTTCCAATTTCATCCATGTCCCTACAAAGGACATGAACTCATCATTTTTTATGGCTGCATAGTATTCCATTGTGTATATGTGCCACATTTTCTTAATCCAGTCTATCATTGTTGGACATTTGGGTTGGTTCCAAGTCTTTGCTATCATGAATGATGCCGCAATAAACATACGTGTGCATGTGTCTTTATAGCAGCATGATTTATATTCCTTTGGGTATATACCCAGTAATGGGATGGCTGGGTCAAATGGTATTTCCAGTTCTAGATCCCTGAGGAATCGCCACACTGACTTCCACAATGGTTGAATTAGTTTACAGTCCCACCAACAGTGTAAAAGTGTTCCTATTTCTCCACATCCTCTCCAGCACCTGTTGTTTCCTGACTTTTTAATGACTGCCATTCTAACTGGTATGAGATGGTATCTCATTGTGGTTTTGATTTGCATTTCTCTGATGGCCAGTGATGATGAGCATTTTTTCATGTGTTTTTTGGCTGCATAAATGTCTTCTTTTGAGAAGTGTCTGTTCATGTCCTTTGCCCACTTTTTGATGGGGTTGTTTGTTTTTTTCTTGTAAATTTGTTGGAGTTCATTGTAGATTCTGGATATTAGCCCTTTGTCAGATGAGTAGGTTGCGAAAATTTTCTCCCATTTTGTAGGTTGCCTGTTTACTCTGATGGTAGTTTCTTTTGCTGTGCAGAAGCTCTTTAGTTTAATTAGATCCCATTTGTCAATTTTGGCTTTTGTTACCATTGCTTTTGGTGTTTTAGACATGAAGTCCTTGCCCATGCCTATCTCCTGAATGGTAATGCCTAGGTTTTCTTCTAGGGTTTTTATGGTTTTAGGTCTAACGTTTAAGTCTTTAATCCATCTTGAATTGATTTTTGTATAAGGTGTAAGGAAGGGATCCAGTTTCAGCTTTCTACATATGGCTAGCCAGTTTTCCCAGCACCATTTATTAAATAGGGAATCCTTTCCCCATTGCTTGTTTTTCTCAGGTTTGTCAAAGATCAGATAGTTGTAGATATGTGGCGTTATTTCTGAGGGCTCTGTTCTGTTCCATTGATCTATATCTCTGTTTTGGTACCAGTACCATGCTGTTTTGGTTACTGTAGCCTTGTAGTATAGTTTGAAGTCAGGTAGTGTGATGCCTCCAGGTTTGTTCTTTTGGCTTAGGATTGACTTGGTGATGCGGGCTCTTTTTTGGTTCCATATGAACTTTAAAGTAGTTTTTTTCCAATTCTGTGAAGAAAGGCATTGGTAGCTTGATGGGGATGGCATTGAATCTGTAAATTACCTTGGGCAGTATGGCCATTTTCACGGTATTGATTCTTCCTACCCATGAGCATGGAATGTTCTTCCATTTGTTTGTATCCTCTTTTATTTCATTGAGCAGTGGTTTGTAGTTCTCCTTGAAGAGGTCCTTCACATCCCTTGTAAGTTGGATTCCTAGGTATTTTATTCTCTTTGAAGCAATTGTGAATGGGAGTTCACTCATGATTTGGCTCTCTGTTTGTCTGTTGTTGGTGTATAAGAATGCTTGTGATTTTTGTACATTGATTTTGTATCCTGAGACTTTGCTGAAGTTGCTTATCAGCTTAAGGAGATTTTGGGCTGAGACAATGGGGTTTTCTAGATATACAATCATGTCTTCTGCAAACAGGGACAATTTGATTTCCTCTTTTCCTAATTGAATACCCTTTATTTCCTTCTCCTGCCTAATTGTCCTGGCCAGAACTTCCAACACTATGTTGAATAGGAGTGGTGAGAGAGGGCATCCCTGTCTTGTGCCAGTTTTCAAAGGGAATGCTTCCAGTTTTTGCCCATTCAGTATGATATTGGCTGTGGGTTTGTCATAGATAGCTCTTATTATTTTGAAATATATCCCATCAATACCTAATTTATTGAGAGTTTTTAGCATGAAGGGTTGTTGAATTTTCTCAAAGGCTTTTTCTGCATCTATTGAGATAATCATGTGGTTTTTGTCTTTCGCTCTGTTTATATGCTGGATTACATTTATTGATTTGCATATATTGAACCAGCCTTGCATCCCAGAGATGAAGCCCACTTAATCATGGTGGGTAAGCTTTTTGATGTGCTGCTGGATTCGGTTTGCCAGTATTTTATTGAGGATTTTTGCATCAATGTTCATCAAGGATATTGGTCTAAAATTCTCTTTGTTTGTTGTGTCTCTGCCTGGCTTTGGTATCAGAATGATGCTGGCCTCATAAAATGATTTAGGGAGGATTCCCTCTTTTTGTATTGATTGGAATAGTTTCAGAAGGAATGGTACCAGTTCCTCCTTGTACCTCTGGTAGAATTCGGCTGTGAATCCATCTGGTCCTGGACTCTTTTTAGTTGGTAAGCTATTGATTATTGCCACAATTTCAGATCCTGTTATTGGTCTATTCAGTGATTCAACTTCTTCCTGGTTTAGTCTTAGGAGAGTGTATGTGTCAAGGAATTTATGCATTTCTTCTAGATTTTCTAGTTTATTTGCGTAGAGGTGTTTGTAGTATTCTCTGATGGTAGTTTGTATTTCTGTGGGATCGGTGGTGATATCCCCTTTATCATTTTGTATTGCGTCTATTTGATTTTTCTCTCTTTCTTTCTTTATTAGTCTTGCTAGCAGTCTATCAATTTTGTTGATCCTTTCAAAAAACCAGCTCCTGGATTCATTAATTTTTTGAAGGGTTTTTTGTGTCTCTATTTCCTTCAGTTCTGCTCTGATTTTAGTTATTTCTTGACTTCTGCTAGCTTTTGAATGTGTTTGCTCTTGCTTTTCTAGTTCTTTTAATTGTGATGTTAGGGTGTCAATTTTGGATCTTTCCTGCTTTCTCTTGTGGGCATTTAGTGGTATAAATTTCCCTCTACACACTGCTTTGAATGCGTCCCAGAGATTCTGGTATGTTGTGTCTTTGTTCTCGTTGGTTTCAAAGAACATCTTTATTTCTGCCTTCATTTCGTTATGTACCCAGTAGTCATTCAGGAGCAGGTTGTTCTGTTTCCATGTAGTTGAGCGGTTTTGAGTGAGATTCTTAATCCTGAGTTCTAGTTTGATTGCACTGTGGTCTGAGAGATAGTTTGTTATAATTTCTGTTCTTTTACATTTGCTGAGGAGAGCTTTATTCCAAGTATGTGGTCAATTTTGGAATAGGTGTGGTGTGGTGCTGAAAAAAATGTATATTCTGTTGATTTGGGGTGGAAAGTTCTGTAGATGTCTATTAGGTCCACTTGGTGCAGAGCTGAGTTCAATTCCTGGGTATCCTTGTTGACTTTCTGTCTCGTTGATCTGTCTAATGTTGACAGTGGGGTGTTAAAGTCTCCCATTACTAATGTGTGGGAGTCTAAGTCTCTTTGTAGGTCACTCAGGACTTGCTTTATGAATCTGGGTGCTCCTGTATTGGGTGCATATATATTTAGGATAGTTAGCTCTTCTTGTTGAATTGATCCCTTTCCCATTATGTAATGGCCTTCTTTGTCTCTTTTGATCTTTGTTGGTTTAAAGTCTGTTTTATCAGAGACTAGGATTGCAACCCCTGCCTTTTTTTGTTTTCCATTTGCTTGGTAGATCTTCCTCCATCCTTTTATTTTGAGCCTATGTGTGTCTCTGCACGTGAGATTGGTTTCCTGAATACAGCACACTGATGGGTCTTGACTCTTTATCCAATTTGCCAGTCTGTGTCTTTTAATTGGAGCATTTAGTCCATTTACATTTAAAGTTAATATTGTTATGTGTGAATTTGATCCTGTCATTATGATGTTAGCTGGTGATTTTGCTCATTAGTTGATGCAGTTTCTTCCTAGTCTCGATGGTCTTTACATTTTGGCATGATTTTGCAGCACCTGGTACCGGTTGTTCCTTTCCATATTTAGCACTTCCTTCAGGAGCTCTTTTAGGACAGGCCTGGTGGTGACAAAATCTCTCAGCATTTGCTTGTCTGTAAAGTATTTTATTTCTCCTTCACTTATGAAGCTTAGTTTGGCTGGATATGAAATTCTGGGTTGAAAATTCTTTTCTTTAAGAATGTTGAATATTGGCCCCCACTCTCTTCTGGCTTGTAGGGTTTCTGCCAAGAGATCCGCTGTTAGTCTGATGGGCTTCCCTTTGAGGGTAACCTGACCTTTCTCTCTGGCTGCCCTTAACATTTTTTCCTTCACTTCAACTTTGGTTAATCTGACAATTATGTGTCTTGGAGTTGCTCTTCTTGAGGAGTATCTTTGTGGCGTTCTCTGTATTTCCTGAATCTGAACATTGGCCTGCCTTGCTTGATTGGGGAAGTTCTCCTGGATAATATCCTGCAGAGTGTTTTCCAACTTGATTCCATTCTCCCCATCACTTTCAGGTACACCAATCAGACGTAGATTTGGTCTTTTCACATAGTCCCATATTTCTTGGAGGCTTTGCTCATTTCTTTTTATTCTTTTTTCTCTAAACTTCCCTTCTTGCTTCATTTCATTCATTTCATCTTCCATTGCTGATACCCTTTCTTCCAGTTGATCGCATCGGCTCCTGAGGCTTCTGCATTCTTCATGTAGTTCTCGAGCCTTGGTTTTCAGCTCCATCAGCTCCTTTAATCACTTCTGTGTATTGGTTATTCTAGTTATACATTCTTCTAAATTTTTTTCAAAGTTTTGAACTTCTTTGCCTTTGGTTTGAATGTCCTCCCGTAGCTCATAGTAATTTGATCATCTGACACCTTCTTCTCTCAGCTCATCAAAGTCATTCTCCATCCAGCTTGGTTCCATTGCTGGTGAGGAACTGCGTTCCTTTGGAGGAGGAGAGGCACTCTGCTTTTTAGAGTTTCCAGTTTTTCTGTTCTGCTTTTTCCCCATCTTTGTGGTTTTATCTACTTTTGGTCTTTGATGATGGTGATGTACAGATGGGTGTTTGGTGTGGATGTCCTTTCTGTTTCTTAGTTTTCCTTCTAACAGACAGGACCCTCAGCTGCAGGTCTGTTGCAATACCCTGCCGTGTGAGGTGTCACTGTGCGCCTGCTGGGGGGGTGCCTCCCAGTTAGGCTGCTCGGGGGTCGGGTCAGGGACCCACTTGAGGAGGCAGTCTGCCCGTTCTCAGATCTCCAGCTGCGTGTGCTGGGAGAACCACTGCTCTCTTCAAAGCTGCAGACAGGGACATTTAAGTCTGCAGAAGTTACTGCTGTCTTTTTGTTTGTCTGTGCCCTGCCCCCAGAGGTGGAGCCTACAGAGGCAGGCAGACCTCTTTGAGCTGTGGTGGGTTCCACCCAGTTCGAGCTTCCCAGCTGCTTTGTTTACCTAATCAAGCCTGGGCAATGGCGGGCGCCCCTCCCCCAGCCTCGCTGCCGCCTTGCAGTTTGATCTCAGACTGCTGTGCTAGCAATCAGCGAGACGCCCTGGGCGTAGGACCCTCGGAGCCAGGTGCGGGATATAAGCTTGTTGTGCGCCGTTTTTTAAATCCGTCGGAAAAGCGCAGTATTCGGTTGGGAGTGACCTGATTTTCCAGTTGCTGTCAGTCACCCCTTTCTTTGACTCGGAAAGGGAACTCCCTGACCCCTTGCGCTTCCCAAGTGAGGCAATGCCTCGCCTTGCTTCCACTTGCGCACGGTGCGCGCACCCACTGGACCTGCGCCCACTGTCTGGCACTCTCTAGTGAGATGAACCCGGTACCTCAGATGGAAATGCAGAAATCACCCGTCTTCTGCGTCGCTAACGCTGGGAGCTGTAGACCTGAGCTGTTCCTATTTGGCCATCTTGGCTCCTCCCCTGGTCATGTTTTTATTTTTACTTTTATCAAGGACTTATTATGTGCTAGCATTGGTGCTAATGTTTTGTATATATAGATACATTTAATCTTTATAACAATGAAGTCTTATTTCCCATTTTATAAACAAGAAAACTAAACATTTTTATTTATCCGTCATCTAATATTACTGAAAACATGCTATGATACAGGCAGTTTTTGGCTCTAAGGATAAAATAATAAATAAAAAATGTCCTGCTATCTTGGAACTTAAATTGGAGAGAGAGAGGAAATAAAGAAATCAATATGGTGTTAGGAATATAAAGACAATATAAAACAGGGTAATGTGGTTAGAGGGTGGTAAGATGAGGGATAGGATAATCTGGAGATTCTAATTTAGGTATAATTGAGGGAGACCTGTCTGATTATTTGCTATTTCAGTCTGAACAAAAACAGGGAGAGATCCAGGATGATATTTGTGGAAATAACATTCTAGATAGAAGGAATAAAATAAATGCAATGGTTGTGAAAAAGTAATTTTCTTCAGACAGAAAGATCGATTTTGTTGGAAAGGCCTTATTTGGCGTGAGAGTTATAGGAAAAAAATCCAAGAGGGAACCAAGGATGAGGAAAGCACAGGAAAGGGATATTCTGTGACATCTCTTTAGGCATTGGTGAAGACACTGATTCTGAATGGGATGGAAGCCTCTAGAAGATTTTGAGCATAGCAGAGACACGTTCTGATTTACATTTTAAAATTGTCATTCATATTGAGTAGTAGGCAATAGTGGAAGTGAGAGCCTGCTAAGAAGAAGTTCAATAGTGTAGGCAAGAGATTAGACAGATAATAATGAAAATGAGCATGTTTGGGGATGAAATTAGATCAAGACTTCTGTTTAGAGTACAGTAAGTATGAAGTTTTTGTTAGATATTTAAGTGCAGATGTCAAGTTAGCAGTTGAAAATAGAGACTAGGTCCCAGGGGAAAGATCATACTGAAAGCCACGGAACTGGATAATATTAATGGACAGTGTGTGCAGATACATAAAAGAAGTATGGAGAAAATGCAAATTCAAGAAGATGTGGAAATGTTGCAGACAGTAAGTAGGAGTGGAGAGAGAGAAAGAGAGAGAGAGAGAAAGTATCCCGATAGCCAAATAAAGGAAGTATTTTAGGAGCAAAAAAGTAATTAAAATGTGGATTTTGATTTTTATCAGAGAAAGTGAGGCTAATGATGGACTATGAAGTCTAAAGAGGGTAAGAATACAAAAAATATTATGGGAGAGATGATGGAGGAAAGAGAAATGTCAATAAACCCTAGGTCTCAGTCAGTTTGCAAAAAAATTGTTGGAGTTGCAATAAAGATAATCTAACAATATCCTAGTTTTGGAGAGTGGAATATTAGAAACTCAGACTGTGGAGTGAGTGTAGTTATTGACAATAATGATTTGTAGTTACTAGACTCTAATATGATGGCTCTCAAAGTGTAGTCACTGAACCAGCAGTATTGGCATCACCAGGGAACTTAAGAAATGCACATTCTCAGGCCCTACTCTGGACTTACTGATTCCTAAACTTCGGGGGTGGATCCAGCAACCTATATTTTTAACTAGGTGGTTATGATTCTGGCTGTACTTTGAAAACTGTTCCAATATATGATCATGGGAGCATGTAGTATAAGTGAGATGTCAGATAAGCAATTTTGTTTGATAAGTGAGATGGTTTGACTCGGTGTCCCTACTGAAACCTCAGCTGGGATTATAATCCCCACATGTGGAGGGAGGGACCTTGTAGAAGGTGATTGGATCATGGGGGTGGTTTCCCCGTTGCTGTTCTCGTGATAGTAAGTTCTCACGAGATTTGATGGTTTAAAAGAGTATGGCTTTCCCTCCCTCTCTCTCCTGCTCCTCCATTGTTAAGACGTGTGCGCTTTTCCTTCACCTTCCACCATAATTGTAAGTTTCCTGAGACCTCCCTGTTATGCTTCCTAAGCCTGCAGAACTGTGAGTCAATTAAACAACTTTATAAATTACCCAGTTTTAGGTATGTTTTTATAGCAGTGGAAGAATGGACTAACACAGTAAGGTAAAAGCTAAAGGAAATAAGAGTATGCTGAAATCTTCAAGAACTATTTTAGGAGTATTAATATAAAGAGTAATAGGGGCCATAGCTTCAGGAAGGAGAGGGAATGTCTTGGAGCTTTTAGATGTCTAAAATAAGGAGGAATCTCACAAGGATCCAGAGACTTTCAGGGAAAAGTCTGCAACAATAGCGTGCAAACAATGACAAGCAAAAGTTACCTGTAAGGAAAATGGATGTGTTTTGGTGAAGAATAGGCCAAGGCAGACATCCGGGTCAGCGTGACTCAGTGCGTTTGGAGTGCTGGCACACAACTCCACTTGTTATATAACCTGTTTGTGTAAGTTCATACTTGAATCTGAGCCACCATTGCCTGTAAAAAGGTAATAACTGCCCTGCTAATGCTGTGCACAAGGCTCGCACCCAGAAAGAATGAAGCTGCCGACCCTGTAAGGGAGAGCCAGTTGCCTTGAAGGCAGGCAGCGGGAGTCAGGAACTAGCAAGAGCGCCGGGGAGTGCAGCTGTAAATGTGGGAGTGGCAGGAGCCGCAGAGCCGGTTGCTAAGAGGGGCTGCAGCTGGAGCAGGCAGCCAAGACAAAAGCTGACAGAGAGAGCGCACAATAAAAGCCATATTTCACCTGCCCACGCCCCATCGAGTGTTCTTTCAGCTATCTGCCACCTGTCCACCCACTCCCCTCGGTCCTCCGCATGGGCTGGAACCTGACACTTGGTGTGACGTTACCCTACCCGACTTTTACACCAGTGGTACTTGGGGTGTGGGAGAGAAAATAGTAAGGTCCAAAGAAAAGTGGGTTTTCTTATGAGAATCAGGTTTCAGAGCAAACAGGTGAGAGAATAGTCAAGCGTTGTTGACGACTCAGGTGATTTTGCTGATGACAGACTGGGAATTTCCTAGGGTAAAGAGAGTATGTGGGGATGAGAGGAGTGGGAAAATGTGTCAGACAAGGGATTGTATGGAACTGTAGCACAGGGATCACAGTTCAGAGGGTCTTAGAGTCATAGTGCTCTGGTAGTTGCTCTGGTAGTTCCCGATGGCATCCAGGGGCTAGGAACCAGTCTTGTTAGAGTTCAGGAAGGGATAATCAGAACTAATGAGGACCTCCTAAGTCAGTAGTTCTCACTCTTGGCTGTTTAGAATCAGCAGGGGGAACTTCCAGAACTCCCCAATGCCCAGGCAATGCCCATACCAATTAAATCATAATTTCTTGGGGTGGGCCCCAAACATCAGCATTTTTAAAAGCTCCCCAGGTGATTCCAATGTGCAGCCAAAGCTGAGAATCAGTTTTCTATTTTGTGAAGCTAAAAAAAGCAGCAAGAAATTTTGACTCTGGGGCCTGGGATCTGCGTTATAAGATATACTATCTCTAACACTGTCTGCATGTAGGGTAGAAGAAGTCAGGTTGCTCTGCTCCTGGGTCAAATCATCTAACGAGCTAAGGCCTATTAGAAAAGCAAACCAAATCACACAAAACAGTTCAGTGGATGTGTTTGTGTCAGGCAGTAAAAAGTGAAAAAAGTTTCTTTCCCAAGAGCTGAACAATCACAGCTTGATGCTCTGTTCTGCAGGACAGCAGGTCACTGCTGAACCGGCAATTGATTCTATATACATTGCTCTGAATGCACCTTAAGAACTTTTACTCTTTCAGAAGAACTTCAGGTGAAAGGTTCACAGCACAACTTTTCACGGTTAATTAGCAGTTAGCATCACTTCAAGAAATCAAATAGGAAGCAGCAGATGGACTCACAGCTCACCTTGGGGCAGTAATATGTGTGTCCCAGCCATTAGGCTTGGCTGTTAACAACATTATCTCAAAGTTACGTGATCTTATATTTTTGCTTATTTTCCATTTGGTTGCTAAGTAATTTAACTCTCTTAACTAATTTCTGTAAAAAAGAAAAATTAAATAAAATGTTTATATCAGAGCTGTTTAATTTGTAACTTGTTACCGTCATAATCTCCTGGCGTTGGTGCAATGCCATAAAACATACCTGGTTGCTTTAAGTGCCCAGACAACACTGATATGCTCTGGTGAGTGAAGAATTCCTGCTTGCAAATTGCAAATAACACATGATATTTTACTGGCATCCCAATAAAATAAATTACAGAGGAGTAAAAGATTTGCATTTGGATTTAAAAAATTCTTTTATTTTAGAATTTATTACTCAAATGGTCCTGTTTTTGAACAAACCTGATTGTAGTATTTTAGAAAGCCTGTATTATTTTCTTTTTGTTGTGAGAGCAGTTAGTTTTGCTACATTTTAAAAATAAGTCATTACTCCTCAAACATTTATAGCACTCTGAAAAGGTTTTAAATCTCATTTAGTAGTTCCATAACTTTTGAAATTGAGATGTAGAAGTGGGATCTGCTATAAACTCTTTCTCATTTTGTCAAATTTGTGTGTAAGTGACAATATCAGCCTACGAGAGAGAAGTGATTCTTGTCATCTTTCTCCACATGGATATATGTGTTCTTTTTGAAAAGAAGGCATTACTTAAATTTAACTTATTATTTTCCCAGTTGGAGTAAGAGTGAATGCTGAGTGACTTTTGTGAAATTAATTACTGTCTTGGTGAAAACTTTCCTCCATCTCAAGCAGAGAAATTACCTACCGAGCTAAGAATTATGGTAAAGACAATGCTTGTCAGACATGTTTGTGGTTGTTATCCATGAGAGCATTTCAGGGCTAGTTTCTAAAATTCACCTTGGATCAAATTTTTCCAAGTCCATCTACTCTTCATCAGGCTTTTGCACTCTCATTAAGCCATGATGACCAATCCGAATTGATTCTCAACAAAATACTGCAGTGAGTAATTTAAATTTCTGTCTTGTTCTTTCTGTGCCTTTCTCCTCCATACATCTAGAACGTGCCTATCAATATAACCTTTATCTGCTCTAACATACAGGGGACCAGATGCAATTTCACCTTCCTACATAAGAACTCCATGTGCCCAAATCAGCCCCATCTCAAGTCTTAAAAAACAAACAAAAAAAGCAATGAAAAAAAAAACAAACCCAAAAACCTTGCCTGGGCTCTACCCTAAATCAATTCAATCATTAACTTGAGAATACAGTTTGGAGAATATTTAGGTGATATATTTATTTAAGCTCCTTGGGTGATCCTAATGTACAGCCTGGGCTAAGTAACACTTTCTTAAGCCAAACTATGGATCCTTAAGAGTCTAATTCTAGAGAGTTAGCAGATGGGTAAAGAAGATATTTATAGACCAGAAATCCTTACAGGTTATAATTTATGAGACTAGAACCAATGAAATGGCATTGTCTAATCAGTCTGATGGGTGATGGCAACAAAGTTTACAATGGTATTTTCTATTTGCGTGAAATTCCTCAGTGGCCTTGACCCTTATTTTCTTTAATTTCAGGCACTGGGTTATTAGTGATTATTTATCATACCTTTAAAGTATTCTCTTCCTTATATTTGATATCATAGTGTCTACAAATCAGAGACTAACTTCCTATATTGGCAGGGGAAGGGGGGTTAAGGGGCTGGGGGTGGTCGGGGAGGGTTATTAAATGGGGAGAATTCCAAACTTATTTGACATCATGTCACAATGAATTTCTGGTTCTAAGAAATGTACAATCTCATAATGACAGTAGAGTTATCTGTTCTTCTTGCATGCTTCGGTTAACTTAGTGAATCTACTTGCTTGGAATTGGCTGTCTCACTGTTCAGAATAATTAGGAGAGATGTTCTCAGAACTGCAAAAATGCTGGGACATTGTCTGTAGCCATGAAGACTTTGTGTTCAAAACCAGTTTCTTAAGCTCATTGCTTTTTGAATTTTGGACCAGGTATTAGAAAATAAATAAGTCAGGAATACAAGGAGTAATTTATTAGAAAATAAATTACCCAATACTACAAGGGACCATTAATTTTATTTAAAAAATAAATAAAATTGATAAATAAAAATAAATAAAATTGATGGCTCCTTGTACTCTTAAGAATTTACATTTAATGGCCAGGTGTGGAGGCTCACACCTGTAATCCAGTGCTTTGGGAAGCCAAGGTAGGAAGATTGCTTGAGGCCAGGAGTTTGAGACCAGCATGGGGGATAGAATGAGACCCCTGTCTCTACAAAAAAAAAAAAAAAATACATTTACATATAAGACATAAATGACAAAGAAGCCTTTGGAGGAAAGTTGTATGTAATAAAGATCCCTATATTTACTTTCAATTTCAGGTTTTGAGCTCTCTTGAACTTCTACCTGATTTTAATAAAATCTAATGTGTTGCTGTTTATTTAATTTAGTGAAATGGAGACATAGGCCACATCTAGTTGCTGTTGAAGTGCTTATCTCTTCTGCTAAGCAATGGTTTAGAAGACATATGTTATTTAAATACCTTTTAAGGGAATTCATCCCACACCACTTTCACTGTAAACCTTGAGAGGAGTGCCATTATGAATTAAGGTCATGAATATTATTGATTAACAGTATTAGGAGTTAAGCTTTTTGTTAAATGCTGGAAGAGATTAAAATTTGTTTCATCCAGTTGGTGACCATTTGGTGGTTCTATGACTTATTTCTTTGGAACATTATTTTTCAATTAATTGTTTCAATAAGACCATCTTGTGAATATTTCCTGGGAATGAAGGCATTGCAAATATTTCCCACGTGCTCTGGAAATGGTTGGATTTGAAAAACAGATCAGAAGCTTTATGATTTTGGTAGAAGCTGTTTTTAGTCCTTGATATGTTATATCCATTAGGAAGATGGAATATTGATAATCAAAGAGTATTGCAGGTTTAAGGACTTGGTGGCTTTGGCCAGCTTTTAACAAGAAGAAGAAGCTCTATGATTTATAGGTGGTTTATTCACTTGTCAGAACTATGGGGTCCCCAGATTCATTTGGGGTCAGGTTCTTTTTAACCATAAATATTGTCTTTTGTTTGGATGGTTAACTATGTGATTCATGTAGTCAAAGCACAATCTTATTTTTATCTTCCATGTCAATGAAAACTTATACAGAGGGGTAGGAAATCCTGGCAGGCCCAAGAAATTTCTTGTTCTTCTCTGGTAACAACAATCTTATGGCTCAGGTCCTTTTAAGTCACAAATACAGTGTAAATTCTTTAAGTAAATATCTCAGTCCATAAAATATTCAATATTTTAATCTGCAATGAAGATTATGACTCTTTTCCTCTCTACAGGAAGTCAGTTGTTGACAGCTTTTCTTTTCCTTAGCTAAGACCTTTAGCAGATGAGAACTTTTGTAAGAGGAAGATGATATGCTCAGCTTCTTCGCTGTTTTTCCTCCCTGTAGTCTGAATATTCATGTCCCCTCAAAATTCATATGTTGAAACCTGAACCCCCAAGATGATGCTATCAGGAGGTAGGGCCTTTGGGAGGTGATAAGGCCAGGAGGGCAAAGCTCTCATGAATGGAATTGGTGCCTTGTAAAAGATGCCTCAGAAAGACCTTCAACTCCTTCCACTCTGTGGAGACACAGTGAGAATGTGCTGTTCTATGAACCAGAAGTAGGCCCTTACAAAACACTGAATCTGCCTGTGCTTTAATCTTGGACATTCCAGCCTCCAGCAACCTGTAAGAAATAAATTTCCTTTGTTTGTAAGCTGTCTAGTCTATAGTGTTTTGTTATAGTAGACTGAATAGACTAAGAACATCCCTCTTCCTGCTTCACTTCTATCACTCACTATCTTCATCAAATGAAAATGGGTGGGGACAAAAGAGGAAATGACATAAGACAGAGAAATGTCTTCCTTGGGAGATGTCTGGTACCCTCATAAGCTGACTTCATGCTTTCTGGGCCTGGTTAAGTGTTCCAGGCTGAATTTTTTCCTCCTGGTTGCTTGAGTGTGTTTGGGTGTGGCTTTGTTTTAAGATTTCTGTAATTGAGGACTTATCCAGCTCTATCTCTCAATATATCATGGTATGTGCAGTACAATCCATTACCCAATTTACTGCTCTTCTTTTAGCTTCTGTTTTTTCTCCAGTAATCAACACCATGAAGAAGCTATTGGTGTTTGCTGTCTTTTCCAGGAGGTTCACTTGGACTTAAAATAGCTCCAGCCTTGCTTTCTGTCTGTCCAGTATAGCTCAGTATCTTGGGCCTGAAGTCTCTGGATATAAAGGCCAGTGTTAACACAGCCACATTTATTCTGCTGTTGCAAGCCACTTTAAGACACTGAGGCATTCTTTGTAACTTCAAGCTTTACAGAATTGACATTCTAAGATCTGAGAGTACTACAATGGAAATGCTCATTATAAGACTTTAGGTGGAAGAGAAAGCACCTCCCACTCCCGTCCCTTCCTCCTTGGGAGAAGGGGATTTCCAGCATGCCAGCAACTCTCCACGAATTCATTCTCTCCACACCTTGACCTAGTTTATTATCTTTGATTTGCTTGAGGAGTTCAAGAATTATTGCTGTGGCATTTTCTTACTGAATTTTACATGTGAGCATCTGTCTCACATTCGTTTCCATATTTGATATGCATCATATTTTTGCCTCAATTGAAATCAAAGCAGAAGGACTTGTATTTAATGACCTGTTAGATGTTCATTTGCCAGGAATGTCTACTCGGTATCCTCTCCAAGAGCCAGGGATAAGAATAGGCAGGTGAAAGAGAATTTGGATACAGTGGTTGGTATCATCCCATTTGATTATGACCAACACTCAGAAAGATTAAAAATTTCTGATTAATTAGAAAACTGTGGCTTAGTTTGCCAAATGAACCTCATAAATTTTGGATTATCTCCTATAGCTAGGAAAAAGCTGCTTGAAATAACTACTATAAAAAACAAAAACCTAGTGAGAAATATTGAGCCCTCCTATAGGAATAGTTTCCTATGAATTAAGTCAGAAAAATTACATTTGTTTTATAAGGTCTCTGGTAGCTTTATGTACCAACTGGCAATAGAGTATACTAGGCCTGTCCTAGTTCATGAGGTTGGAAAAATGCTTCCTAACTTTTCATCTTTAATTGGCCTTCTGTTCACAGACATCATACCTCATATTAAAGGGACCATGTGAGTTAAAGTATTGCTGTGCTATCTGGACATTTATATTAGTGTAGCAGATCTTACTAGCCTTGTAGGATTTATAGTTAGAACATTTGAGACATTAAGAAAGTGATTATGTTTTATAAAATTGATTCTTTTTAGCCTCTGTAATATGGTAAAATAAAATATTGCTCTGCTCCTACAACGTGTACAAGTTTTTGTACTATAGATTGCAGCTCTGTATCTTTTATGGTTTAAAGGTGAATACTATTAAAATTTGAACTGTAGTTTTTTGTGCTTATGCCCATGTTTACCATATTTGCATGTTGAGAAGTTACTCTGTAAAAATTTTTCTTGTTAACATTTTTCTGATTTACTTAGATTTAGTGATTTTTCTTTTTCAGAAAAATGCAATCAATACTTTGTATGGAATAGAATTGGAATCCGAGGGCTTTAGGGAATCATAGAAAGAAATATAATACATGTAATAAATACATATAATATTACATATAATAAAGAAATATAATACATTTATAAAAAGTGACCCTTAGAAGATGGTTCAACCACTGAATGGAAGGTTCCTGGGTCCCTAAATGACTATGCAAACCGCATAAGCATCATATACCTCCTGCAGCATGCTATTGACTAAATAGAAAGATGGAGCAATTTATAGGGCTCACTTCATGCATTTTGTGTCTCTCAAGGATCATATGATGGCACTGATTATTGTCCGATGCCTGAAAAGAGTTGTATGTATTTTTCTAATTTTATGGTAGTTTGTAGGAGGGCTATTCTGGTACTAATTATTTCATCATAGCCAAAAACAAAAATTTCTCAGTTCATTCAGTCTTGAAACATCAAATTCTTCTTAACTTTTTCCTTATCTTCAGGTTCCCTAAACCACAACAGCCTTTATTTATTCTTTCTCAACACTCTTTATGTTTATTCAATGATTTCTGTGATCATTACCACCATCCTGAGATCTTCATTCCCCCAAACTTCTGTGACTATATCTTTTTAACCAGTCTTCCACATTTGATACATGACTTCAGTTAATCATTTACATATTTTTTACTGATTACTCTATCTGTGTATTTAGTAAGAAAGTTTAGTTCTTCCTCAATTTATCCCTAAATGACCTTATGAATTTATCTCCTATTATGCCCCTTAATATACACCATAAAATACCCATATGTATATTTCCTCAACTTTGCTTATATTACCTCTGTTACATAGAATGCTTTGAGTCTCCAAAATTATTTTTTTTCAGCAAATACTTATTAAGTGTCTAATGTGGACCAGACACCATTTTTGTTGATAGGAATATAGGATGGACATTTTAGGGTCCACCATATTATGAAATTTATAATTAAGGGCAAGAGATAAAAATTGAAGAAAAATCACAAAATATTAATCATGCTTGTGTTAGCAGCTATACCAAGGAAGCACAGTGTATCTTATGTGTTTTTACTCTGCAGCTCTTTTCTAGACTTTGGGCTGCATTTTTCTGGGGAATTATATTGGAGTCCTTAAGCAGTGGTATAAATTAGATGGACAAAATGAAGGTGGGAGGGGGAGCTTTCTAAGCAGAAGGCACAGTTTTCTGTGAGAGAAAAAGCCCTAAGTAAGAGAGGAACATGGTTCTGGAGGAGCTGAAAACAGTCAGTGAGGCTAGCATACAATGACCAGTGAGTGGTGAGTCATGGGACTGGTGAATTCCTATATGGTCAGATAACTCAGGTCCTATAGGTAATAATCATACCTTATATTTTATCCTAAGAGTAAAGAGAGGCTTGCAGGTCACTTCTACATTGTCATCTTCTTGCTAGCAGGCACGATGACTTAACTCCTCTCTCCAGTCTTCCAACAGTTACTACTGGAAGCGGCAGGTTGCAGTAAAGACAGAGGTGCCACTCAGGGGCAGGTACATTGATTTATTGGGCAGAGAAGCAGCTGTTGTTTTGGGACACTGTGGCCCAGTACTGTGGTTCAGATTCGCTAAGGCATTAATATATTCTTCATCCATACTGCTTCTTACTACTTGGAAGCTCAGCTTTGTTTACTCCATTATTCTTTAGACTATATTACATTGTATTCGTCCTCATAAAAATGTAGTTTGTGTTGGAGGTAGTTTGTGTTGCAAGCACCATGAGAATAGAGTCAGCATTTACCTCTAGGACATTTTATTTATTTTAAGAGCTAGTTAAGAATTGTTGGAGTACAGAAACTCTCCTGGTACAACAAAACTTGAAAGGGGCCATAAATTCTGCTCTTGTTGCTCTTGTCCTTGTTATTGACAGAATGCCAGCATCTGTGGAGATGAGCATGTAACAATGCATGAATGTGAGACTGTGTTATCCATCTTCATTCTCACCTACTCAGAGTAGGCACACAAACTTATTTCCTGTCTCACAAAGCTGTTGTTTTAAGCAAGAAGGTAACACATTAGAATTATATTTTATTACAATTTTCTTTACTAAACTTTGGGTGAAAATTTTGCAGAGGTGCAAGGCAAGAATGGAAGCTAGAAGGTTAGTGAAGATACTTGACTATTGGCTTAAGATGTCTGTAACTTTGGATAGGAAAGTTGCTGTGAGAAGAACTATAAAAGTGGTCATTTAAATTGTTTTATTTCTTTCCATTAGTCAGTTTTGTAAAAGGTGACTTTTTTCTATCTCCATTGATACATAACTGTCTGCTTTGTGTTTCAGTGGCGTAATTACTTATTTCATCTCTTAGGTAGAATTTCCTTATGGAAAGACTATATTTTATTTACTTCTTTATCTGCTAAATTATTTAGGGCAGTGACTACATTAATTCATTTTTTTTTTTTACTCAAAAATAGTAGTTTATATGTTCCAGGTACTATTCAACATGCTGTGGCGATACATGCCAAATAATCAGACAAGGTTCTGCCTGTGTAGGGTTTTTATTATCCCCATAGAGATGTATATTATTAATTTTATATATATAATATATATTCATTATATATATTATTATATACTCTCTCTCTATATATATATATAATTAATGCCAGTCACAAGTGTAATGAGCTCCATGTAGAAGAATGTCCATTGTACTGACAGCAAATAACAAGGCAGGCTTCCTATTGACCTGTGATATGGAAGAAATAAATTTAAATATTAAAATGGGGAGAAGACATTTCAGGGAGAAAAAAGTGCATTGATCTTGTGACAGGAGCAATTAGATGCATCTTAGCAATAGAAAGAAGGTCAATATAGGTCATGTTAAGGTTTTAGCCTTTATCTCATTAGCATATGGCATGTGTCTAATAAGGATTTACTTAAAGAACAAATCTGAGTATTTCAGGAAGCAATGAGGACAGAAGTAGCAGACAGTGAAAAGACCAACTAGCTGAGATTTACGGAATGAGATTTGAGTGACTTAGAAATGAGATGTTCATGGTGTAAGATGGTAAAAAGGTAGGCAGTGGTTTCAGTGTGGAATCTGCTGCTGCTGCTGAAATGGTAGATGAATCATCTTACTGGTGGAAAAAAAAGAAGCTAGAAAGACTGGACAGGTACATAGAAGAGATGGTTGCTCTGCTTTTTGAAAATGAAGCAGATATTTGTAATAAGAAAAGTGAAGATTGTCAAAAAGCTCTAAGCATGTTAAACATAAATGCATAATAGTGCTTCTTCAGTTGCAATGTTGAAGGATATTTGCATGAATCAAAGTCAGTGCCTGGCTTTTCTCCATAGTTATTTTCTGCCTTATGACATGAATGAATGCTGGGAGTCCCCAATACTATTTCCTGGCTTAGTGATTTTTTGGGAGGATTCACAGAACTCAGCAACAGTCGTTGTTATGGATATGATCGTTTACAGCAAAAAGATTCAAGGCTAAATCATCAAAGGGAAAAGGGGTATGAGGAAAAGTCCTAAGGAAATAAGGTATAAGCTTCTAAATAGTCTCCCTCCAGTAGAATAACAGAAAATGCATTTAATTATTCATAAATGAGTTTCGATGACACATGTAAAATATTGTCTACAAGGGCAGCTCATAGGAGAGTCAGTGCTCAAAGTTTTTATTAGGAGCTGATGATTATGTATCCTCTCCCTAACCTCTACCAAATTTCCAAACTGCTAGTGTTCACCATAAACATTGTCTTAACAGAGTTCAGGCACAGTGAGTGAGTCATCAGTTTTAGCAAGGGGAAGAAACTTTCTTCACGTAATCCAAGTTCTCAGAGGCCAGCCATGGACCAATTTTTCAAGCAGGCCTTTGAAAGGATATGTTAAGTCTTTTATGTACAGCGGCAATAATAGAACTTGTAGAACATCCTTCATTTCCTAGTTCTTTGTGCTATTACACTTTCTGCATTATATTATGTAGCAAACTATCAATATATAGATGAGGCTGTCATTTATACATGAATGCCACAGACTCCTGACTTGTCTACTTTTGGGTCACCATATTTCTTCACTCTTTTTCAATCCATACTCTTGCTACACCACATATCTGGCTGAGCTAGATATTATGAAATTGAATCTCATGCTCCTTTCTTTCTTCTAATCTCTTCTCTAGTCATTATGCATTGATCTCATGTCATACCTAAGTTACTTAGAAGGTTAATGGAAAAAACATCCTTCACTTTGAAATGTCTTTTTATATTAGTTTGTAATTTATATTCCTAACAACTCACAAAGATATCTAGGGTCTGCAATATTTCTTATTGGAGTTAAAAGATAATATTCAGGGTAAATTAAAAATTTAACAAAATCCCATAAAGATTTAATATTAATTAAAATAATTTTAGTGTGGAAATATATTATCCAATAATGGTTTACTTTGTGGAAAAATGTATGCAGATGTTTTTACTGTACTAGTGTTGCATTTGTTGGGTGTAGGGTTCCACACTACTAGAAATTGCTAACAAGGTTATGGTGATCGGAACTGTGTTGCACCAAATTGTTGGGCTGTGATCTTGCTGTGTTTTAACACAATATAGTTTATATATTGTTCTCTGTTTTGTATTACTCCATATCAAATACCAAGAAGTTTTTACTTTTATTTCTAGTAATTGTTCCAATTCTCTAATTCCTTATTATTCAAAATATGTTCCATGAACAGATAACAGTGGGGTAACCTGAGAGTTTGTTAGATGTGCAGAATTCCAGGCCTACTCTCAGACCTACTGAGTAAAACTCTTATTGTTTCCCCAATGTGCCTTCTTAGCCTCTAGCCATTGCCTCAGTTTAGGGCCACTCTTCTTGGTATTCCAGACAACTGTCTAAAGGATGCATTTAGCACATTGACATCCACCCCAACACTAATGTCCCTAAAATGAAATCTCTTGCCTTTACATTTTCAATACTGTTTCTAGACAAGTAGTCACTGAAGTAGGTTGTGGTTTAAGCTGGAGTCATTCAACTTTCTCTTATTCTTATATAATTCCTTCTCTATTTTTCACTGGTATACTTGTTCCCAGATTCTGGATGGAACTAAGATGTCCCACAGCCTTAGGCAATTTAATGATTCTCTTGACTCTGATTAAAGGGTGTCTCATGGTCAGGAAGAGTTTAATTCTTTTTCTCCCTCTGAGTTCCACAAATAGGCAACCTACTGTCCTCTCTGGTTCATTTTACTTTTGGCTGTTCTTCTCCTCTCTTAGTTGATTCAACTTAAGAGTACTTACACTTGTCACTTACAAGTTTTAGTGGATCATATATCCTAGTGGAATATTCCACAACTAAAAATTTTGGTTACATAGAATCATTACCCTTCCAATTAAAATGCAAGTTACTATGAGAAAATAATTTCTTAAAATAGAAATCAAATTTCATATAAATTATAATTTAAACTCTGTTTGAATTTTATTATTAATGGTTCTCTAGAAAGAGTTTAATTAACATTGGAGTTTGATCTACATATTGAGCAAATTTACTTATTAAAATGGAGTTCATATATTGAGCTAATTTATGCTAAAGGGAAATATTCTGTTTAGTAATTTGAATTATATTTCTAAGGCAAATAGTTTCACACTTTTCTAAGGCTAGGTGAATATACAAAGTGATAGAATTAGACCAACTGTAAGAATGAACAGATCTGACTTTTTTTTACACTATGAAGCAACAGTGTTCTCTAAATAGCAGGGTGCTTTTTGTGACTTCTTTCCTTTAAAATGCTGTTTTCATAAGTCAGAGTAAACTGTATCTACTCAATATAATTTTGCTGAAGTCAGCAGTCCTAGTCCTAGACTTATTATCTTCAATTTATTACCTGTGTTTGGTGAAATTGAGCAAAGTTTGTTTTGATATTTTATTCTGGATTTACCTTGAGAGTTCACTATGAGAACAAGAAACTTTATTAAAGGTAACTGAATTCTAGGGTTTATAAAAATAAGTTGAAAAAACTCTGAAACGCTACAATTTAAATTTCTTAGTATGATCATTTGTACCTTTCCTTGCCATTATAAGCCATTCCAGTTTAGGCTATAAATTCATAGTGCAAGATAATGAAGCCATTAGATATAACAAATCATGTCTAAAAGGGAAAGAAAGTTTTCTTCTTTTAAAAAATATTCCCCTTGGGGTCTAATTTTGATGGAGTGCTCCAATAAGCCTGTCTGTAATCTTAGGTCAAATAATAAAATCCCTCCCATAGATGGACGATTACTAGGAATTGCTACAAACTCCAATGCCTTCAGGGTCAGGAAGTTCTCTAGATCAGATACAGACTGGGTGTAGAAGGCATGTGACAGGTGGCATGCCTAATTATGATGATCAGGACATGCCTTAAGTTCCGGCTTTCTAAAAGTATTTATAGTTCATACATTTTATACATAGTCTACCATTCAGAGAATTTTATTTTTTTTTTGAGACGGAGTTTTGCTCTTGTTGCCCAGGCTGGAGTGCAGTGGCGTGATCTCGGCTCACTGCAAACTCTGCCTTCTGGTATCAAGCAATTCTCCTGCCTCAGCCTCCCAAGTAGCTGGGACTACAGGCGCCCGCCACCACGCTTGGCTAATTTTTGTATTTTTAATAGAGACAGGGTTTCACCATATTGGCCAGGCTAGTCCGGAACTCCTGACCTTGTGATCTGCCCGCCTCGGCCTCCCAAAGTGCTGGGATTACAGGCATGAGCCACCGCACCCGGCCTTCAGAGATCATTTTTGCTATTAAAGTTGCTTAATAACAAAGTTGATATTTTATTTTTATCAGTTTTTCAGGAAAATTCAGCAATTTTCCTGCTCAATTTTAAAAGTTTTTTTAAGAGACTCATATTTGTGGGCATTTTTGCATAGTGCTGGCCTGGGAAGTCTTTATGGTTAGTAGGACTGACCACAGAAGGGTGATTTTTTTAGTGCTTTACCTACAGATCCTAATCAAAAATAACCTTGCAGGCAATAAAACAGTAATTGCTATAGTGGTAGAAACTTTTATTTAAGGATTATAAATATTACCCTCTAATAATCTGGTGGTAAGCAGGAGATCTGAAAGCTCCTGTTGACATCAAAAGTTATCATGTGGCCCAATAAGCAGACGATACAAGTCACAGAAGGAAAAGAAATGGAAAGGTCCAGAACCTTGGACAGAAACTTCACTTCTAACCACACTGACTAGATGTGTTTATTAATCCTTCAGTGAGGAGGGATTTGCTTTGTGATTAAACAAGACTGCTTCTGAATTGTATATAGTACAATTAATTGCCTCTGTGCCTAAGTTAATTGTTTGATATGTAACATTGGTAATGAGTATGTATAAAATAGAGGCAGCAGCTTCTCATGAGTATGAGCCCTAGAGTCAGACTGCCTGGCCCTGCCTTACCCTAGCTATGTGACCTTAGGGAAATTATTTTACCTCTTATTCCTCAGTTCTCAGTCTGTAGCTAAAGATAATGAATATTTATTTTCATAGGGTTATGTAAAAATTAAATCAGCTAATATAAGTAAAGCTCTTAATAAAGTGCCTAGAATAATGTAAAAAACCATTAAGCAAATGACAGGTTAATAATTTTTAGTAAATAGACAAATGTAGTTTATTCATTATGTTATTTAAACTTATGGTGATTGTTATTTACAATGCCCAGACTTAGTAAGCTCCATTTGGGAAGTACAAATCAGGTGAAAAGTGAATGAAATGAGTCGTACTAACCACAATGATTTCTAAGCCAGTCCAAAAATGGCTACACATTTGAGTCACTTAGAAAACTTTTACAAACAGAACACAGGGGCCCACTCCATCTTTACTCAAACTGTATTTCTGAGAATGGTTCTCTGAAAGATTTTCAGACAAGAATCTACAGATCTTGGAATTAAAAATTGATATTCAAGACCACTAGTGAGTTCTAACCATACCACAAATCCTCTTACCAGAGTTGCACAAAGTTAGGTTTTGATGGGTTATTGTATGTTACTACTGAATATATAACATGGTTTAGTTCTTTGAGGCATTATTTTCACCATTTGGAGTAGATATATCAAGGTTAAAAATGTTTAGCTTAGGTAACTGAGTCATGGACAGTAGGTTAGGTTTCTACATTCACTTAGAACATTTCTCCATGCATTAAAATAAGCAGGCAAAATTCTATCAGTCTCCATTCTGTGGTGATGGTGTTTGTGTGTGTATGTGCGTGCACATATGGATATTTATTATGTTAAATATGTCCACATATTTAGTAACTTTTGCTCATGACACTGTCTCTTCTGAGAGACGCAGTCCTACACTATAATTGGGCAGTGGACGGACTGGGAATAGACAGTTTACCTTAAAGGAAGACCATACACCGTACGGTAATTTTTGAGGTAGCCTGCTTTGACATGTTCCTGATATATGATATTAATAGGGAGCCTCAGATATGAAGGAAAAAAGTAGTTCTTAGAATCATTATCAGAAAAACATGGTAGAAAATATTTAAGAATATTACCTAAGCTAACTAAAATTGCTGTTCTTTCAAATAGTGTGGGAAATATTTAATTAAATCACTAAGTCTATTTTCCCTCTGGAATTAGCACTCATTATAAGTGTATAGGTTGATGGATTTGGAGAATTGTTTACAGTCATGTAACCATTATCACCATCAAGATAGAGAACTATTTAATTAGCAAGATACAGAAGTACAAAGAAGACTGGCTGGCTGGTGATGAGTAGTGAACCATGGAACAGATGTATAGAAATATTCAAGAGTGTAGTGGAATCAGTTAATGGTAAAGTCAGACGTTGCCACTTAGCTCTCCTCCTCTTCACTTCACCCATTGGACAGTCAGTCCAAAGAAACTCAAGGACTAATCACACATAAACCAGCAGTAAAGAAACTGAGCAATAGCAACATCAGTAGATATTCAGAGGAGAGAGAGAGACAACATTAGCAGTGTCACTGACCTAAGCACCGTAAGAAGGATAAATGTAAAGTGCAATAGCAGAATAGCCAAACATTAGAGCAGAACTGCCATTTTACCCTTTAGTAAACCCCTATCATTTGGCCAGAGTCTTTCTTTGACTAAATGGGAAAGAGGAAATGTTTTAGAGTAATCAAACACTTCTGTATCTGGCTGGTGAAATAGTTCTGTATCTTGCTGGTGATGACTGTATACGATTTTCCAAAGCCATCAACCTATACACCTATAATGATTGCATTTAATATAACATAAATTATACCTCAATAAAGTGAAATTAAGTTTTTAATTAATTTATTTTAATATAATGTATTATTTAATCTTAAATAAATCCAGCCAAAAATATATATTTAAAAGCCTTGACAACTTTAGCTGTAGGAAAGTAAAAGTTTGGGTTAGATGTTTGTGTTTCACTGGGAAGCCTAATTATATTGTAACTTGAAGTAGAGGGACCTATGAAATCATTGGTTGCAAAAAATGGAGGTAAGCTAGTAGCCAAAGTATCTTATAGAATTAATACTATAGGCACTTTGTAAAATATTTATTTACAGAGTGCACTGAGAAATTAACTGTGAGAATGATTAAGCAATCTGTTTAAGATTATAGAGAGAGACAAAGAGAAAAACAAAAAGTTCTTTGAATTTTTTTTTTTTTTTTTTTTTTTGAGACAGAGTCTCACTGTGTTGCCCAGGCTGGAGTGCAGTGGCACGACCTCGGCTCACTGCAAGCTCTGCCTCCCGGGTTCACACCATTTTCCTGCCTCAGCCTCCCGAGTAGCTGGGACCACAGGCGCCCAGCACCAGGCCAGCTAATTTTTTGTATTTTTAGTAGAGACAGGGTTTCACCGTGTTAGCCAGGATGGTCTCCATCTCCTGAACTTGTGATCCGCCCTCCTCGGCCTCCCAAAGTGCTGGGATTACAGGTGTGAGCCACTCCGCCCAGCCTGAATTGTTTTAAAGTTTAGAATACTTTGGAGAAGGTATTTTTTTTTTTCTGGTTCTCTGGTAGATTTGATAGAATGAAAGCTGTTTGTCTTCTCAATAACTAGAGATAACTATTTTCTAAACTTTAATATTTCAAAGCCACCAACTACATTATATTTACTATTGACTATCCGTTTCACAGGTTAACTTACAGTTTTTGTTTCACATAATTCACTTCTTTCCAAGTAACACTCAAAATTACTTGTGTAGTTATTGCAAATTTCAGTTTAGCTGGTAGGCCCAGTAAGTGCATTTAAAAATAGAAAATGGTCAAACCTGACCTTTGGATTCAGATAGCCGAGGGGTAATTGCATTGAAATCATTGCCCTTCCAAGGAAGAAATGCTTGCTGAACATTGACCCCCTGCTTAAATAAAATGGGGTTATTTTTTTCTTACCAGGTGAATCTTTTGACACTTTGATGCCAAGTGTCATTACCTCTGTCTAGTCTGTGAATTGCTGAATTCTCCGTAAGTGTGATTTAATAGCCTGAATCTGTCATGAAATATTTATAGCATTTTTGTGCTTTGAAGATTTTGAATTTTACTTATATCTATATTATTAAAGAAATGCCCTATATAGGAGATGCCACAATGCCACAAGATAATATGATAGTATTTATCTTGTGTAAGTACAATTATTCTGGTACAAGTGTATTTTGGGTCTTTTTATGGAGATAATGTCTAGTGAAAAGTCAAATACTTAAAAAACCATGTAAGCATCATTTTTATGAGCTTTAAAAGGATGATCCAACAGAGAAGTAAGCTTAGCATTTTTAAATAAAATTTTAAAACTAAAATTTAAAAGCAGAATTGGGTAAGATTCTGAGAAACAGATACAAATAATGTTCTTTAAGTTAAAAAATTTTAATTGACATAATATTTGTACATATTTATGGGGTACATTGTGATGTTTCAAAACATTTATACATTATATAATGATAAAATTAGAGTAATTAGTAAATCTGTCACCTCAAACACTTATCATTTCCTTTTGGTGATAAGATTCAAAATTCTCTTTCAGCTGTTTTGAAATATACAATACATAATTGTTAACTATAGTCACCCTACTGTACAACAGAACACCAGAACTTATTCTGTCTAACTGTTGGTTTGTACTCTTTGACCAACCTCGGCCCATCTCCCCACTCCCTACCCCTCCCTAGCCTCTGGTAACCACTGTTCTACTTCTATGTGATCAACTTTTTTATATTCCACATATGAGTGAGATTATGCAGTATGTGTCTTACTGTGTCTATCTCACTTAACATATCCTTTAGGTTCATCTATGATGTCTTTAATGATGGAATTTCATTTTTTATGGCCAAATAGTATTCCATTATATATAGATAATAGATTTTCTTTATCCATTCATAAATTAATGGACACTTAGGTGGTTTTCATATCTTGCCTATTTTGAACAGTGCTGGAATAAACATGGGAATACTGATATCTCTTAAAATACTGATTTCATTTCCTTTGGCTATATACCCAGTAATGGTATTGCTGGATCATATGGTAGTTCTATTTGTAATTTTTATCTCCATACTGTTGTACATAATGGCCATACTAATTTATATGCCCACTGACAGTATGTAAGTGATACAGACAGGAGGCAGGGAAATACTGGGTAGAAGAGGGTGGTTCCTCAGCAAAGGCCCCACTCTCAAGCCTGGAAACCACAGCCCTAAGTGAGAACAGTTTTCTCTGTTTTCTACCAAAATGTTGCCTTTTTTGGCCTGTCCTGCCCCCCATCCTGTGCCCACAGATACCCCAGACTTCACCTGGCAAAGAGACAAGTAGCTCAATGTCAAGAGAAGTAACTGTGCATCAGAGACTATGGATAGATGTGGCTTAACTTCAGACTGCATGACTTCAGAGAGGAACCCAGATGGAGATGGCTGGACTTCAGGGAAAGATCACCTTCTTCCCACACCATCCCCTTTCCAGCTCCCCTTCTGCTGAGAGCCACTTCCACTGCTTAATAAAATCTCCACATTCACGATCCTTCAAGTCCATGTGACCTGATTCTTCCTGGATGCTGGACAAGAACCTGGGTACTAAGAGGGAGCGTGTAAAAGGTTGTCACCCTGACTCTCCACTGAGCTGTTTAACACTTAGCCATCTGTGGGTGTCAACTGCTAAAAAAAAGCATTAATTGTAATGCACTCCTAGATGCAGCCATGGGGCATGAGCCCAGAAGCACTTTCCAAAGCCCTGGCACCCACTTGCCTGTGTGAAGGGTTGAGCCCATCAGGTTTGAGCGAGTGAAGTTTGTGCCTGCCAGCCCCAAAGAGGGCAGGTGGACCCGGAGCTGGTGCACTCAAATTCCCACCTGTGAAAGGGCCAAGGGAACTCTCCCATCTCATAAGAAATCCTTAATCTCTACATCCTCATCAACACTTGTTATCAGTTGCCATTCTCATAATGGATATTTAACTGGAGTGAGGTGATATCTCATTGTGATTTTGATTATATTTCCTGATGATTAGTGAATATTTATTGAGTACTTGTATTTATTGAGTATTTATTGAATATTTGTTGAGTACTTATAATTATGCCAGGCACTATAATAGTTACATATACATTAATGAATATACTTCCTAATCCAAAGAGAGTATTTTCTGTTCTTTTTACTATATTACTTGTGTATGTATATGTATGTATGTCTGTATATATAACTATTTTCATTGTGTACTCACTGAGTGCTCAGGCACTAATCTAAATATCTTACATGAAGTAACATATTTCATCTTTACCACAAATCAATGAGGTAGGTCATAGTACTGGTTACCACTTATCATTTAATGTTAAGGGGAAGGACACCAAAGCATAGAGCTATTGTATGAATGTTTGTGTCCCTTCAAAATTCATATATTGAAACCTGATCACCTGTGTGATGGTATTAGCAGGTAGAGCCTTTGTGAGGTGATTAGGTCGTGAGGAAGCAGCTCTCATAAACAGAATTAATGCTCTTATAAAAGAGACCCCAGAGAGTTGCCTTGTTCCTTCACCATCTTGAAGATGCAGCCAGAAGGTGCCCTTTAGAAGGTAGAAAGCAGGGCCTCAACAGACATTGAGTCTGCCTTGATCTTGGAATTCCCAGGCTTCAGAACTATGACAATAAATTTCTGTTGTTCGTAAGATACCCAATTGATTGAATTTTGTTACAGCAGCCCAAACAGGCTAAGACAGAGAATTTGAGGGCCTTTTACATTTCACCCAGCTGGTTGAACTCAGACTATTCTACAGCTAATGCTCTTTTCCATTACAGTCTAGTTGTATATTGGATATCAAAAGCGAAATTCAATGGTTATGTCATTTAAAGGAAAATGTATAAACAATAATCTAAATTATTTAAAATTTAAAATTTAAAATTCCAGTTTTCTCTACTAATTCCTTTTAAACTTTAACTGCTTTTGTCTGAACTCATAAAGTAACCGTTTTTATATTCAGGTTATACATTCATATTTTAGAATTATATATTTTACTGTTTATCTAAACGTGCAATCCAATTAAAGTAACATTTTCATTAAAAAAAAAAAAAAAAACTTTGAATAGCTGGGTGTGGTGGCTCACGCCCATAATCCCAGCGCTTTAGGAGGCCAAGGCAGGAGGATTGCTTGAGCCCAGAAGTTTGAGACCAGCCTGGGCAACATGGTGAAACCTCATCTCTACAAAAAAATACAAAAATTAGCCAGGCATGGTAGCATGTGCCTGTAGTCCCAGCTTCTTGGGAGGCTGAGGTGGGAGGATCACCTAAGCCTGAGAAGGTTGAGGCTGAAGTGAGTCATGATTGTGCCACTGAACTTCAGCCTGAGTGACTGAATGAGACCATGTCTTAAATAATAATAATAACAATAATAAAATAAAACATTAAAAATCTGAATAGCATTTTTCCTGCTCAGTACTCTTTTATTTTTGAGTGATAATTGATGAAAGTTATATATACATATATATTTAAGGTATGCACTATGATGATTTGATATATGTATATATTGTGAAAGAATGAGCACTATTGAGCTAATTAACATAATTGTCATTTCACATAGTTACCATTTTTTATGGTGACCTCATTGAAGATGTATTCCATTAGCAAATTTCAATTATCTAAAACATTGTTATTAACTATAGACACCGTACTGATCATTATGTCTCCAGAACTTACTCATTGTATAACTGAAAGTTTGTACATTTTAACCGACATCTCTCCATTTTCCCCATGGCCTAACCCTAGCAAGCATTCTTCTACTTTCTGTTTCTGTGCATTTGACTTCTGTAGATTTCATATATAAACAAGATCATACAGTATTTGTCTCTCTGTGTCTGGCTTATTTTACTTAGCATAATGTCTTCCAGGGGCAGACATGTTGTTGCAAATAGCAGGATTTCCTTCTTCTGAAGGCTGAATAGTATTTCAATGTATGTGTGTGTGTGTATATCACATTTTAAAAGATCATTCATCCATCAATGGACACAGATTGTTTCCAAATTTTGGGTATGATGAATAATGCTACAATGAACATGGGAGTGCAGATATCTTTTCAAGATAATTATTTTATTCTCTGGATAAATACCCATAAGTGGGATTGATGATTTAATATAATTTGATTTTCAATTTTTTGAGAAAATTCCATATTTTTCATAATGCCTATAGCATCAATTTACATTCCTATCAACAATGAATACAGGTTCCTTTTTCTTCATATCTTCACCAACATGTGTAATCTTTTGACTTTTTAATAATAGTGATCTTAAGAGGTGTGAGGTGATAACTCACTGTTTACATTTTTATTTCCCTGATGATTAGTGCCGTTGAGCTTCTTTTTGTATACTTGTTGGTCATTTGTATGTCTTATTTGAAAAATATTTATTCAGGATATCACCCATTTTAAAATCAGGTCATCCTTTTACAATTAAGTTGTGTGAGTTACTTATTTTTTTGGATGTTAACTGCTTCTCAGATGTGTGGTTTGCAAACATTTTCTCTCATTCTGTAGGTTGTCTTGTCATTTTGTTGAGCATTTTATTTTATGTGCAGAAACTTCTTAGTTTGATGTAGTTTCACTTGTTTGTTTTTGCTCTTGTTGCCTAGAATTTTGGTGTCATATCCACAAAAAAAAAACAACCCAAAAAACACTGCAAAGACCAAAGTCATGGAGCTCTTTGTCTATGTTTTCTTCTAGGAGCTTTACAATTTTAAGTCTTATTTTTAAGTCTTTAGTCCATTTTGAGTTCATTTTGTGCATGGTGTTAAGGTAAGGATCTAATTCTATTTTACTTTTTACCTGTAGATTTCCAGTTTTCCCAGTTTATTGAAAAGACTGTTCTTTCATTTTGTGTTCTTGTTATATTCTTGACACCTTTGTTGAAGATTAGTTGACTGTATCTGAATAAGTATATTTTCTGGTCCTTACATTCTATTTAATTGGTCTATGTGTCTGTTTTTATGCCAATACCATACTGTTTGAATTACTATAGCTTTGTAATATAATTTAAAATTAGCAAGTGTGATGCTTCCAGCTTTGTTTTTTTTTAATTTTTTATTTTTTTGCTCAAGATACACATTTTAGAACTTTTTTCTGTATCTATGAAATATGCGATTGAAATTTTAGTAGAGATTGTGTTAAATTTGTATATTGCATTAGGTAATATGGACGTTTTAGCATTGATACTTTTGGCCTATAAATATGGAATATCATTAAATTTCTTTGTGTTTTTTAAAATTTCCAACATCAATGTCTTATAGCTTTTGTGAATAGATCTTTCATGTCCTTGGTTAAATTTATTCCTAAGCATTTTATGTTTTTGGATTCTATTGTGAATGAGATTGCTTTCTTAATCTAATTTTTTGGATATTTCACTATTATCACATAGAAATGCAACTGATTTTAGTATTTGGATTTAGTATCCCATCACTTAAGTAAATTACTTATTAGTTCTCAAAGCTTTTTGGTAAAGTCTGCAAAATTTCCTAGATATAAGAAAATCTTTTGTAATCAGAGACAACTTTACTTCTTTCTTTCCAATTTGGATGACTTCTATTTCCTTTACTTGCTTAATTTTCTCTGGCTGAGACTTCTAGAGTCTATGTTGAATAGAATGGCAAGAGTTGGCACTTGCTGTGGTGTGAATATGTCTCCCAGAAGTTCATGTGTTGGAAACTGAATTGTCAAAGTAACAGTGTTAAGAAGTGGTGCCCTTGTGGTAAGTATCATGAGAACAGAGTCCTCAAAAATGGATTAATGCTGTTATCCTGAAAGTTAGTTCTTGCAGGAGTGATTTAGTCCTCTTGGGAGCGAGTTAGTTCTCATGGGAATTAATTAGTTCACACAGGAACAGGTTGTTATAAAAGTTAGTTTGGCTTGCTATTGCAGTCCCTTTTACACATTCTTGCCCTCTTACCATGTTTTGATCTAGTAAAAAGATCCTCACCATATCTGGTGTACCTTGAACATCCCAGGCTCTAGAATGGTAAGAAATAAATTTCTCTTCTTTTAAAATTACCCAGCATGTGATATTCTGTTACAGTAGCAGTGAAATAGACTGTTCTTGTACTGCTATAAGAAATACCTGAGATTAGGTAAATTATAAGAAGAGAGGTTTTATTGGCTCATGGTTCTGAAGGCTAAAGGAAGCATAGTGGCATCTGTTTATGGGGAGGCCTTAGGAAGCTTCCAATCATGGCAGAAGGCAAAGGGGTAACAAGTACATCATATGGAGAAAGAAGAAACAAGAGAGAGGGAGGTGCCACACACTTTTAAATGACCAGATCTCATGTGAACACAGAGGTAGAGCTCACTTATCACCAAGTAGATGGCCCAAGCCATTCATGAGGGATTGGCCCCCATAATCCAAGCACCTTCCACCAGGCCCCACCTCCAACACTGGTGATTGTAATTCAACGTGAGATTTGGATGGGCACAAATACTGAAACTGAATCATGTTGCCCCTTGCCTCTCCCAAATCTCATGTCCTTCTCACATGGCAAAATACAATCATGGCTTCCCAATAATCCCCCAAAGTCTTAACTCATTCTAGCATTAACTCAAAATTCCAGGGTTCAAAGTCCCATCTGAGACAAGGCAAATCCCTTCCACCTATGAGACTGTAAAATGAAAAAATAAGTTAGTTACTTCTAAGATAAAGTTGTGGTGTAGGCATTGGGTAACAAAAGCTCCATGCAAGTTTGAAACCCAGGAGGGCAGTCATTAAATCTTAAACCTCAAAAATATTATTTTATAACTCCATGTCCTACACTCAGGACACACTGGTGTAAGGGGTGGGCTCCCAAGGCCTTGTGCATCTCCCTGCCTAGGGCATTGCAGGGTTTGGCCCCTGAGACTGCTCCCATAGGTTCTTGAGTGCCTGTAGCTTTTCCAAGTGCAGGGCGCACACCACTAGTAGATCTATAATTCTTGGGTCTGGGGGGCGGTGGCTCCTTTCTCAGAACTCCACTAGGCAGTGCCCCACTGGGGACTCTGTGTAGGGGCTCCAACCCCACATTTCCCCACTAAACTTCCCTAATAGAGGTTCTCTGTGGGGGCTCTACCTCTGTCTGCATCAGGCATCTGCCTAGGCACACAGGCTTTTCCATACATTCTCTGAAATATAAGCTGAGGCTGCAAAGCATTCTTCACTCTTGCATTCTGTGCACCTACAGACTTAAAGCCACCTGGAAACCACCAAAGATTATGGTTTGCATTCTCCAAAGTGACAGCCTGAGCTGTATCTGGACCCCTTTAAGCCCCAGCTAGAGCTGGAGCAGCCAGGATGTGGTAACCAGTATCCCAAGGCTGCACAGAGCAGCAGGGCCCTCGGTCTGGCTCATGAAATCATTCTTCCCTCCTTGGCCTCCAGGCTTGTAATGGGAGGGTCTGCCACAAAGGTCTTTGAAATATACTTCAGGTCTTTATCATATTGTCTTGGCTGTCAGCACTTGGCTCCCTTTAGTTATGCAAATATCTCTAACAAGTGGCTGCTCCACAGCCTGTTTGAATTCATCTCCAGAAGTAGCTTTTTATTTTCTTGTCACATGGCCGGTCTGCAAACTTTTCAAACTTTTATGCTCTGCTTCCTTCTTAAGCATATGTTCCAACTTTAAGTAATTCCTTTGCTTCTGCATCTGAGCACGGGCTGTTAGAAACAGGCCACATCTGGAACACTTTGCTGCTTAGACATTTTTTTCCACCAGATACCATAAATCTTCTCTATGAGGTTCAAACTTCCACAGATCCCTAGGGCATGAACAGAATGCAGCCAAGCTCTTTGCTAAGGTATAACATGTATGACATTTGCTCCATTTCCCAATAAGATCCTCATTTCCATCTGAGACCTTGGCAGCCTGGACTTCACTGTTCCTATCACTATTAGCATTTTGATCACAATCATTTGAGCAGTCTCTAGGAAATTCCCAACTCTCTCTCATCTTCCTGTCTTCTTCTAAGCCCTCCAAACTCTTCCAACCTCTCCCCATTACCCAATTCCAAAGTGGCTTCCACATTGTTAGGTATCTTTATAGCAATGCCTTACTCATCAGTATCAATTTTCTATATTAGGCAATTCTTGCACTGCTATAAAAAAATACCTGGCACTGAGTAATTTATAAGAAAAGAGGTTTTATTGGCTCACAGTTCTGAAGCTATTCAGGAATAAAAGCAGCATCTGCTCCTGGGGAGGCCTCAGGAGGCTTCCATTCATGGTAGAAGGCAAAGGGGAAGCAAGCATATCACATGGCAAGACCAGGAGCATGAGAGAGTGAGTTAGAAGGTGCCACACACTTTTCAATGACCAGATCTCATGTGAACTGAGTGAGAGCTCACTTATCACCAAAGGGATGGCCCAAGCAATATATGAAGGATTTGCCCCCATGATTCAAATACCTCCCATCTGGCCCCACCTCCAACATTGGAGATTACAATTCAACATGAGATTTAGGTGGGGACAGATATCCAAACTACATCAAGCATAGTACAGACTAAGAGAAAAACTTGGTCCTGTGAAGGGAAGCCATTGTTATGACATCTGAAAATGTGGAAGGGGTCTTGGAACTGGGTAATGGGCAGAGGCTTGAAGAATTTGGAGGCCTAGGCTACAAAAGCCTGTCTTGCCATGAATGCAGCATTATGGCCAATTCTGGTGAAAAACTCAGAAGAAAAGGCTAGGGAAAGTCTAGACATTTTTAGAGATGACTTAAGTGCTTGTAATCAGAGTGTTGATAGAAAATGAACAGTAAAGGCCATTCTGATTAGGTCTTAGACAGAAATGAGGAATATCATACTGAAAACTGAAGTAAAGGCCATCCTTGCTATAAAGTAGCAAAGAACTTGACTGAACTGTTTTTGCACCAAAGGCCTTCATGGTTGATAAACTAGGATACCTCCCAGAAGAAACATCTAAACAATAAAGCATTCAGGTTCTGCCTGGCTACTTTTAATTCCTAATAGTAAGATGCTAGAGGAAAGAAATTATATTAAAACAGAATTTATAATTAAAGCAATTCAAAGAGATTTTAAAAATTTGCAGCCCAGCCATGTAAAGAACAAAAAAATATGTAACAGTGTGGCCAAGTGACCCTTTGGAGGGAGTATTAGTATGAATAGAAGGGAGCTAGGTGCTATTCATCAGGACAATGGGAGAATAAGATCCCAAAAGCATTTCAGACATTTTTGAGGCTGCCCATCTCATGGCAGGCTCAGAGATCTAAGAGGGCAGAATAGTGTCAGGTGACAGGCCCTGGGTGATCTCCACAGGCTCACTGCCCAGGGCCCTCTTTGGACTCTGTTCCCGAATTCCAATGCAGTCCTCCTCAGCCATCCCATCCATGGCTCACATGGGCCCAGGTGCAGCTCAACCTGCCACTGCAGAAGGTACAAATTATGAACCTTAAAAGCATACATGTGGTGCTAATTCTGCAGGCTCACAGAATGCATGAACTGTGGTGCCATTGCTTCCACCACTTAAAGTTCAAGAGATGTAGTGAACAGCTTGGAAGCTGAGGCAGGACGTTGCAGGGATGGAGCCACCACAGAGAACCTCTACTAGAACAATGCCTAGTGGAGCTGTGGGTGTAGAACCATCACGGAGGCACCATAACTGTAAAGTTTCCAGTATGCAATGCCAGCACAGGAGAGCTGAAGCATGAGATAAGCCCAGCAAAGCCATAGGAGCCATAGAAATAAGAATACCTGAGGCATGGGGGCCCAAGCCCCACTTTAAAGTATGCAGGAAGCAGGACATGGAATCAAGCAAAATTATTCCGGAACTTTAAGACCTAATGTTGTTTTTCTCATTGGGTTGTGGACTTACCTGGGGGCAGTTACTTTTTTCTTTTTGTCTATCCCCTGCTTCTTAAATGGGAGTGTTTGTCCTAGGCCAGTCTTGTCATTTTGGTCATAGATAACTTGTTTTAATTTCAAAGGCTCACAGCTGGAATAAATTTACCTCAGGACGAATTGTTCCTTCAGTCTCAGAGGGGACTGCACTTTTGAGCTGGCAGTGGAGCAAGTTAAGACTTTTGGGGCTATTGAGATGGAGTAAGTGTATTTTGCACTGTGAGAGGGACATAAATTTTGGGGGCCAAATGTGTAATATTATGGTTTTAATATTTCCCCCAAAAGTTTATAAGTTGGAAAGTTAATTGCCAATGTAATATGGGACCTTTTAGACGTGATGGGGGTATGAGGGCAGAGCCCTTTTGAGTGGTTCAATATCATTATTGTCAGAATGACTTAGTTCTGATGGGAGTGAGTTAGTTTATACAATAGTGGGTTGTTTGAAAGCGAGCTCAGCTCACTATCCATGCCACTTTTGCATACTCTTGCTCTCTTGCCATGTGATCTTCTCTGCCATGTTATGATGCAATAAGGCCCTCACTAGATGCCAGCCTGTTGACCTTAGATTTCCCAAACTACAGAGCTATCAGCTAAATAAACTTCTATTCTTTATAAATCACTCAGTCTGTGGTATTCAGTAATAACAGAAAATAGACTAAAACAGTAAGAAAAAAACTTTTGTGCAAGACAACATCCTCTTGAAGTCAACAGAAATTTTGCTAATATGAATGTCAAACTTTTAGACTATACATTTCCCAATAGCTGGAACTACGTCTTACTTTGCATTTAATGTTTTAGACAGTTTGTGACATTTAATAAGTTTGCATGAAAAAATTGAAATAAAACTTTGTGGCTGACTGCCACTGCTACTACTTGAGACCATCATTACAGCAGTTACTACTGATACTGCCTGAGACTGTCATTAGAAGACTGAATGAAGGAGGACGAACATAGAAATGATAACAAAAAACAAAAGAACTATTTTAAAGGAAGGAGCAGGGGAAGAAGAGGGCTCAGTGCTTCTAGTGAGCAAAGGCCCCTCGAGCTTCCACAGCCCTTCTTATTTATTGGGTAGAATGAGCAGGGAGGAGGAGGTAACAATTGGTCAGCTGCTTAATTGATCGCAGGTTCTCATATTACTAAGAGGCTTCAATTATGCCCAATCATAAGAAACACTTGTGCCTGGGTCATGACTGCCTTCAGCAGTCCATCTGGGTGGCAGACACAGTTTGTCAGTTTGCCAACATTCTGCATTTATGAGAAACAGTTTGCTGCTTACTCATATAGCCTCCAGTGGTATACTGAGTTGATCACGACTTCAATCTTTTGGCCTCCAACAAAACTTTGTCATAGTACCTTACTAACCCTTATTTAAAAAATGGGGTTTGGTAATGGAAAATTCCTGTTGGAAAATAGTGTACTTTGAAAAATACATTAACTCTTGTATTCTACTACGAGTTTGACTCAACTGGTAAGAAGGTAAAAGGTTAATTAATTTAAGAAACATGTAAAACCTATATCATCCTATTTGTGAAGTAGTTTTCCTTGTTCATGGATCTGTGGCCTTTTGAATTAGCTATGGGTTTTTATTTCTGCATATGTTAGGGCATGTGTTAACCATTCACTTTTGTATTTTCATCAGGTATGTAACCTTGACTTAAATGCATTTATTAATTGGATCAGCAGGCTGTACAAAAATTCAATGCATCTTTTTGTGAGAAATGATTTAGTGGGAAGGTAGTTTTTAAAAAACATATCAATTATATGCATTTCTTGTAATTCATAGCATTTCTCTGCATAAGTTTTTTGGATAAAATGAAGCTAACAACAAAGGAACAGACTTTTTTTGGAATATATGAAATGAAATAATTTGCTTCAATAACTTTCAAGAAGAAAGTGACAATTTAACTGTGACTGGAAGGACAGCTATGGAAAGTTTTCAGAATTGTCATCAAAGAAATACTTTATATAGATTATGAAAATTCCACCGTATGATAATTTAAAAAACGCTAATAAGAACAAAGAGAATAACTTTTCCTTATTACATTGTCAAAGATTTTTAAAAATACATAATATTAAAGAGAAATAATTCATTCCTGGTGGGAATATAAATTTTTATAATGTTTCTATTTTTATATTATATAGGAAGGTGACCATATGTATGAAAAACTGCAAATATTTATACTCTTTGAAATATAAATCCCATATTTAGGCATATGTCTTAATGAAATTAGAGTGCTGTTATTTTACAAGTATTAAAGTAAGGTTGAAGCATGTTTAAAAGCATAGATAAATGCTTACAATATGACATTGATATAAACACAGCAGGATTTAATTCTAGTTATCTATTACCAAGTTTTATTTAAAACCCATGGAAAAATGGAAGGAAAGAATTTTTTGGGAGTAATAATATTACAGGGGACTTTATAAAAAGTATTTCCAATAAAAATTTTTAATAATAAAAATTAGTAATGTGACAAATACTATTTTAAACCTAAAACCAATGTCTTTTAAATACATATTTTATATTTTGGGGAAATTATCTAAGCATATTGACTTATTTTGTAATGTGATACCAATTTACAATGTTAATGAGGGTTGCAAGTAAAATGATGAATAACAACTTTATACAGGTAAAGTGGCTATTTCTGTCATATAACATTAAATAAAGTTTTAAAGAATCTTGATCATTGCTATTACATAAAAATATACAGTGGACCACAACTTTCAGCTTTCTGTCTTTATAGACCTGTCTTTTCAAGATACTTCAGATAACAGCAATCATATAATACATAGTCTCTTGAACTCGTCATCCTTAAATGGTTTACCATTCATCTGTGTTGTAGGATGTATTAGTATTTTGTTGTTTAATATTGCTGAATAGTATTTTATTTATCTGTTCACCTGTTGATGGACATTTACATTGTTACAATTTGAGATTATTACAAATAATGCCACTATAAATATGTACATGTCTTTGTATGGAGACATATTTTTCTTTGTCTTGGGTAGATTACTAAGAGTGAAATTACTAGGTCATAGAAGTGTATTTTTTTAACTATATAAGATACTTCTATTCTGATTTCCAAAGTAGCTGAACCATTCTATATTCCTAATATTTTACAATTCTACCAGGAATGAACAAGGGTTTCAGATTTTCTATATCATCTCCAATACTTGGTATTGTCTGCGTTTTTATTTTAGGCACTATTGTGGCTGTGTAGTGGTATTTCTATGTGGTTTTTATTTGCATTTCTCTAATGACTTAATGATGACGAGCATCTTTTCATGTGCATATCAGCCATTCATTTATCTCCTTTGGTGAGATATCTATTCAAATCATTTTCCCATTTTAAAAATTAGGTTTTCTTATAATTGAGTTGTAATAATTTTTTATGAATTTTTTGATACAAATACTTGATCAAGTATATGATTTGTGAGTTTTATCTCCCACTCTTTGTCCTGTCTTTTAATTTTCTTAATGGAGAATTTTGAAGTGAAGTTTTGAATTTTTATAAAATTCAATTTTTAAAATTTTCTCTTATGCATTGTGCTTTTGATGTTTTATCTAAGAACTTTTTCTCAAAGTTTACAGTTGTCTTCTTTTATATTTTCTTCTAGAAATACTTTGTTTCAGTTCTTAATTTTAGGTAATTATCCATTTTGAGTTAATTTGTGTATATTGTGTGATATATTAGCATCTAAGTTTATTTTTTGCATGTGCATATCACATCTGGTTGTCTCAGAAATATTTCTTGAAAAGATTATCATTTATCCCACTGACTTTGCATCTTGGTTGAAAATCAGTTGATTGTAAGTATAAAGCTTTATTTTTGGACTCTCATTTTTATGCCCTCATTTGTGTTCTGTTAATCCATAGGTCTGTTTTTGTGCCAATACCACACTGTCTTGATTATTTTGGCTTTATTGTATATTTTGAAATTGGATAATTTAAGTTCTGCAACTTTATAATTTTTTTCAATATTGTTTTGGACTATTCTGTGTATTTTGCATTTCTACATAAATTTTAGGATCAGCTTGTCAATTTCTGCAAAATAACATAGTATTTTGATAGTGATTACATTGATTTTTCTTTTGTGGACCAATTCTGGGAGAATTGGCATTTTGACTATATGAGGCCTTCAATTTATGAACATATGTGTCTTTGCAGCAATATTTTATCATTTTCGGCGTTCAAATCTTGTACTTATTTAAAAATATAATTCCTAAGTAAATTTTTGATGTTACTGTGAGTGCAATTGCTTTCTTAATTTTAGTTTTAGTTTTTTTATTGTTGTTGTTGCTACAATGTAAAAGCACAATTAACTTTTGTGTAGTGTTCTTGAACCCTGAGATCTATTAAACTCATTTATTTGTTACAGTAACATTTTGTGGATTCCTTGGAATTTTCTGTGTAGATGATCATGCCAACTGTGAATAAAGACAATTTTACTTACTTCTTCCCAACACTTTTGTTGTATTGCACTAGCTTTTAACTTTCTATTAAACATTAATAACATGCTTTATATTTGATCTTATAAGGGAAGGAATTCAATCTTTCACAATAAAATATATTAGTTGTGTTTCCTTTTTCCTTTTAAAAGAAGGCTTTTCTTTGGGAGGCTAAGGTGGGTGGATTGCCTGAGCTCAGGAGTTTGTGACCACACTGGGCAACACGGTGAAACCCCGTCTCTACCAAAATACAAAAAAATTAGCCGGGCATGGTGGCACGTGCCTGTAGTCCCAGCTACTTGGGAGGCTGAGACAGGAGAATTGCTTGAACCTGGGAGATGGACGTTGCAGTGAGCTGAGATCGCACCACTGCACTCCAGCCTGGGCGACAGAGCAAGACTCTGTTTCCAAAAAAAAAAAAAAAAAAAAAAAAAAAAGCTTTTATCAGTTTTAGAATATTAGAATATTTTTGTCTATTCCTTGTCTTTTAAGAGTGTTTTCCAGAATGGACATTGAATTTTGTCAAATGGTTTTCTTAAAATTTTACATGTTTTGCTATCACCATGCAATTTTTGCCCTTTACTCTGTTAACAGACTGTATTACGTTAGTTGATTTTCAAGAGGTTAAACTAACTTGCTTTTAGGGTATAAATCCCACTTGATTATCTTGTACAATTTTAGTGTTGTTGGATTTTATTTGTTAATAATTTGTTTAAAATTTTTGCATCTACGTTGATGAGGAATATTATAGTTTTCTTGTAATTTCTGTATCTGGCTTTCATATTGAAGTAATACTGGCCTATTGAAATGATTTTCAAAATGTTCCCTTCTATGTTTTGTGAAAGAATTTGTGAAAATTTGATATTAGTTCTGTTTTAAATATTTAATAGAATTTATCAATAAAGTCATCTGGGCATTTTTATAGAATCTATAGAAAGTTTTATAATTTCTAATTCAATTTATTTACTGCTTATAATCTATTTATATTTCTAGTTCTTTTTAAGTTAGTTTTGGTGGCTTTTGTCTTTCATGAAACTGGTCCATTTTATGTAACTTATCTAATTTCTTGGAATAAAGTTATTAAAAATTTTCTAAAAGTATTTTTGGAGTCAGTACTAAGGTCCCCTCTTTCCTTGCTAATTTTAGTAATTTGTTGCTTCTCACTTTTTTATTTGAATTGTCTAGCTAAAGGTTTATCATTTTTTTGTCATTTCAAAGAGAGAACTTTTGGTTTCATTGTTCATTCTCTATTATCTTCATGTTTTCTCTATTCATTTTTTCTTTAATCTTTATTTCCTTTCTTCTACATATTTTAAATCTAATTTTATCTTTTTTCAACTATTTTAGGTGAAAACATAAGTTGTCGATTTGAGATTTTCTTTTTCTGATGTCAGTATTAAACGCTATAAATTTTCTCTAAGCACTGCTTTTGTTGAAGTCAATACATTTATATGTTGTATTTTGGATTATTCAGTCTGAAATATTTTCTAATTTTCTTTATGATTTCTCCTTTGATTCTTGGGTCATGAAGAGGCATATGGTTAATTTTTAAGTGTTTATTGATTTCCCACATTTATTTTTGTTGTTAATTTCTAATTGTATTTTGTTGTGGTTGGAGAACATTCTTTGCATAATATCAATCCTTTTAAATTAACAGGCTTGTTTTATGGCCTAACATGTCTAATCCTGTGGAATATTCAATGTGTACTTTAAAAGAGTGAGCATTCTGCAGTTAAGATGAGTTAGTTGATAGTGTTCTGATATTCTATATATTTGTGAATGTCCTCTTAGTTGTTTTATTAATTATTGACAGTGGGGTATTGAAATCTCAAACCAAAATTTTGAATTGTTTCATCAGTTTTTGCTCCGTGTAGGTCTCTGTTATTAGTTGAGTATCTTTTTATGGTTGTAATTTTTTCCTGATATATTGCCCGTTATGTCATGAAATACTCTGCTTTGTCTCTAATAATATTTTTTTGCTTTACATTCTATTTTTGTCTTATATTACTCTAGTCATTTCATCTTTCTTGTTGTTACTATTTAAGTATTTTCCCCCTTCCTTTTGTATTTTCCTATAGTATTTTCCCCCTTCCTTTTGATTTTTTGATTTCAACTTGTTTTTTAAATCTGAAGTGGTTCTCTTGTAGACAGTATATAATTGGATATTGCTTTTTGTGATGGTTAATACTGAGTGTCAACTTGATTGGATTGAACGATACAAAATATTGATCCTGGCTGTGTCTCTAAGGGTGTTGCCAAAGGAGATTAACATTTGAGTCAGTGGGCTGGGAAAGGCAGACCCACCTTTAATCTGGGTGGGCACCATCTAATCAGCTGCCAGCTCGGCTAGAGTATAAGCAGGCAGAAAAATGTGAAAAGAGAGACTGGTCTAGCTTCCCAGCCTACATCTTTCTCCCATGCTGGTTGCTTTCTGCCCTCGAACATCAGACTTCAAGTTCTTCAGTTCTTCAGTTTTGGAACTTGGACTGGCTCTCCTTGCTCTTGAGCCTGCAGATGGCCTATTATGGGACCTTGCAACTGTGTGAGTCAATACTTAATAAACTCCCCTTTATATATACATCTATTCCATTAGTTCCGTCCCTCTAGAGAACTCTGACCAATACACTTTTGTGATCCAGTTTGACAGTCTCTGCTTTTTCATTGGGATGTTTAGATCACATATCTTTAATATTATTTAAATTAATTAATATTAACATAATGTGTTAATTAGTTAATGTAATGTTACTGATATTTCTAGATTTGTATTTGCCTTTTTGCTATTTGTTTTCAATATATCTTATTTCTTTTGTGTAACTGTGATCCTTCTTGTCTACTCTCTTTCGTATTAAATAATCTTTTCTAGTATACCATGTTAATTCTTTGTTGATTTTATTTATTTTTATTTTTTTATTTTTATGAGAAACTATATAACTTTATTGATACAATAACCCTTTGTTTTTCACATTGAAAATACAGTGTATTTTGCAAATAACTAAAGCCTAATTTTGTATTAAAATTTTAAATTTTATTTTATTTTTTTATTTTATTATTATACTTTAAGTTTTAGGGTACATGTGCACAATGTGCAGGTTAGTTACATATGTATACATGTGCCATGCTGGTGTGCTGCACCCATTAACTCGTCATTTAGCATTAGGTATATCTCCTAAAGCTATCCCTCCCCCCTCCCCCCACCCCGTAACAGTCCCCAGAGTGTCATGTTCCCCTTCCTGTGTCCATGTGTTCTCTTTGTTCAATTCCCACCTGTGAGTGAGAACGTGCCGTGTTTGGTTTTTTGTTCTTGCTACAGTTTACTGAGAATGATGATTTCCAATTTCATCCATGTCCCCACAAAGGACATGAACTCATCATTTTTTATGGCTGCATAGTATTCCATGGTGTATATGTGCCACATTTTCTTAATCCAGTCTATCATTGTTGGATATTTGGGTTGGTTCCAAGTCTTTGCTATCGTGAATAGTGCTGCAATAAACATACGTGTGCATGTGTCTTTATAGCAGCATGATTTATATTCCTTTGGGTATATACCCAGTAATGGGATGGCTGGGTCAAATGGTATTTCTAGTTCTAGATCCCTGAGGAATCGCCACACTGACTTCCACAATGGTTGAACTGGTTTACAGTCCCACCAACAGTGTAAAAGTGTTCTTTTTTCTCCACATCCTCTCCAGCACCTGTTGTTTGCTGACTTTTTAATGATTGCCATTCTAACTGGTATGAGATGGTATCTCATTGTGGTTTTGATTTGCATTTCTCTGATGGCCAGTGATGGTGAGCATTTTTTCATGTGTCTTTTGGCTGCATAAATGTCTTCTTTTGAGAAGTGTCTGTTCATATCCTTTGCCCACTTTTTGATGGGGTTGTTTGTTTTTTTCTTGTAAATTTGTTTGAGTTCATTGTAGATTCTGGATATTAGCCGTTTGTCAGATGAGTAGGTTGTGAAAATTTTCTCTCATTCTGTAGGTTGCCTGTTCACTCTGATGGTAGTTTCTTTTGCTGTGCAGAAGCTCTTTAGTTTAATTAGATCCCATTTGTCAATTTTGGCTTTCGTTGCCATTGCTTTTGGTGTTTTAGACATGAAGTCCTTGCCCATGCCTATGTCCTGAATGGTAATGCCTAGGTTTTCTTCTAGGGTTTTTATGGTTTTAGGTCTAATGTTTAAGTCTTTAATCCATCTTGAATTAATTTTTGTATAATGTGTAAGGAAGGGATCCAGTTTCAGCTTTGTACATATGGCTAGCCAGTTTTCCCAGCACCATTTATTAAATAGGGAATCCTTTCCCCATTGCTTGTTTTTGTCAGGTTTGTCAAAGATCAGATAGTTGTAGATATGCGGCATTATTTCTGAGGGCTCTGTTCTGTTCCATTGATCTATATCTCTGTTTTGGTAACAGTACCATGCTGTTTTGGTTACTGTAGCCTTGTAGTATAGTTTGAAGTCAGGTAGTGTGATGCCTCCAGCTTTGTTCTTTTGGCTTAGGATTGACTTGGCGATGTGGGCTCTTTTTTGGTTCCATATGAACTTTAAAGTAGTTTTTTCCAATTCTGTGAAGAAAGTCATTGGTAGCTTGAGGGGGATGACATTGAATCTATAAATTACCTTGGGCAGTATGGCCATTTTCATGATATTGATTCTTCCTACAAAAAGAGTCCAGGACCAGATGGATTCATAGCCGAATTCTACCAGAGGTACAAGGAGGAACTGGTACCATTCCTTCTGAAACTATTCCAATCAGTAGAAAAAGAGGGAATCTTCCCTAACTCATTTTATGAGGCCAGCATCATCCTGATACCAAAGCCAGGCAGAGACACAACAAAAAAAGAGAATTTTAAACCAATATCCTTGATGAACATTGATGCAAAAATCCTCAATAAAATACTGGCAAACTGAATCCATCAGCACATCAAAAAGCTTATCCACCATGATCAAGTGGGCTTCATCCCTGGGATGCAAGACTGGTTCAATATACGCAAATCAATAAATGTAATCCAGCATATAAACAGAACCAAAGACAAAAACCACATGATTATCTCAATAGATGCAGAAAAGGCCTTTGACAAAATTCAACAACGCTTCATGCTAAAAACTCTCAAGAAATTAGGTATTGATGGGACGTATCTCAAAATAATAAGAGCTATCTATGACAAACCCACAGCCAATATCATACTGAATGGGCAAAAACTGGAAGCATTCCCTTTGAAAACTGGCACAAGACAGGGATGCCCTCTCTCACCACTCCTATTCAACATAGTGTTGGAAGTTCTGGCCAGGGCGATGAGGCAGGAGAAGGAAATAAAGGGTATTCGATTAGGAAAAGAGGAAGTCAAATTGTCCCTGTTTGCAGATGACATAATTGTATATCTAGAAAACCCCATTGTCTCAGCCCAAAATCTCCTTAAGCTGATAAGCAACTTCAGCAAAGTCTCAGGATACAAAATCAATGTACAAGAATCACAAGCATTCTTATACACCAATAACAGACAAACAGAGAGCCAAATCATGAGTGAACTCCCATTCACAATGGCTTCAAAGAGAATAAAATACCTAGGAATCCAACTTACAAGGGACATGAAGGACCTCTTCAAGGAGAACTACAAACCACTGCTCAATGAAATAAAAGAGGATACAAACAAATGGAAGAACATTCCATGCTCATGGGTAGGATTTTCTTTTTTATCCTTTTTTTTTAGTACTTGCTCTGTGGAATACCATATGCATCTTATCACAATTTACTTCAGATTAATACTAAGTTAATTTCAGTAAATTTTGAAACTTTGCTCCTTTCTTTCCCCTTTGTGCCATTATTTCATATATATTACATTTATATTTGTTATCAACCTGGCGTTATAATTGTAACTATTGTTTTGTACAATCTTATGTTTTTTCTTGGTGGGAAGAAATGAAAACAAATATTCATAGAGTCTTTTAACCCACATAGTTACAATTTCTGGTACACTTCAGTTATTCCTGTGAATTTCTACCATTTTTACCTACAAATGCCATTTCCTTTCTGACAGTGAGGTTTCCATTATCTGATGATGAACCTGCGAGTTGGTAGAACACATTAACAGTTCTAACTGTTTTCAAATCTACCCTGGGCTTTGCTTTCTGCATGGCTATTTCAAGTCTCTCTCTGCATATTTACAGCCTCATAGTTGGCCAGGAATGTGTGACTAGCTTGGGGCCTCTTTGATACAGCTGTGCATGTATCTAGCCACATCCAGCATAATGTTTCATCCAATCAGTACCACAAAGGTAGTAGGGCAGAGCCAAGCATCACTCTGACCAAGCTTGGGGAGGGGTGGATGAAAGCATCTCTGAGCGAGAATGCCACATATTTTCACTGTTCTTAACTGAATTTCAATAATCCAAGCACAAATGCTTCTCAAATCATTATATTCCTTTGGTTAGTTTTCATGGGACAGATTTTCTTACATACTTTTTTAAAATCTTTTTTTTTTCCAGATTTATAGTGCTTTTTTGGGTAAAGAACTTGCAGTTCTCCTACTTATTGGTAGCCAGAAGTCTCACTGAGTGTACTATTTCTGAAGGATGGGGGAATAATGCCTAGTAAAGGAAATCATCTAAATAAAAACACAGTTCACTCCAACATGTCTGGCTAGAATATTTTTGTCAAACATGGTTAAACTTTGAGTGATAGAAAATCATTAACATAGGAGTTAGAACCTAACAAAAAGAAATATTGGTTATCTATAAATGAGATAAAAAGAGTAGCTAGGTAAAGTAAGAAAGAAGTACTAGTTCAAAAATCATGTTTAAACCTCAAGTCTGCTATATAGGATTCATAAAAGTGTGTGGTTGGGTAATTTTAGGCAGATTAATAATGAAAAAATAATTCTTTGTTGAAATGAGAGTTGGATTAGTGATTACCAATTAAATGCTTCCAGAATTCCTGGATTTCTGTAGTGACTTATGTTAGTAAGTTTTGCTCCTAATAATAAACTGCCTGCCTTGACCTCTCAGTGGAGGTAAACCTTGGAAAGAATCTTATTTGAATTTAGATTTATATACTTCTTAGGAGCGTTTTTAAGATTAATGCTAATTTTGTAATCGAGTACGTGATTAAGCCTCTTGGAAAAATGTGCAACTCTATTGAAAATATACTAAATAGATAACGTATTATATAGAAAGTTTCTATCTTTTGAGAAGTAAGCTCAAAATGTATTTACTTTTGGAAAAGTAAGCTAAAATGACAAAGCATCTAGGACAAGCTTGTCCAACCCACGGCCTGCTGGTCACACATGGCCCAGGAATGGCCTGCTTTGAATGCAGGCCAACAGAAATTCGTAAACTTTCTTAAAACATTATGAGGTTTTTTTTGTGATTTTTTTTTTTAAAGCTCATTAGCTGTCGTGAATGTTACTGTATTTTATGTGTAGGCCAAGATAATAATTCTTCTTCCAATGTGGCCCAGGGAAGCCAAAAGATTAGAGACCTCTGACCTAAAAGTTAATAAGATTTGAGTCTGTTTTTGGTTCTAAAGGTGATATTTTATATTGACTTTGAAGTTTCACAAAATAGTAGAGGTAGCCTATTCATAGCACTGAAAGCTGGAAAATATGCAATTGAAATAAGAATTTAAAATGTATGGAGAAGAATTACGATAAAAGTGGCAGATAAGCCAAGAAAACTGAGTATTTCAAGAAGGGAGCAACATATCTAATAGTAAAAGGGGAATAAAAACCATCAAAGAGCCTTTGGATTAGAAAGTGTATGATAAAACTGTATCTCTATCTAGCCTTAAATTACCAGCATACGAGAGATTCTGTCTCAATGACAGCTTTACAAGTTGAATTTAAACTTGAAGATTTTTCAGATGAAGAGCTAGCACTAGAAGATAATATGTATAACATTTCTGACTTGTCATTGAAAATACATAACAGTTCAGAGAGTCACACCATGTGATCTTTTGTTATGTCTAAAAGCTTATGTAGCATTTTACAGTGATTGAATGAAATAATATGGTTTGTGATGTCTTATTTATTTTTTGCTATGTTATTGTATTAGTTATCTAATCCTGTGTTATTGTATTAGTTATGTACTGCTGTGTAACAAATCACCACAAACTTATTGACTTAAAGCAGCACACCTTGACTTCCTGTTTCAGCTCTAATATATAAAGAGCTTGGAAATTGTCACTCCAATCTTTACAACAAGAAAAAGCTGAACAAAATAAAGTCAGCAACTTTTCTTGGATTTGTTGGAGAACTTGCGAGGAAGATCCCCTTGTAGCTCTGGCTAGGAGAAAGAATATTCTTGTGAAATACAGGGTGAATGTTCCTCATCTGAAACACTTTGGACAAGAAGTTTTTCATTTTCAGATTTTTATCCCAAATTTGAAAATCTGAAATCTGAAAAGCTCTAGTGAGCATTTCCTTTGTGCGTCATGTCAGCTCTCAAAATGTTTTAGATTTTAGAGCATTTTGGATTTGGAATTTGAGATGGTCAACTTGTACAGCCAGAGACATCTCCACAACAGAGGGCTACTCTCCAGCATGAAAAGCTTTACCAGAGATGTATCTCAGAGATGTGGAGGAAGGACATTCATCTCATGTTAGCCCCCTTTACCTTTCCTGTCTCATTTAAGGAATAGGAAGCTATATAAGAAGAAATGCTTGTGGAAGTCCCTGGCCAGGGACACATGCCCCCCAAAATAGATCTACTTGGAAAATTATAGAATGCCCCTCTATTCACATTTTACCAAGATCATACCGACATACATGGGCTCCAGCATAATCGTGGATTATATTTGAAAGATCTGAGAAAGACAAAGAGTGTATCTGAGGAAGGAATACTTACGGAAGTCCAAAGTCAAGAGGGGAAACAAAAACAAAAACACTAACTTCTGCCACATATAGCTACAGCAAACATTAAACAAAGCCTGACTACTAGCTAGATTAACATAAATCCTCACTTCACTTCCTACCAATGCAACATGTCTGGCTTTTGACAAAAAATCACAAGACATCTGAAAGGCAAGAAAACACGAAGTCAGAAGAAACCAAGCAAGTATCAGAATCAGGCTCAGGTGACACAGATGTTGAAAGTAACAGACAGAATATTTTTTGAAATATGATTACTATATTAATGGATATAATGGAAATGGTAGAAAAAAATAAAGAACAAATAGACATTGTAATGCAATTAGATAGGAATTCCAAGAAAGGATTAAAAGGAAATGCTAGGAATATATATATATATATTAAAAATACATATATAGATGAAATAAAAAATGCCTTTGAGTTCATTAGAAGATTTGACATAGCAGAGGATACAGTGAGCTTAAAATTAAGTATATAGATATTTCCCCAAACTGAAATATGCAAATAAATTTAAAAAATTAAAAAGCAAATATTCTAGAACCGTGAGAAAACTTCAAAAGGTGTAACATATGCATAATTAGTATAACAGGCAGAGAACAAAGGAGCAGTGAAATTTTTCAGGTAAAAATGTCTGAAAGGTAACTCATGCCTGTAATCCCAGCACATTGGGAGGCAGGGCAGGAGGATTGCTTTGAGCCCAAGAGTTCCTGAGCAGCCTGAGCAACATGGGAAAACCCCATCTTTGCCAAGGCACACACAAAAAAAAAAAAAAAAAAAAAACTTACCACCACCACCACCAAAAAAATTAGCCAGGCATGGTGGTATATGCCTGTAGTCCCACCACTCAGGGGGCTGAGGTGGGAGGATCACATGAGCCCAGGGATGTCGTGGCTATAGTGAGTTGTGATCATGCCACTGCATCCAACCTAGGCAACAAAATCAGACAGTGTCTCAAAAAAATAAAGTCTAGAAACTTTTAAAAGTTAATGACAGACATTAAATCACTGATCCAAAAAGTTTAGAGATCATCAAAAAGCATACATGCCCCCCACAAACAAACCAAAGAACTAATAACAAAAATTACACTTAGGCATATCATACAAAATTCCAATAAACTAAAGATAAACAAGAAGATCCTGAAAGCAGCCAGAGAAAAAGACACCTTAAAAGAACAAGGATAAAAATTACTAGGTATTTTATTCTTTTTGTGGCTATTGTAAATGGGATTGCATTCTTGACTTGGGTCTCAGCTTGAACATTATTGGTGTACATAAATTCTACTGATTTTTGTACATTGGTTTTGTATCCTGAAACCTTACTAAAGTTTTCTATCAGATTTAGAAACCTTTTGGTGAGTCTTTAGGGTTTTCTAGGTATAGAATCATATCATCAGCAAGGGGAGATAGTTTGTGATATGATTTGTCTCTGTCCCCACCCAAATCTCATCTCAAATTCCCACTTGTTGTAGGAGGGACCAAGTTGGAGGTAATTTAATTATGGGGGCAGGTCTTTCCTGTGCTGTTCTTGTGACAGTCAATAAGTCTCACAAAATTCGAGGGTTTTAAAAAGGGGAATTTAAAAAACCCTGCACAAGCTCTCTTCTCTTGTCTGCTACCATGTGAGGCATGCCTTTCACCTCCTGAGCCATGTGGAACTGTAAGTTGGTTAAACCTCTTTCTTTTGTAAATTGTCCAATCTTAGGTATGTCTTTATCAGCAGCATGAAAATGGACTAATACAGTAAGTTGGTACCAGGAGTGGGGTATTGCTGATAAAATACCCCAAAAAGTGGAAACAACTTTGGAACTGGTTAAGAGGTTGAACCAACTTGGAGGGCTCAGAAGAAGACAGGAAAATGTGGGAAAGTTTAGAACTCCATAGAGATTTGTTGAATGACTTTGAGCAAAATTCTGTAATGATATGGACAATGAAATCCAGGCTGAACTGATTGCAGATGGAGATGAAGAACTTGTTGGGAACTGAAGCAAAGGTGACTCTTGTTATGTTTTAGCAAAGAGACTGGTGGAATATATCTCTGCCCTAGAGATGTGTTGAACTTTGAACTTGAGAGAGATGATTTAGGGTGTCTGGTGGAAGAAATTTCTAAGCATTCAAGAGGTAACTTGGGTGTTGTTAAAGGCATTCAGTTTTTTAAGGGAAGCAGAGCATAAAGTTTGGAAAATTTGCAGCCTGACAATGCAATAGAAAAGAAAATCCCATTTTCTGAGGAGAAATTCAAGCCAGCTGCAGAAATTTGTAAAAATAACAAGGAGCTGAATGTTAATACTCAAGGCAATGGAGAAAATATCTCCAAGGCATGTCAGAGGTCTTCATGGCAACTCTTCCCATCACAGACCCGGAGACCTAGGAGGAAAAGGTGGTTTTGTGGACTGGGCCCAGGGTCCTCGTGCTGTATGCAACCTAGAGACTTGGTGCCCTGTTTCCTGGCTGCTCTAGCCATGGCTTGAAGGGGCCAATGTAGAGCTCAGGCCGTGGCTTCAGAGGGTGCAAGCCTCAAGCCTTGGTATCTTCCACATGGTGTTGAGCCTGTGAGTGCACAAAAGTCAATAGTTGGGTTTTATGAACCTCCGCCTAGATTTCAGAGGATGTGTGGAAATGACTGGATGCCCAGGCAGAATTTTGCTGCAGCAGCAGGGCCCTCATGGAGAACCTCTGCTAGGGCAGTGTAGAAGGGGAATGTGGGGTTGTTGCCCCCACACAGAGTTACTACAGGGGCACTGCCTAGTGGAGCTGTGAGAAGAGGGCCACCGTCTTCCAGACCCCAGAATGGTGGATCCCCTGACAACTTGCACTGTGCACCTGGAAAAGCCTCAGACACTCAACACCAGCTTATGAAGGCATCCAGGATGGGGGCTAATATGCAAAGCCACAGGGATAGAGCTGCCTAAGGCCATGGGAGCCCACCTTTTGCATCAGCATGACCTTTATGTGAGACATGGAGTCAAAATAGATCATTATGGAGCCTTAAGATTTGATTGCCTCACTGGATTTCAGAGTTGCGTGGGACCTGTAATCCCTTTGTTTTGGCCAATTTCTCCCATTTGGAATGGCTGTATTTACCCAATGCCTGTACTCCCATTATATCTAGGGAGTAATTAACTTGCTTTTGATTTTACAGGCTCATAGGCAGAAGGGACTTGCCTTGTCTCAGATGCTCTGTGAACTTTTGAGTTAATGCTGAAATGAGTTAAGACTTTGGAGGACTATTGGGAAGGCATGATTGGTTTTGAAATGTGAGAACATGAGCTTTGAGAGGGGCCAGGGGCAGAATGATATGGTTTGGCTGTGTCCCCACCCAAATCTCTTCTTGAATTCCCAAGTGTTGTGGGACGGACCCAGTGGGAGGTAATTCAATCATGGGGGCAGGTCTTTTCCATGCTGTTCTTGTGATAGGGAGTAAGTTTCATGAGATCTGATGGTTTTAAAAAGGGGAGTTGCTCTGTCCAAGCTCTCTTCTCTTGTCTGCTGCCATGTGAGACATGCTGTTCACCTTCTGTCATGATTGCGAGGCTTCCCCAACCACATGGAACTGTAAGTCAATTAAACCTCTTTCTTTTGTAAATTGCCCAGTCTCAGGTATGTCTTTATCAGCTGCATGAAAATAGAATAATACACTTTGACTTCTTTCTCCATTTTTATGCCTTTTATTTCTATCTCTTGCCTAATTTCTCTGGCTAGGACTTCCAGTACTATGTTGAGTAGGAGTGGTGAGAGTGGGCATCCTTTTTGGTTCCAGTTCTCAAAAGAAATGCTTATGCTTTCAGCCTTTGCCTGGCCAGTGTGATGTTGGCTGTGGGTTTGTCATAGATGACTGTTACTATTTTGAGGTATATTCCTTTGATGCCTACTTTGTTGAGGGTTTTTAACATGAAAGGATGTTGGATTTTATTGAAAGCTTTTTCTGTGTCTGTTGAGATGATCACATAGGGAAGAATTCCTATTCAATACATGATGCTGGGCTAACTGGCTATCCATATGTAGAAGAGTGAAACTGGTACCCTGTCTATCACCATAAACAGAAATTAACTCAGGGTTAATTAAAGACTTAAATGTAAGACCTCAAACTATAAAAATCCTAGAAGAACATCTAGGAAATGCCTTTCTCAATATTGGCCTTTGCAAATAATTCGTGGCTAAGTCCTCAAAAACAATTACAACAAAAATACAAATTGACAAGTGGGTCTTAATTAAACTAAAGGTCTTCTGCACAACAAGAGAAACTATCAAGAGAGTAAACAGAAAACCTACAGAATGGGCAAAATATTCACAAAACTATGCAGTGACAAAGGTCTAATGTCCAGAATCTATAAAGTACTTAAATTAACAAGCAAAAACCAAATAATTCCATTAAAAGGTGGACAAAGGACATGAACAGACAGTTCTTAAAAGAAGACATACAAGTGGCCAACAAACATACCAAAATATGCTCATTATCACTAATCAAAGGGAAATACAAATCAAAACCACAATGAGATACCATTTCACGCCAGTCTGAATAGGATGACTTTTGTTAAAAAGTGAAAACGAAGACATATTGGCAAGGCTGCAGAGAAAATGGATCACGTTACATTCCCACCATTGAGAGGAATGTACGTTAATTTAGCCACTGTCTAGAGAAGTTTGGAGATTCCTCAAAGAGCTAAGAGTTGAACTACCATTTGACCTGCAATCCCATTACTAGGCATATACCCAAAGGAAAATAAACCATTCTACCAAAAAGACACATGTACCTTCATGTTCATTGCAGCACTATTCACACTAGCAAAAACATGGAATCAACCCAGTTGCCTATCAATGGTGGATTAAACAAAGAAAATGTGGTATATATACACCACGAAATATTACATAGCCATGCCCAAATGAAATCATGTCTTTGTAGCAATATGGATGCAGCTAGAAGCTGTTATTCCATGCAAACTAAGGCAGAAACAAAATCAAATACATGTTCTTATAAGTGGGAGCTGAACATTGGGTACACATGGACATAAAGATGGGAACAATAGACATTGAGGAATACACAAGGTGGTGAGAGGGAGGTAGGCAAAGGCTGAAAAACTACTTATTGAGTATTATGCTTACTGCCTGAATAATGGATTCATCTGGACTCCACACCTCAGTATATTGCTCCACATGCAATATACCTTTGTAACAAACCTGCATGTATACCCCCAATTCTAAAATACAAGTTTTTTTTAAAAGAATAAGAATTATATTAGACTACTTTTCAGAAATCACACAAACAAGAGCAGAGTGGAGTAAAATATTTAATGTGTTGAAAGAAAAAAATATTACCAACCTAGAATACTGTGTCTTCTGAAATTATCCTTTAGCATGGAAGGAGGAATAAAGACCTTTCGGAGGGTCATAAACTAAATGAATTCATCTCCAACAGAACTGCATTGGGAGAAATGTTAAGAGGTTCATCAGGGAGAAGGAAAATGATATATCAAAAGCTCAAATCTACATAAAGAAGGAAGGCATCAGGAAAGAAAGAAAGATGAAAATTTTATTCCTAATTGATCTAAAAACAACTTACTAAAAGTGATAATAGTAACACTGTATTGGGTGATTATCGTATATGAATAAGTGAAATGAACGACAACATCAGAAGAGATGAAAGGGAGGAATTGAGATACTCTGTAAGGTACCTGCAATACACATCGAACAGAGCAGTGTTATTTGAAGGTGGACTAAGATTAGTTAAAAATGTCTATGGTGAAGTTTAGAATAACCACTAAAGTAATACTTAAAGACATAATTGATGAGCTAAGAGAGATAAGCCATCCTTAGTTTTTGAACAAGTATACTTCTCCGTAGGGCAGCCTTACTGCATGGCAGCTTGCTTCATTAATGTCAGCAGGAGAGAGAGATTATTAGAATGATGGAAGTCTTATGTAACATAATCATGGAAGAGCTATCTCATCACCTTAGTTACATTCATTAGAAACAAGTCACAAGTCCTGCCTACTCACAAAGGGGAGAGTATTATACAGAGTGTGAATACCAAGAGTGGAGCATTATTGGAGGCTTTGAGTCTCTTCCACAGTCATTGTTCTTCATATATGAGGAGCTGTATCTACAGAAAATGTTACTGATTATGGTGTGATATACTACATCAAGTTGAGAAGGAAGCGCCTAATGTGTATTGATGTTTTAAATTATTTTTGCTCTCTTCAATTCCTCTTTTCTATTTCTATGTTTTGTTACTTCACGGTTACCTTCCTTTTCTTTCTCAGAGAAGGCGGAAGACATTAGCCTTTGGATCATCTGAGCTACTTTCTCTCCATATTAGTTCCACTAGTATTTATCTTGTTTATTTTTTTCATTGTCATTTTTATAGCTTCGATAGAAGGGAATAACCGTTTTTTTTCCAAATGACGTGCACTATCATCTATCCACTTTTCTTGTCTTGTCAAGTTCTTGTTCTACTAACCTGCCAACAATCATTTCATATAAAAATTTACACAAACTTTCCTCTACCTTTCATATATTTTCCTATTTTTCACTGTCATTTAATTTTTTGAAAGTCTTGGACAATATTTCAGAGTCACCAATTTAATTTTCCCACATCCTATCCACTCTTTAACCTAGTACCTCATGGTTTCTGTTCCTAATACTCTGGGAAACCCTTTGATTTGAACATTATTTATTATTTGCTATATCAGTGATTTATCAATTCCTATTCTTATTCGCTATAATTTTTCCCCAATTATCTTATCTTGGACTATTATAATAGCCTCCAAATTGGCTTCCCATTTTCCATCTGCTCTCATTCTAATTTATTATATGCACTGTAGCTCAATATATCATATGTAGCTCTAATCATGTCACATGACTTTCTAAAACTGCTTAAGTTAAATGTCATATAGAAATCCTAAAGATTGGATGTAAATAGCATCACACAAATTGTTAAATATAATTATTTCAAAATTAATAACTATAATTATTCCATATCTACTGGTATATTATTTGTCCTTTGGTGCCCATTGGCCATTGTAAATGCTCTGAAATAAATAAAATTTTGTACTAGTACATAGGCAAATTTTATGCTTCTGACCCTAAAATAAACTAGCTATATGACTTCAGGTAACCAAATTTTTTATTAGACACGGACTGCTGCTATTTCATTTCATTTGGTCCAAATAAATTGAGACTATAAGGTAAGAGTGCAACTGCATAAGTACATAACCTACAATCCAATTTTATCAGATAGCCCTAGCGCTATATTTGACTGAATTGAAACCTCCTCTCCCTAAATTAAAGGTAATGAATTTTTCTAAAAAATATATTTGGTGTTCAAAAATTCAGTCTCAAATATGTGAAATTCTTCTGCTCTTCAAACTGATGTTAAGATTTTAAAGTAGCTGTACAGACATGATCTTCTGTCAGTTTGAACAGAATCTTACTAATCCACCTGACATTAATTCATTTAAGTCATCTTCTTATGAGCAACAGAGAGGAAACCTGTCAGAAAGTTTCTATCATAGCTGAAATGCAGCTGCCAAGGTTTATTTTTTCATACTGTCAGACATAGAGGAGGCTTATTTTAGTGTGCCAAATATACTTTCATTATTCTTGACTTTACAAGCATAATATGATGTTTGCTTTAATGAAAATGGAGTAGATTCTTGTGGTCTACAAAAGTGTCAGGGCATAGTAGTCTCGGAACTAGAAGCATTTGTGATTTCAATGGTAACTAATCTTCAATTTTTTTGGTAAAATATAAAGCTTAATTTTTAGATAATTAGTATGAAAATAATCCCTTCAAAAAAGCACAGTGTACTCTCAGTCTTTTGAAAACAATACAGAATTCTTAAGATTATTTTACCACATGTTACTCACCTGTTTATTTAAATTATTTGTACAAAGTTATTTAAATGTTTATGGTTGTTTAGGATTTAAATTTTTCAGTGTCAAAAATACATGATGTTTCATTCATTCTCTGTAGATGTCAAATTACTGCCCTCAAATCAAGTGTCACAAAGGACCTATGCTTGTACTCCCTGGACTCATCTGGTGTGGTAAACACCAGGGCAACATGAGGAATTCTAGAATAGAAAACAAAAAACATTGGTGTTGGAGATAATCAATAAGTTATAATGAGTTCATTCATTCATTTAATAATTTTTGAGTAGCCCAAAGCTAACACTGACTGAAATTTAAAAAGGAATCCTCTTTTTCAAGATACTTTATGGCCATCTGCTGGAACATTGTTGTAATAAATATACAAATCTATGACTACAATGTGAATTTACTTCTTATAATTGTGTGGTACCTAACTTTTTCAACACTGAAGGTGATGAAGAACAACCATATCCTTGCTGTCATGGAGAGATAAAGATGTATAAAAAATAGTTACACTGTCTGATAGATATTATTTGGTCAGATAAGTGCATGAAAAAGAAAATAATTTAGAAGGAGCTAACAGAGAATGCCTCCTTGGTCAAGGGATAGTAACATTGAGATCTCAGTAATGAGAAGAAAATCTGCCACATAAAAACTGTAGGAAAGAGCAGAGTGAACTACGTGTGCAGAGGCTGTGTCTTAGTCCATTTGTGCTGCTATAACCAAAACACCATAGGTGTATGAATTGTAAGTAATCAGCATTTATTTTCTCATAGTTTGGGAGCCTGGGAAGTACAAAATCAAGGCGCCAGCAGATTTCAGTGTCTGGAGAAAACCTGCTTCCTCAAAGGTAGGCTTCTGTCCTTTTTCTTGCTGTGTATTCACATGGTGGAAGGGGTTAGGCAGCTTTCTGCAGTCTCCTTTGTAAGGGCACTAATCCCATTCATGAGGACCCCACCCTCATGAGCTAGTCACTTCTCAAAGGCCCCACCATCTAATACCATCACACTGAGAATTAGGTTTCAACATATGGATTTTGGGGAGACACAAACATTAAGTTCATTGCAGGCAGTGATGCATGAAATGAGTAGTAGGTATGTGTAAATAACTGAAAGAAAACTAGATTGGCTAGAGTATCAGAAACTGGAGGGAGAACAGAATAACTGAAAACAGATACATACAACAATGAGAAATGGTTGTATAAATTATGGTCCATTTGTACAAGAGAACACCATGTAGCCATTGGTGAACATGTTTTTGAAGGATATTCTATGGTATGTGAAGCTATTCATCATAAGTAAAAAGCAGGACATAAAACCCCACCATAGGTGTATATGTGCTACACGGTTTTTCAATTTCATTGCGTCTGTAGGAAAAGAGTGAGATATATAAAGATAGTTAAAGCAATTATTTCTATTGGTAAAGTTATGAATTATTTAAATTTTATTTTAATGTCTATTTTTAAAAAAAATATTCTACTCAACATATTCTCATCCAGGTATGCAAACAGACATACACAGGAAATTTTTGATGCTTCATTCTTTGTCATAGCAAACAAGTAGAATAAAACAAATTGTTCCTCAATAAGGGAATGGATTAATACACTGTATTCTATTAATACAATAGAATGTATAGTATTATAGTCAAAAAGGAAAAAATAACCTAGAACATTCATTAAAATACATAAGAAATAAAAAGATAATTTTGAAATGATCAAGTTAGTTGCAAAACGTAACTATATGTTACAGTTTATATGCATTTTAAGAAAAGTTTTAAATATTCATAGTTACAAATACATGTGTGTACATATTAAATAAAATACAGGCTAATTATGTTCTTCCATTAAAAAAATAGTTTCTTCGGATAAGGGAGCAAAGATAAATGGATGAGAGTAACTTTAGCTGCATTTATGATATTTCTTTTTTAAATGGATCAATCTGAAGAAAATATAACAAAGTATTTAAGATTGTTTAATCTTGTCTCCTTTGTGCCATTCTGTATGTTAATATAGTAAGAAAGAAAACAATATTTAAGGTTTTAAATTAAAAATGTTAAGACTCATGACCTCATGTGGATATCACTACTTAAGGAATAGCATATTTTGGAGAATCTCAGGTCAACTTACAATTTCTACTGTAAATAAGACATGCAAACTAAAGAGAGCATAAAACAAATACACAGTTTAGCAAGTAGTTATTAAGTAAATTAGATAATCACCACTCCAGGTCAAGAAATGGAATATTATAGCAGCTAAACCCAAAGTGGGCCATTTTCCTATTTTTGAACTTTATATAAATGAAATGATACTATATTTGTATAATTATACTATATGTGTATAATGTATGAAATTATACTACATATGTATAGTATATGTAATATATATATTCTTTTGTATGTTGTTGTATTAGTTCAGTATTGTGTTTGTAAGATTATCTATGATGTCGCATTTAGAGATAGTTATTTCATTTTCATCACCATGTAGGTTTATCCATGCACCTGTTAGTAGACATTTAGATTGTTTCTGGTTTGAACTAAAAACATAAATGTTGCTCTGAACATTTACACAGCCTATAAGTATACATATATATGTGTATCCTAGCACACACATATACAAATGTCTCTAAGGCAAATGCTTAGGAATGAAATTGAAGGGTCATAGAAAATGCTTATCTTTAACATTATTACTATATGTACTGAACTGTCTTCCAAACTGGAGTTACCAGTTTACACTCCTACCAGCAGTTTATCAGAGTTCCAGTTTGTAAACAAAATTATTATTTCCCTGATTAGTAGTGAGATTGAATCCTAGTTCAAGTGTTAAGTCATGTAGAATTCCACTTTTTAAGTGTTCTTGTGTATGTCTTTGGCCCATCTTTCTTTTGGGGTGCTTGGATTGGTTTTACTAATGACGTATTTTTGTTTTTTTCTGAATACTAAGTCTTAGAACTAGTCTAGCAACCGTCTTCTTCCATTGTGTTACCTGTGTTTTAATGGTCTATTGATGAACGGTTCTTAATTTTCATTTGGCAAATTTATTAATCTTTTTGTTTATGGTTCATAACTTGGGATCTTATCTAAAAATTCTACAGTGATGTCATGGAGATACTATCCTGTATTATCTGCTAAATACTTTATAATTTTGACCTTCTCATTTGATTCTACTTTCGATACAGCTGGAATTAATCCATTTCAAATGAAACTTTCCTTCTCCTTCTCCTCATTCATTTAACAGGTTGCTAAAGAAAACTAGCATTTTTTGAGAAGCATTTCTTGAAGAAATGTTGAAGATAGTCTGCTTAGGAGTGGGAATATAATATGGGGTGGATCAGGAAGTTTGACCTACAATAATATGTAAATTAAAGTCCATTTAATTTTATATAAATTGTGCTAATCCTCATATGTTCAGGGAGAAATAAAGGAGTAAATTTAAAAAAAACTGTTTATAAATCAATTAAAAATGATTGAATTTATTGGGGACATAGACATGCTTTTAATGGTTAGCTAATATGATCCAAAATTTGGGACTGCAAGTAAAAGCATCCTAACAAAGGATAGATGGAGAAGGATACAGACGAGCTGAGAAGGAAAAAAACTTGTAGACATAGAAAGTTTAGTTAATTTTTTTATTTTCCTTGGTGATAAATAGGAGCTGAAATATGGTCAATTGCAAAAAGTAGACAAATTTGAATTATTTATAGTCAGCTCAAAGGGGTTTTTGTGTGTGTGTGCATGCATATAAGTTGGATGTGGAACTTAATTGTATATAGCTATGGTTAGGGCCTGGAATTTAAATCAAGTAAAAAAAGTCATAGAGATTTGATTCAGGGATTTGTTCCCCTTTCCTCTCCTAAATCATTATCAGTCTGTCCTTCTGCTTATGCTGTAACTGAATGGCCTATCTACAGGCCTGATGCCATTTAGAGGCTAAATATTCTTACCCGTCTAATAACCATCTGAAAAAATCAAATGCTGTATAAAAGTTTTGGTTTTCAAGGATTTTTTTAAACATTAAGATTCTAAGTACATGCAAAAATAAACACAAAATATTAGGTGAACTATCAGCAATTTAATTGGGTAAAATATTTCAGTTTCTATAGTAGACTTAGAAAGCAGACTTTATCATCAAAATGGCTTATTTTAATTTTTATTTATGAGTGAACGATATACCCGAGATTTGCTTTATTTTAATGCAGAAATGTTGGTAGGTATAAATAAAGGATGGCAGCAAGTTAATTCTGTTGGTTGGGTGATGGGTATGTTGATATTTATTGTACTATTGTTTTATTTTTTTCCTGTGTTTAATAGTTTCCATAATAAAAAATTTAAGATATAAAGCTGATTTGTAAGGATGTTACTTGTTAAGGGATAAAATTTAAAGGCTACAGGTTAATATAATTTTTTTCTGGGGTGGAAAAACTACTTTGCTCACATACATATTAATGTCTCCATCCATCTCTATTCATTTATTCTCCCAAACATCCACCCCTCCAACAGTCCAATAAGCACTGAGCCCTCACTACTCTAAGACAGTGTATAGATCATTGTAGAATATAAAATTACTTAAGGGAAGGTCACTGAAACACAGAATTATGGAAATTGAAGAAAACTTGGAGCTAATTAACCAAAATCTACATTGTATAAATGATTATCCTGAGGCTCAAGAAGTTACACAGTTTCCCCAAGATCACACAAAGATTTTAGTGACAGAGAAACATATCCAAGATTGAAAACTTTTCTTATGTTACATGTAATGAGTCATACACACTTGATGTAACAAAAATATTTATTGGGTTCCATCTACTGCAATTGTGAAGGCTTCCATGTGAGTGATAATGGAATTGCACTTTCCTATGTTCTCTTATAAAACTCATTTAATAGCCACAGTGGACTGAATCCATTGAGTTTTTCAGTAACATCCAATTCTGCTATATTCAGGTCCATCTTCATATGCTGTGAAAAAAGATTTCACAAATATGGAAGTGGTAAGAAAGCATGCATTACAAACCTAAGTAAATTTGGCAGATTCACCTTAGGGATTTTGCTACAAAAAGCAGTTTCTGTGGGATAAAAAGTATTTTGACATGGAAATATCTTAATAACTCTATAAGGTTGTCAGTTTTTCTTAGGGGAATTTTTTTCTACCAAGATAAATTACAATTTTGTCTCTTTTGAGGTTGCAAAATGAAGGTTGCAAAGGCAGCAAATAGCTGGTGCCTAGAAAAGCAATAAACTTGCTCTGCCTTAGTTATAACTATATAAAAAATGCTCAAAACTTTTGCAGTGCTTATCATAAGAAAAATGTGTGTAATTTGGGACTAAGTAAGGCTGTGTAGACTGATGGCTATCTGAGGCTCTGACTTCTACAAATTAGTAGCTGTGTAATCTTGGACAAGCTATTAAGCCTCTCTGTGCCTGTTTTCTTCTCAGGTAAATGAGGCTAATAATAAAACCTACTTCATAGTGTTTGGGTGAGGATTAAATTACATTAGTCATGCAAAGCTTTTAGGCCACTACCTGAAAAATCATAAGTGTTCAATTAGTACTAGTTAGTATTAGTCTTCATATTATTTGATTCAACTACGTAACAATTTATGGTAGAAAATTCATTAATCATTGTTGGCTAAGTTGGCTAGAGCACTAATTTTCAAATCTGTTGAGAATTTGGAGCAGTGATTATCAGTTGCCAATCTAGAGATACATATTAGTGTCCGCTCCCTCTATCTTCCCTAGAAATAGGACCCAATTTTATTTGGGGTAGGAAGGCATCCAAGAATGAGGCAATGTATCTTGGGTGAAGTATCTTATATAAACTCTGGGTTAGGAGATGTTTGCATAAGTATTTTCTGGGATGCTGAGAAGGCTGCTTCAAGGGCAATCCCTCAACTTGAGAGTGCTTCATTTTTTTCTTCATCTAATTTTCTCCTGTTTCTTGCCGCAAAAGAAAAAAGTATCAAGCGGCTAATTTGGAGCATGAAGCAACATTGAAGATGGAAGCCATGATTAAAGATGGTAGAGCAGAAAGAAGGAAACTGGGCTCCACTGAGTTTTTAGAATTTCTATACCAATTTGGGATTTCCTACTTCACAACTTCTAAAAGAAAAATGGAAGACTGCAAATCTTTATTGTGTTTGAGCCTCAGTTATTTCGAGTTTTTATTGCTAGCATTCACATAAGAATTTTAACTGATGCAACACACCTTATGGAGAATGTTGAAAATAAAGGTCCCTTGTTCCAGAGATATTCATTCAGTAGGTCTTGGATGAGATCCAGGACCAGCTAAGTTTGGAGCTATACTAGCACATAAAACTTGAGGCTTCTGGGTCATGGGGATTTTATTCCCATGTGTTAGCTTTTGTCAATTTTAGAGGGAAAATTCCTGTGAAGTGTCAGAAGACAGAAAAAAAAATAACCGTTGTATGGGCATCATATATGTGTTACTCTAGGAGGCAAACCATTTGAAATGCCCGTTCTATTACCAATAGTCAAATTTTCATAAAGAAAATTTATCATGGGAGAAAAGGCATTGGATGGACTTTTTAAAATTTTATGAGATAGGAACTGGGCAGGGAAGAAAAATAAGTTATTATTTTGCTGAAATAATGGAATAATCCTGATATCTTAAAATCAGTTGGGAGAAGTCAAGCCTTAACAAAGGAATTTACTAAATGTGGGTAGTTTGTGGTTATCAACAGAGCCAGAGGGGAAAATGGCAAAGTCATTCTGGTACTAAGGGAGTCTGTACTAAATCACAGTAATTTCAGATAAAATTGGCCAAACATCAATTCTAACAGCATGCTTATATTAAAGAGAAAAAAAAGTATTCATGGTTCAAGAAAAAAAATACTCTTTACAATCACTTGTGCACAAATATTTCTTGGTATGAATCAGAGAATATATTCTCATAACCAGCATTATACATGCATGTAATAAATGAACCTAAGAAGTCCACCAGTCCCAACTGTGGAAGTTTCATTCAGCAAGATCAGAAAGCCATTAGCCAGCATGATTGAAACCTTTTCTGTGAAACAAGGTCTGCGAGGGTCAGATTTACTCAGCAATTCAACCTTCATTACCTCTCTTTCAAGTAGAAACCCACTTGGCTTACATTTTAACAGTACATCTCTAATAGGGTGGCTCCATTGAGATCCTGGGTAGTAAAAAGTATGCCAAGGTGGTTTGGATCCATTTTGATACCTTCTAAGCCTGAGCTCCAGAGCTGCAGGGTCAATCTTCCTTACCAGTCAATAGTTTCTGTCTAGAGTGAGACACAAAAGCCTATTTTTGATATTTGGGCACCCTTCTGAAAGGATGAAAATCCAAGGTTATATCACTCTACGTGGAAAATAAAAAGCTTATGATATCTCTTTTAGTTGAAAGCTTATATAGCTCTCCTTGGTGAACATTTCCTGAGCTTTCGTTACTGTGCTGAGTGCCATTGCCCTTCTTAGAGTTGACCGCATTTCTGAGTCTGAAGCACTTGTGGGCCCTTTGGGATGAAAGACACTTTCCTTGCTAAGTGCCATCCATTTTTATTGTTATTATTAAGTCAATTCCCAAAGTCACATCCACTAACATGGCATTTTCAAAAATGACATATTGCAGCAGTGTACTGGGAAATGCTGTTCAGCTGGCTTTCTTATGCCGGCCTCATAAGTATTGTGTTTGTGGTGATACTTTTGGGAATGACGCTTCTCTTTGGTGGCTCAATATGCCCACAGGTAGTAAGCTATTAAGGGAATAATGATGGGCAAAAGCAGGTGGCAGACACTTTATGACAGGCTCGTCTTCCACCTAAGTCATCTGTTGTTTAAGAGTGTATGTAGTCTCTGTACATAAAGACTGGCTCTTGAGAATAATGCAGAGTGATGATATTCAAACACATTCTTTGAGAACTGTTAGAGTAATTGGCTTAAAATGCACTGTGTTAGTAGACATCAATTGCAAGAAATATGCCAAGTTTGTGGAAGCATGGCTTTCCTATTTAATTTCTAGAGGGAATTTGTATAATGCCTTTTCATTACATGATGGTGAAATTTGCAGTGCAAATATAACAGAAATTAGGCAACTATACAGAATGAGAATCCAGGGAACAAAGCTATCATCCAGATTTTCATAGCACTAAGGTAAATCATGAGTACACATCAAAGATATAACTCTCAAAATATTCATTTGATGGTAATAACTGCTAACTTAAAAAAATACAAAAGTGCATTTGGGAAAGATTTCTGAGGACTCCTATCTATGTACTGGTTTGAATATGATATAATTTAGTGTGGTATAAAATAATTTAGAAGAGGCTTTTTAATTTTTTTCTACTGTACCTGATAAATGCTATGTATTCTAGATAAGGAACAAAAAGAAGCAGTAGGTAAGTTTGGGCAGAGTGGTTAGTCTCAGTGCAGGCTTTATTTTAGAAGCACTTAGTACTTATTCCCAACAGTGTTTCTCCATATACAACTTATCAACTAGAAATCACAGTGGCGGCCAATGGACTCCTTAAATAAGGTTAATTCCCCTGTTTAACCCATACATTTCTTCAAGGATCACATATAGGTATGGTATAAGGGCTGTAATAAGATTAGATGTTGAACATCTAAATGGCAGCCCCGCCACGCCAACACCCAGCATATTTCTCTTTATATAAACTACTCTGACTCAGAGAGGGCCTCAAAGAAGGATTCAAAGTATATATCATGAATTTATTTTGATTAAGCTATAGAAAATACAGGATTGCATTCCAGGTTTTTGTTTAAAAACTAATAAAAATGACTCTTTAAAAAGTGCAGAGTAGACATGTATTCTATTTCATTTTCTTTTCTGGTTTTATCTTTGAATACAAGTAGTTATAGCCCAGGTATTCTTTCTCAAGAGAAAAGTTGAAAGAAAAAAAAATCAGATCACTATTTTTGTAGGGGAAACTTGAGTCTCTGTTGTTAAAAGAATTCTGGACTTGATATGTGTTCTTAGTGGGGCTCAGAGATACTTGTGTCTGCTATCTTTAAGAAATTAACTCCTGGAATTCTTGAATAATGAATTGCTAACCACTTGTTTCAAAATATTGCCCTCTCCATAAAAGAGAAATGGATACTATGTATTTGATTTTTAAAGGAGTAAAGGACACCACCAAATTTTATGTAACATAAAGGAATAAAAAGAGCTACATTTGCTTAATTTTTGGAGAATATCAATTTCAAAATTATAAAACTCAGGATGGCATGTCAAAACATTTATGAAAGACAACCCTTACCTGACTTGCCCATCCTTGAGTTTTATTGCCTTTTCTTCTGATCCAGACTATAGAAGCATCATGACATGATACTGCTTTCAACATCCTCCTTTGGACAGTCAATAAACGTGACAATACCTTTACTAAAAGTGACAATCTGTAAATAATTTCACTTAATACTTTTGAGAGCCAAAAATCCTTCCAGTCTCTCCCTCACTTCTTATTTCAGGGTAATTACGAAAAGCTTAATGTATATATTCAACCACAAAATTAAACTGAAACCAAAAGCTATGATTCTAATGATTAACTATACAAGCCTGCACAGTTCTAAATTGGCCAAACTGTCACTTTCATTGCTCCATTATGGGCACTGATCCAGAAATTAATTAGAAATACAAATTATGTCAAATTTGGACCTATGCAGACTAGCCAATTGAGCAATAAAAGTTGAAATTCCTATAAAGTGTAGAAACCACATGTGGAAATAATCATAGCCTTTTATCAATCACTTAAATATATTTTATTTGTGTTTCCATTTAGATTTCATATAAATGAATAAAGTGCATGTTTTTATAGAGATTGTATTAAAGATGATATATTTTAAAATTTTTATTAAATATTGTTGATAATGACTTTTTATTTCTAATTTTTAAATTTAATGTTCCATAGAATGTAATGAAAAGCCAAGATGCTATATGTAGTTGTGATTTATTTTTCTCAGTAATATGTTTGCCACTTTATTACAGTGGATGAGATGACTATTACTTTTATTTTTAAATATTTAAGTGCTAAAAAGGTGGTTTATTTAGTTATTCCATATTCTATATAATATATTCATCTTTCTCAATAGATTATGATTCAATTTTCTTTGCTCTAAACTTGTTTTTAAAATAAAATTACCTCTATTTCTGGATCATCAATTGCTACTCTAAATTTTTGTCTTATTATGGCTTTCTTTATACTAATTCACCTTTAATTTTCTCTCCTACTTTGGTTGAATTATTTTCCAAATTCAGAGCTTAAACTTGATTTGCACCATTGATATTAAATACTTTCTTATGTTTCATAAATTGTCCTTGATGCTATTAAAGGAAACATCAAATACTCAGTAGAAATTAGATTTAACAGGCAGATGAATCAATTTAACTAAGATAGTACTATTTTACAATGGACACTTATGATAATTCATATTTTTCAGAAATACATTATACCAAAAGATTGAAAAAGAACACATGGATAGATTGCTATATTTCTATAGAGTTGAAGCTATGTAACTGTTAAATAATCTCTCTGGGTTCTTTGTAAATTTATCATTTACAAAAGCACTTATTTCTCTGGGAAGTAGGGTGAGTCACAGTATGTTTTGAACAACTGAAGACGGGTAACTAGTCTATCATAGAATGCATAGGGCAGTTTCTAGTGCATTAAGGAGTCATGTTGTTCTAATGTAACAGAATTATACAATTATGGGCTTATGATGATTTATTTAAATTGGTAATTTAAAAGCCATTTGAGTCTATATTTTAATGGGCACAAAGAAGACATACTGCAGTGGAAAGAGTATTTAGACTGAAATAAGTGCTATGAATCTGTTTTGTCCTTTACTAATTATGTGACTTTAGGTAGGTTACTTAATCTTTCTGAGCCACAGTTCCGTTTTATATGAAATTAATATAATAATACATACCTTACAAAGTTGTAATAACAACTAAATGTCATATCATGAGTAGGCAGTTAATACAAGGTTTCTTTGTGTGTTGTCTCCAGACAGATGAAAAATAAACTTCAAGACAGAGATCAAATTTTCATGATGCTAAGCCATAAGGCAGACATTTAAGAATACTTCTCCTGCCTTCTGTGAACATACAATTTTGCCACAACTCTGTGTCTTTAACAGCTCTTTTAATTAATTTTAGCAAAGAAAAAAGGCCAAATTAGTATCTTAGCCTAGATTTAAATGGAATGTTTTGGGAAGGATTTTCACTATATTTAGGTTACAATAAAGACCTAGTGATTGCAGGTGATCCTGTGGTCCCATTAAGCAGCACATTTTTTGGAAGAAATGTAAATTTAGGAACCCTGCTTCGAATGGTAAATCCTCTCAAAGTTTGAGATAATAAGGCTTTGACAAATTTACATATTTATAAAAATTGATAATATGTGTGTGTTTCTTAACACCTTGTAAAACAAAAGAGGTGAAAGTTTTGGGAGGTCAGCCTATGGGAAGAAAAGAAGTATCACTCAGAATTTATGTGCAATCCGAAGTACGTAAAGAATCTGAAGTGGAATTTAAGGAGGCAAAAGGAAACTTGAGAGCTATGCTTCTTTCTGATGAGAAAGGAAGATGCTCAAATATATGCAGAAAGATGTCAAAGACAAAGTTTTCTTATTTTCATCTGAAGCACTGAATTGAAAGTTTCATTCTTTTTTCCTCAGTATTTAAACTGCTTTTGGGTTGTGTTTTACAGGCTATGTAATTCCCACTTCCCAATCCCTCTGGGAAGTTGTGGCCATTTTAGATATGCTGAAGTGAATTGAAGAGATCAAATTCCACATTGCAATTAAATTGATCTGACTTTGAAATGAGTTTGGTATCCAATCTAGCCTTCATTTTAATTTTTGTCTTTTGGGAAAATATAGGCCTTTCTTTAATTTTATTTACACATGCCTAGAGGCATTGTAATGGATGGATTTTACCATGAGAAAAAAAATTAGGCTACAAATAAGCACATTTGTCACTGCTGGTGAGTGAATTCTACACTTATATGTTATTAAAGTAATGGCTTTGCATGAATATATTAACTCTAGTGAAAAATCAAGGATTACAATTCTACTAAAGTTAAATTTATTATACTTTTAGGCAAGCCCTTTAAATAGCTGTGATTTTCCATTTAATTTGTATTGTATAGTGGTTAGTGGTGCTGCTTTTTGTTCCTCTTAAATAACAGTGTGCTATCTACTGGCATTTGTAGCCTGCTACTTTAATATGCATAAATCCCAATACGCTCTATGGCTGATGCTTTTAAGATGAGATAGTAGCTTTCCTGGCGTATTTGTTGATTTATTTTAGCAACTGAGAAAGTATCAGGCCATTGAGGTTGGATCCAATTAATCTTTGCTTGCTTTCTATCTTTTCTCTCTGTAATTTTTCTCAAAGCTTTGAAAAAGAGTGCTACCAAGTATGCATGTAATAGAAAAATGTTTTAAATTGGAAGTGGATCACAGTTTAGAAATTGATTGTGTCTTGTGGCATTGCTATAATGAAGAACTGTTTTAAAATACAATTATTTGACTTGCTTGAAAGTTTCTATACCACATTAATAGGAAAGTTTTTGAGGTCTAGGTTTTTCTTTGTTTTTAAGGAAGAGTCAATGCACCTTATAAATAGCATACGGTGTTACTTTTGGGATAAGTAAACTTATATGTGTTTCAATAAACAGATTCCAAATTTCCAAGAAAATAATTGGTTAAATATAAAGAAATGCTTATTTTTAAGTTGGAACATGCTGACAATGGGGAAAGTGTTCTAAATTTGGTCTTTAGCTTATGTAATCTCTGCCCACTTTTTTATTTATTTGGAAGTTTTTTTTGCAACCAGAAATGCAAACAAGTGTTGAAATTTGCATTCAGAAATTATTCTCTCTTTATTAGAATACAAATTCTGATGTGAAGCAGGTGGTGATTCAAATGCTGATAACCTGTAAAAAGTAAAAGTACCTTTATAGATATAAGAAAAGAAGAAATATAATATTTTAGAAAATGATTGATTTGAATTAAAATAGAAGTACTAGCATACTTTAGTTTTTCTGTCTTATCTGAAAATGTGTAAGCCTGAATTAGGGATTTTAGTGGCTCTAGCATTATTTGGATTTTTAAAAAATTAATCAAGCATGGAGAATTAGACTTCTAAAATATTTATTTATTTTATCAGCAAATATTTATTAGTCATCTACTATTTTAGTTACCTATTGCTTCATAAAAAAATTACCACCAACCATAGCAGCTTAAACAACAACCGTTTAGTATCTCCTACAGTTTCTGAGGGTGAAGAATCCAGTCGAAGCCTGGCTATGTGGTTCTGGCTTAAGATCTCTCATAGGGTTGTAGTCAAGATATTAGCTAGGGCTGCAGTAATCTGAATGGTTTACTGGGCTAGAGGATCCAGTTCCAAGCTCACTCATGCAACTGAGTAGCTATTCATAAGAGACACCAGTTTCTCATTATGTGGAGCTGCTCGTGACATCACAGTTGCCCTTTCCCAGATGAAATGATTGAAACGAAAGAGGATGCACCCCAAACAAAAGGTACCGTGATTGTTATTATATAATCTTGGAAGTAACATTCATCACTTCTGTCATATTCTATTGGTTACAAAGATCAATGCTGGTGCAATGTGAGGTGCAGATACTAGGATGTGTGGGAATCACTGGGATCCCTGTATTGGAACCCTGTTTTCACTTCTACTGTATGCTCTAGATGATATTAGATACAAATATGGATGACGTTATTTTGTGTCAGACAGTGAATTCAAGATCAGATTATTTTACTTCTTGTTCTAAAAATCTAGTTACAGTACAAAGGCATTCATTTGAAAATAAGTTTTCTTTAAAAAATTTCACATCTAAAGGAATACTTTAAGGATAATTTAGGATATATATCCTTAGAGAATAATTTAGAACAAAAAGATTCTGTTTCTTTTTTCTCCTATTCTAAACACCAAGCCAGATGAGTTGAAATTAAGTGAGATGCTCACTGCAGCATGGAAAAAGCAATTTCTATTGGTAAAATTTTATTTCTTAGCCTTCAAAAGCCAATTTTGTCAGTAGCTCCTTTCAATCCCAAGCTAAAACATTTCATTTCTTGAGAAGGTGTTAAATGTGTATAGTTAATGAATTTACACATATAAAATGAATTTTGCTAGGATTTCAGACAAAGGTAATAGTAGTTTGAATTTTAGTTGACTTTTTTGTTGAATGCTTATTTTATCTTAAAGTATACATCCTCTTTCTTCTTCTTCTTCTGTGGAATAAAGCAATGAAAAGGAAGTGCTTAAATTTGTTAGTTTTATTATATATTTTTTATTTAAGGACTAATCCATATGTCTGTAAAGTCCCTCTCTTCTCTGGTATATGATTCTTGTGTAATAGGGGTCATGCAAATAAGCTTTATTTAAATTTTTTGTTTTAAAAAGATTTCTATTTCCACAAATATTGATTAAACATCTATTATATGTAAGGTATTATTATATTATATATATTCATATACCCTAGTTTTGAGAAACAGCAACTCACTTGCAACTGCCTTTAAAAACTGGGGAATTTATAATAAGATCATTGGAGAATCTCATGGAATACAGAGAAGAGTTGTGTATTTTTGCTTCTGGTAGGAGTTTCATTGATTTCTCTGATTTATGCCTTTCTGTAAATATCTATTTCATTGCTTTCTTTCTCCTTGCAGACTGACTTTCTCCTCACTCCCCACCCCTGAAATATTTATTTGGAAAAGGCTCCCAATGTTTCTGTATTTACATATGTCCAGCCATAATGGTATAGACTGATTTAAATCTCACAGATATAGCTTCAAATTCACAGGGAAAATAACTTTTGCCTTCAATTGGTTCAGTTATTCATTTTTCTGTTGTTCAGGTGAGTATGAAAGAAATACTGTGAATGTCCTTGTTTTTGTTTGATTGATTCTGGAACACTCAGTTGTGATGGGAGTGGTATCATGTTTGTGAATCTATCATCTGGAACCATATAAATGTAGGTCAGAAGCTTTTTCCTGGAAAAGCTTGGGCATTAAACAAGTCTCTAATTTGGGCATCATATGATTTCATGAAAGTTTAACTATTTTTGTTATTCAGTGTGAAATATTCTCTTTGTGCATATTCTCATTTCCTTCCCTTTATTGTCTCTCTTCTATTTAGAGGTGTCTTTATTCATGATAAAATCATATGCCAGATTTTCTTTATTTACTTTGAAGAGGGTCTTTTTATTTTGACTGTTCTATACAATTGCAAATTACTCAAACTTGTTAAAACTTAGGGCAGTGTATATTATATACCTGATGTTACTATTAAATGAAAATATTGCAACTTTAAACAAATGAAAGCATTCTACTTCATATAGGTTTTACTTTTTATTATTTTTATTTACTTTTAATAGTCAAGTCTCATTTAGTTATACATTGTAGAAATAATTTTGGTGGAAAATAAATTAATTGGAGGCATGGTGGGGTGACTCAGGGAGTCAAAGAAGATTTGGACAAAGATAGAAACTTGAAAGCCACTGGAAACCTAAGCTTGTAGCTATCATCTGTCGCTTTATTTTTCTGTATTTGGAGTTACCGGAGCTTTGCCTCTCTTTCCTTTCTCTAACTTTCTATCTCATGTCTCCTTTCTGCAGTATATCCCATCCTCGTCCTCAGTCCACTTTCACTGCTTTGTTAGGCATATTGCTGAAAACATTTCCCCCAGTTTCTGAAATTATGTGTCCATGGTACAAGTGACATAAGAAACAGTTAAAAGTATCACAGATCCAAATACCCAGAAGAAAAAAATATGGTTGCTTCATTTGAAGTGAGGTGCCTATTCCTGGTCCAACCAGTTTTGGCTGGTGTGACAAAGTCATATCACTACAGATACTCATGGGGAGGGTCTCACCAACTAGGCAGATACAGAAAAAGGCATCTACTCTACTTTGGATTTGTAACGTGACCATCTAATTCTAATATTAAAATACACTGCTAGGGACGTTTGAGGAACTTACAAAGCAGTCAGTATGCTTGGAGTAAAGGGAATCAGTGTATGAAGACTTGTGCATGGGCCTAGAGAGGTAAGCAAAAGCCAGGGAATTAAAGAACTTGAACATTTTCTATGGGTAATGAGGCTTTTAAACAGGGAGAGTGAAGGGCAGACTTAGAATTAATTTTTTAAAGATTACTCTGAAAGATGTGTGACAATGAAGGGATTAGAATAGAGCAAGAGTAGAAGCAGGGCCACCAGATTTCTGAAGGAGAGATAATGAGGGAGCTAAACAAAGATAGTGGCAGTGAGAGAAAGAAGGAATAATTTCAAGAGACATTAAAGTTATTGCTTGAGTAACAGTTAGATGACTGACTAAATATGATAAGTAGTGGGAGAAGAAAGCACCCAGCTTTCTCTGGCTTGAGCAACTGGGCAGTTGGTATTGCTATGTACTGAACCAGGGAAAGTCAAGGTTAGGAAAGGAAAACGAAGAGTTTTATTTGAGCTTTTAAGTACCAGCAAGATAAATGATCTGGAATGGGTATATCAACATATGGGTCATAGTGAAGTTTAAAAAACAGAATGGGAAGACATTTGGGGGTGTTCTACGACAAAGCTGAAGATGGGCTCTAAAAGGACACTGAGGAGTCACAACCACTTACTTTGGACAAAAACTAAGTGAGCATTAAGAGTTTAGAAAGGAGAAAATTTTTTAGAAGAGATGTGGTTGATAGAGTTAAATACTGTAGAGAGGTCAAGAGAGACGAATACTTCTCAATGACTTTCATAACAAACCAGGCATTTTTGGCCTGAGCCTCAGTCATGTCAGTAGAATGTGGGGTGGGAGCAAAAGCCTGATTAACATAAATGGGTAAAGAAATGGAAGCGGAACAAATAAAGGAAGTGATTGTAAATATCTCTTTCCAGTAGTTGCGACCAAAGGAGAGTGTGATTGCCAGGAGAAGACAAAGGATAAGGGGAACTTTATGTATTGTTATTTTTTTATCTTTGGTTTTATTCTGTAAGGTATGTATTAAACATATGACAACAAAATAGCCAAATATGTGAAGATGCACAACAGCAAGGGGTAATTAATTGGTAGAGCAAGTTTGCTGAAGACAAAGGGGAAAGAAAGCACAGCATAAGTAGATGGATTAGCTTTGGGAAGAAAAATGGATACCTTTGTGTCTTCAATGTTATTTTTGGTTTATCCGGCCTACGGTATGGTTGAATCAAGAAATGCTCAGTTCCTTCTGTTATCCATGTACTAACTGGGATATGGTATCTTTATTTTAGGTGTTTCAACCTTAGGTGCACATACTAGGGAGCTTAAGTACATCCTACCTACTATTAAATTATTTTTCTTTGCTTCCACTGATGGTGTCAATTGAGTTCTTTCTTTCTTTTTCTTTTTTTTAAGTGAAATACAATAAACTGCAAATATATAAAGTATACAGTTAAGTAGGTTACAATGTATGTGGTACACCACAAAACTGTCACCATAACCAAATAAGGAACACATTAATTACCCCCAGAAGTTTCTTGCTGATCCTTAGCAATCTCTCCTGCCTATGCATTCCTGCCCCGACTCCAGGCAATCACTGACATACTTTCTATCTGTGTTGATTAATTTGTATTTTCCAAGATTTTATATAAATAAACTCATATGGTGCATACTATTTTCATCTGGTTTCTTTCACTCAGAATAACTGTTTTGAGATTCATCCATGTTGTTGTATTAATACTTTCTTTTAATTGCTGAATGGTATTCCACTGTATGAGTCCAGTGTGTTTTTCCATTTACCTTTTGATGGGCATTTGGGTTATTTCCAGACTGGGGCTATTATAAACAAAGCTATTATGAGCATTCATGTACAAGTATTTGTGTGAACATATACTTTCAATTGTCTTAGAATTGAATGGGTGGATCATATGCGGGTATGTATTTAACTTTTTAGGAAGCTAAAAAATTACTTCCTTTTTACAAGTTACAAGCCCTTTTCCAAAGTGGTTATACTATTGTACATCCCCACAAGCACTATATAAGAATATTATGTCTTCTAATTCTTGCCAACACTTGGTGTGAACTGTCTTTTTAATTAGAATGTTGCCATTCTAATATGTATACAACGATATCACAATATGGTTTTAATTTACATGTACCTAGTTTCTAATGAGGTTGAGCACCATTTCATGGTGCTTATTTTATATCCATATATTGTCTTTTGTGAAGTGTTATTTTTTTCTTTTTACAACATAATTTTTAAATTGAATTACTTTCTTACTACTGAATCAGTTTTTTATATATTCTGGATACATGTTGTTTATCTTTTTTTAAAATGTCTTGTGCAAATATTTTCTCCAAGCGTATGACTTTTTTCAATATCTTAATAGTATCTGTTGAAAGCCAGTATTTTTAAGTTTTGATGAATTCCAATTTATCAACTTGTTCTCATATGGATTATGTTTTTATTGGTTTTTATTTAAGGAATATTCACATAACCCAATATTGCAAATGTTTTCTCCTAGAAACTTTTGGTTTTAGATTTTGCATTTAGAAGTATGTGAGTTACTTTTGTATTTGATAATTGGGGTTCTTTATTTTGCAAATGGGTATCTATCAATTATGCTAGTACTAGTTAATTAAAAGACTCTTCATTCACCACTAATTGCCTTTGTACATTTGCAAAAAATTAGTTTTCCATATACATTTGGGTCTGTTTCTCCACTCTCTATCATGTACCACTGATTTGTTTATATTCCTGTTAATAACACACTATCTTAATTATTACGGCTTTGTAATAAAAACATGTAGTATTGGTCTTTCAATTTTGTTCTTGTTTTCATATTTCTTTTGCCAAATTTAGTCTTCTGTATATCATAAATTATATTTTATGGCTTTTATAATAATTTGGTCAATTTCTAGAAATAAGATTTTTATTTTGATTATATTTGTTGAGAACTAATCGATCGACTTGAGAAAAGTTGATATCTTAATGGTATTGTCTTTCAAACTACAAACATAGCATTTATCTTCATTTACTTTAATTTCTCTTAGTTACGTTTAATAATTTTTAGTATTCGACTCTTTCATGTCTTCTATAATATTTATGTTAAGTATTTTTTGCTATTATAAATAACATTGCTTTTAATTTTAATTTCTATTGCACACTGCTTGTATATGCAATTGATTTTTTTATATTGATCTTGCATTCTGAAATCTTTTTAAAATTAAATTATTTTTAGTAGCTCTTTTGTATATTACATTTGGTTTTTTATGGAAAAATTCATGTCAATTGTGAATAAAAGTACCTTTTCTTCTTCTTTTCAAATTTGGATGTCTTATTTATTTTTACCACTCTTTTCCATGGACGAAAAATATTGAAAAGAGGTGATGACAGCAGACTTCCTTGTCTTATTCTTGGTTTCAGGGGAAGGCATTCTGGTTTTTGCTATTAGGTTTGTTTAGCTGAAAGTTTTTAGTAGATACCTTATGTTAAGTTGAGGAAGTTTCCTTTTATTCTTATATTACTGAGACTTCTTATTTGACATAGATGTTGGGTTTTTTGTTTGTTTTGTAAATCTGGTGACTTTGAATGTTAAGGCAACCCCACCTTTCTGGGATAAACTGCATTTGGATATGATGCATTGTCCTTTTTATGTATTGATAAATTCAATTTTTAAAATCTTATATAAATGTTTTAAATTTAGGTTTGTGAGTGCTTGTTACCTGTAGTTTTCTTTTTCCGTAATATTTGTGTCTGGTTTTGGTATTAGGGTACTCTGGCTTTGTAGAATAAATTGAGAATTATTCTCCCATTTCAATCTTTTGTTTGGGTCTATTTGAAAGAGTTTGTGTAGATAGGTATTATTTTTTTCCTTAACTGTTAAGTAGACTTTATGAGTGAAACTATCTGCTTTTTGTGTTTTCTTTTGGGAGAGGCCTCACACTACAAATTTAATTTCTTTAATAGATAAGTATTCTAGTCATCTCTTTTTGCCTTAGCTTTGCTACTTTGCTTCTTTCAATAAATATCTATTTTGCCTAAATTGTCAAATTAATTGGCATAGTTTGGCATACTTTTTCTTTATTATTATTCTAACATCCACAGAACCTGTGGTGATATCATCATTTATTCCTGATATTAACTTGTGTCTTCTCTTTTTCCTGATCAATATTACTGGATTGATTTATTACTTACTAATCTTTTAAATCTATCCACCTTTGGTTTCATTGATTTTTCTCAATTGTTTTCCTATCTTCCATTCATTGATTTCTACTCTGATCTTTATCATTTCCTTTCTTCTATTTATTTACTAATTTGTTCTTGTTTTTCTGGTTTCTTAAACTAGAAACTGAGATAATTGACTTGAGGTCTTCTTATAAATTTCTCCATAAGTAATGATTTAGCTCTATCCCACAAATTGTCAACGTGACTAGAGTTCCAAGTCAATCAAACTCTAAGGAGTGTTGCTGTGGAGAGATTTTGCAAATGTAATTAAAGTTCCTAAGCAGTTTACTTTAAGGAAGGTAATTCTCAATTATCTGAGTAGGCTTGATTCAGGCTTGAAAGGCCTTAAAAGCAGTAATGAGGCTTCCCCTAGAAAAATAAATTCTGCCTGTGATCATTAGTTTTGGTTTTTGCCCATGGAGTTTCATATTGATTGTGCTGTTGCTTTCCTAAATGCCTGCCCTATAGATTTTGGATTTGCTTAGCCAGCCCCTACAACTGTGTAAAGTAATTATTAAAGATCTCTCTCTCTCTTTTTCTCTTGCTATTTGTGTATGTAGATATATATGTGTATGTGCATATGTGTGGGTTTGTATGTGTACATAGATATATAGAGAGGGTTTAAATAATTATATATACGTATTAATATATGTATATTTTGTGCATATGAATATATCATATTCCCACTGCGTATAGTTGAACCCTGACTGATACAGCAGCATGTAGTAGTTGGGTCTTACTTTTTCATCAATCTGATCTGACAATCTTTGCCTCTTGATGGAAGTATTTAAATCATTTCCATTTGATGTTGTTGCATATATGGAACAATTTGTCTATTATCTTACATCTTGTTTTCTATTTTTTTTTCTTTTTTTCTTTTTCTGCCTTCTTTTGGATCATTTGAATATTTTATGTCTTTTACTGGTTTATTATGGCAATAATGTTTTAGTTGCTACTTCATGGTTTAAAGTATTTATTTATTTATTTTTTAGAGTCTTGCTTTGTCACCCAAACTGGAGTGCAGTGGCACAATCATAGCTCACTATAATCTCAAATTCCTGGGCTCCAGGGATCCTCCCACCTCAGCCCTCTCAGTAGCTAGGATTACAGTGCATGCATTCATTCCTTGATATTTAAAAAAAAAATTTTTATAGAGACAGGATCTCACTATGTCACCCAGGCCATTCTTGAACCCCTGGCCTCATGCAATTATTTCACCAACATGCTGGTATTACAGGTGTGCGCCACCATGCCCAACCTAATTATATATCTTTTAAGTTATCACAGCATACCTTCAAGTGATACTATACTATACAATTTCATGTACAGTATAAGAATCTTATAATAGTATATTTCTATTCCTCCACTACAACCTTTTTTGTGATTGTCATACTTTACACCTCCACATGGCATTCTTTTTATTTTTGTTTATATAGTTATATTTTAAATATATTTAAACAATGTGAAAAATATTTTCTATATTTACCTGTATAATTATATCTTCAGTGCTCTTCACTTCTTTCCTCAGTTCTATTCCTCTATCTGTTATAATTTTCTTTCTATCTACTTGTTGGATTCTTTCAGAATTTGTATGATTGAAAAAGTATTTATGTTACCCTCATTTTAAAAACATGTTTTTGCTTGGTTTAGAATTCTAGGTTATCATTTTTTTCTTTCAGTACTGTAAAGATGGTCCTCTGCTGTCTTATCACTTATATTTTTTCTGTTAAGAAATCTGCTGTCATCTTTACCTTTGTACTGCTGTATGTAACCTCTCTGGTTGCTTTTAAGATTTTCTCTTTTAAGCTGATTTTGATCATAAGATGCCTTGCTGTACTTTTCTTGTGGTTGAATTTTGTTGAGCTTCTTGGATTTGTGGGTTTATTGTTTTTATTAAATTTGGAAAAAAACAGACATTATTTCCTCAAAATTTTTTTTCTGCATGTCTCTGCAACTTCTCTCCTTTTAGGGACGCGTTACATGCCTATAAAGCTTCTTATAATTGTCTCACAGCTCTGTGTTCCTCCTCACATATTTTAAATTCTGTCTGTTCTTTATTTAGAATAGCTCCTATTGCTATTTTCAAATTCATTAATATTTTTTCTCTAATGTTTAATCTGCCATTAATCTCATTAAGTGTATGTTATCTCACACATTGTAATATTCATCTTTAGAAGTTTGATTTGGGTCTTTTTTGTTAATATATTTTATGGGCACATGGTTTTAATAATGTTTAATGTTCTTGTTTCCTAATAATAAAAACCATGTGAGTTCTAGGTCAGTTTCAGTTGACTGACTTTTCCTCTTGTTATGAGTAGTATTTTCCTGCTTTTTTGAATGCTTGGTAGGTTTTGATTGGATGCTAAACATTTTGAATATGACCTGTTGAAGGCTGGATATTTTTGTATTCCCTTAAGTATTCTTGAGCTTCATCCTGAGATGCAGTTATTTGGAAGCAGTTATTCGTATTTTTTGGAAGCAGTTTGATCTTTTGGATCCTGCTTTGAATGGGTTTTTGTTTTTGTTTTGGACCAGAGGAGTGCTCAGTCTATGGCTAATTATTTCCCAAGACCAGAGAAAGATTTCTGTCCTCTACCCACTGATCTTGTTTTTTTCCCTTTATTCAAGTCTGAAACAGTAATGTGGTGCCTAGTAATGAAGCAGCCATCAAGTGACCATTAAAAGTTAAGACTGGCAGGTCAGGAAGATAAATGTCCTTGTGCAGCTATATCACTCTGTAGTATTGACCTCCTAACTTTTTGTTTTCATATGAGCCAAAATAAACTACTAACGTATAAGTCACTATTTATGAAGTTTTCTGCTGCTGCTAGTGTAACATTATCCTGCTTGATAAAATCCTTTATTTTCAAAGCCAAAGAACAAAATGTAGAAATGTCCCCGTGCAAGTGTAGACTGTCTTCATCCATTTCAGTCCCAGTGACTATGAGTTTTCATTGGACCAACCACTGTTATGATTAGTAAGATCCTCAAGGGAAAGATAATGAGTAAAGCGATATTCATTTCCTTGAAGGAAAATGAGAATAAAGAAAATGTTGTATTGGTTTTATACATATTAATTTGTTATATTCTGCATGAGCTAAATTTTAGGTTATCCAAAGTTATTAAATACTACTTAGGACTTATGTGAAAAATTTCTATGTATATATTTTTCATACAATGTGAACACCAGTAGTAGAAAATGTTCTATTTTATTACACATAATACTTTTACATGTTTCTTTAAAATATCAACATAATACTGTTATTTTTTCTTTATTATTGCTATAAATGTATTCCATGAAAATTTCAAAGGTAATTTCTCTCAATATTACCTAGATAAAAGCATCATAAAAAATAAAGCTACCTAGATGATTACATCTTGCTGTCTAAATTGGGTATCAATAGATTTCATTTCACATAGAATAAAAAAATTTATTTAAAAAACTTTTTAGAGTCATTAATTTTAAGCACCTGAAAAACAGCATAAGTGGAATCAAAATAGTATATTTTTTATTTCTTCTTGGCTAAGTGATAGGGTCGTCAATATCCAGAAGTATTTAAATATTCATTTTGCCTAAAACTTTAGTTTCTTTTGAATAAGGGTACATTTGATATTCATCCTCTACAGAATGAATAACCACTAATTCTAATCTATATTTAATCATCCATAGTGACTCATACATTAGTGACTCATTCCAAAATCTAAATTTCAGAATATCAGTTATTTTTAAATAAGCTTTCTTTCTCCTATTCTGCAAAGAAATTGTTGAATTGGATTGCAAGAAGGGACCAACTAAAATGCATTTTTTCAGACTTATTTGACGTTTTGAATAAGTTTAAAATAGCAAGAAATATTGCTTCCAGGAGAACATGAATTTCTAAAGTAGTTGATTTGAATTAGTCACTTTCAGAAAGAAGGATGTGACTTACAATGTCACAAATTGATCACTTCAGCCCTGCCCTTATCCTTGTATTCCATTAGCATCTTACTTCAGTCTTCTAAATATATTAATTGCCATCACTTAAAATTAAATATGTCTCAAAGTGAAATCATATTTTACTCCTAGTTCCTGTACTAAGATTATTTGATTTGGTCAAATTATATTATTATTTTTCTTATCACTCAAGTTTAACATTTTTCAATAATTTGACCCTATCCAATTTCTCTGCTTCCACATTCAGTAAGTCTTCAAATTCTATGCTGACTGCAGTTACTGTATGAAAGAATTTGCTTTTCCTCTTCTTCATTTGTAGTTCAGTTATTCTTCAAGTGCAACTCAAGTCTACCTGAGTATATGGATTATTGTAGTTTATCTTTAATATTTATTTTGTCTCTTAATTATCAATCCTATGACTCTCTACACAAGTGTGATTTTTTTGTACAATGACTATTTTCTATCAAAGAGCTGTAGGAAATCATGGTCATTGTATCTCCTACCAGATAATTTTTCTCTTTTTTGATACTTAATAGATCAAAGGGGTGAAAATCAGAGATTGAGATGCCCTAGGGTTGAAATAGAATTTTAATTAGACTCAATCTGTCTTTGGATTATATTCATTCCTAAATTGTGACTTTCATCGGCTACCAAGAACCTGTTAAGTGAAGAGACAGAGACTCTGCATCTCTGAAAGATTGTGGATGATTCATTTTTTCACATATGGGGTTTTCAGCTTATTTCTTTAATCTTCTGCCTCATGTAGCTTCAAAATTGGCCATGTGTGCTGAAGAGGTTAATGGTCAAGTGTCTGAGGCAGGGCCTGTCTAGCCAGAGAGTTTTGCTTCCCAAACACTGTAAGATCTTAATCAAGCTTTTAGAAATTTTTGGCATAGATTTCCAGTTTCACATGTAGCACTGTAAATTAGCAAATGTTGTGTGTGTGTGTGTGTGTGCGCGTGTGTGTGCTGGTTGTGTATTTGAGGCCCCTCAGTTTCCTAATTTGTCACTCTATCTTCAAGTGAATTTTTTGCTTATTTTTATTGTGCCCCAACAGAAGAGTTCTGCCTCAGTACATTGTTTCTCACCCAATATGGGTGGGCATCAGCCAATCCATTAAAGGCCTGAATAGAAAAGGAAAGGTGGAGAAAAGAGAAATGTGCCTTAGTCCAGTATATCAAATGCTTTCAAGGAAAAATACAGCTGGCAAACACTAGCTTACTTCAGAACACAGCTCTACCCTTTATGAAGTTTTACTATGTCTAGTCTTTGTTTCTGTAACTGTCAATATCTTTAAAATATAATTTTGGTAAATTTTCTGGCTTTTTTCTCTTTGCTGTAACAGAAGAATTAGCTTGCCAAAAACTGGTCCATCCTATCTAGAGACAGAAATTTCTAAGGATATCATTATTCCCTTATATTAGACTGTCAAAATGGCTTGATATATTAGTCAGGGTTCTCCAGAGAAACAGAGCCAGTAGTCTGTCTTTGTCTTTGTCTTTGTCTGTCTGTCTGTCTGTTTACCTACCTACCTACCTACCTATCACCTATCTTATAAGGAATTGGCTCATACAATTGTGGGGCTGAAAAGTCCCATAATCTGCTGTTTGGTAAATGCAGGAAAGCCAGTGGCATAGTTCAGTCTGAGTCTGAAGGCCTGAGAACCAGGGGAGTCAGCAGTGTAAATCCAGATCTGAGAGCAGGAGAAAATGATATGGGATACCCCAGTTCAAGTAGTGAGGCAGGAACGAAGTGATGAATTATTTCCTCCATCTTTTGTTCTGTTCAGACCTTCAATGGATATAATTAGGCCTACCCACAACGGGCAGAGCATTTTACTGAATCCACATGTTAAAATGTTTATCTCATCTGCAAACACCCTACAGAAATAATGTTTAATCTGGCACCTCATGGCCAAATTGACACATAAAATTAACCATCCCCCTTGATATAAAATTCTAACTTAAATATTGTTCGCCTTTAATGCTTTTAAAAAGTACTTTGTCATCTTAGTACCTTCACTTTTTTATTGAAAAGTCAAATGTAAACCTAACTTTTTGATTGTTGATTATTTTATTCTCTTCAGAGATTTTTTTACAATCTTCCATTTGTCTTTGATATTCTTAATATTCTTATCCTCGTGTTCACAGTGGTTTTTCCATTTTCTTTCATTATTGGCATATTATTATATCCCAATATATCTGAGTTACTTTATCATTTTTTAATTCTGTAAAATTTATCTCTATTACTTAATTTTTCAATTCCTCTTCACCCTTGTCTTTTAATCTCTTATTATCCAAAATTGCATTTCCATTTCTATCATGCATGTTTCTTGGCTTTGTTTTCTTTTATATATGCTATTTCTCTCTAGGGAAATGATTCCACCATGGTACCCTTAACAACCGTGCACATATCTACATAGGCCACGTAGGAAACCACAGCTGATCTGAGTCCTGTCAGAATGTTTTATAATCCTCCTGGAACATGAGAAAAAGAGAGACTTGTGAAGAACTATTGACAGGACCTTTTTTTATTCAACTCTCTATCTACCAAGAAGGCTGTCATGAGACAGTTTCTCCTCACCTTTCTGGTTCTGATAAGGTGTGAGAATATCTGCCTCACCCATCCTAAAATATATACAGTTCTGTCAGACTGATTAGTTGTGGCATGGCATTGGCTCCTTGGCAAGAGTGTGTCCGATCATTAGTGTTGCAGTCATACAGCCCTATTGATTTGGTAGCATCCTATGGGATAAATAATTCAGGGAGCTGGGAATATGACTATTCTTGCATTCCTGCTTTCATTGTGTTTATAAGCTAACAAACTGTGTGCATGTTAAAAGGGCTTTTCTGTTTTTTATTTTTTTACCAATGGAATCTACCAGGACTTACCTTTGCCTTGATATTCTCCTTCTGCTGCTTCTAGGGAAGTTTCTCTATATAATCATCCAGCTAATTTCTTTAGCTGTATCTATCATACCATTTGCTTTCATCTATAATGTTCTCTTCATCCAACTATTATTTTTATACCTGTATTAGTTCATTTTCACACTGCTGATAAAGACATACCCAAGAATGGGTAATTTATAAAGAAAAAGAGGTTTAATGGACTCACAGTCCACGTAGATGGGGAGGCCTCACCATCATGGTGGAAGGTGAAAGGCACATTTTACGTGGCAGGAGGCAAGAGAGAATGAGAGCCAAGTGAAAGGGGAAACACCTTATAAAACCATCAGATCTCATCAGACTTATTCACTACCATGAGAACAGTATGGGGGAGAACTACCATGATTCAGTTATCTCCCACTGAGTCCCTCCCACAACATGTGAGAATTATGGGAGCTATGATTCAAGCTGATATTTGGGTGGGAACATAGCCAGAATATAACCATACCCAATAATTCTTGATTTTTAGTAATCTCAATCTTTTTATATATTAACATCTTTCCGTATCTTCTTACATATATTCATTATTTTTATTTCAATTCCTGATCTGTCTCTTCTAATAATTCTACTTCATGGTGAATTTTTCAAATTTCAAAATTTTCAGAGTTGTTTTCCTTTTACAGTGGTGTCCTCCTCAATTGTGTAGTTATTTTTCTTCGGGTATGTCTGCTATTCCTTCTGGTAATGTGAATTATGAAAGAGTCAAAGACCTGGCCCCCATCTAGTATGAGTCCTCATGACTTTAAGGAGAGTGAGGTTATTTGCTCTACAACAGACAGTTCCAAACCTTCAAAAATACTGTTGGTGGCTCCCATTTTCTTCCACTCTGCCAAGTAATTCTTCTTTTCAGGGTTTTGCCTTTAAACCCTAAGATAGAGGCAGCACTTGGGGCACGATATCTTCTTAGTTTGTTATTCTTCAGTTCTTAGGGTTTGAAGTGATGAGAATTGATGAGCAATTACCTGACTGGCAGCTGGTAGGACTTCCCTTTTTCCCCTCAGAACTTTTGTTTGCCTTAATTAGACCTCTGTGTAAACCTCTAACCAGCATTTAGAGTTATTGCTAGTAATGCCTGTGGTGATGTTTTAGGTAGTAATTGTCTCAAAGTAATGCAAGGGAGAAACAGGAAGAGAACTTCAATTACTTTTCTCTAATCTATTCTTCAACTCCTCTGATGGCCTTATCTTCAAAGTTGCAACTACTAAACCATCTTCTTTCTTCACTCTCTACAAAACTGTTCAAGAACCATTTTTTTCCTCCACTGGTGTTTATCAGTCTCTGTCACCCTTTCTCTTTCTAGTTCCCTGAATTTATATTTCCTTTTAGACTCTATGATTTCTCCAAAGTTGATTTTGGGGAAGGAATCAGTAAGCCATGCTAGTTTTTCATCTTGTCAAGAAAAATATATTACACAATTTTAGAACCCAATCAAACCTTAAGGAACATACACATTTTTGTTCTTCATATAATCGTTTAGAAACAGTAGACTTTGAGTAAGTAATGGTTGCCCCATGGTCATACAGTCAGTTTATGGTAGAACAGATTTTTTTTTGCTGTAGTTCTTCAACTAAACATTGATTCATTACCTCAAAGTCGCTGGGCCTTAGTTACATTAACTTTATAATTGTATGGATATTTATAGGCAAGTTCTTGATCTTCTTTGCCTAAATGTCAATTTCTATTTTATTGAGAGACAAGCTTCTAGAAGCCTCCACCATGAGGACTATCAAATCACAAAAAAAAATTTACTTGAACTACTAGAAGCATGATTGGGAGATCTGGACATAATGATATTAAAGAGGTGCAATAAAATGGTGTGTCTATGAATATGTGAAAGAAATGACTAAATCCACTTGGACATTTCCTACTCCTATTTCCCCCACGAACTCTTTTACATATTTCAGCATAGGTAGGTTTTGCAACTGACTTTGAAATACTATAAATTGAATACATTAAATGTCAATACTTCTCCATAATAACAGACTTTGGGTGCCACAGTCATATTCCTATAGCACTGTGGTGACGCACGGTTGACACACGGCCTGCATACAGATCATTGTGTTCAGGGTGGAACATTAGTAAGGAATAGAAAGGATATCAGACTCATATTGTACAATACAACCAGATGTGGGTCTGTTGACATACCAGCTGGAAACTCTTCACATTTAGGTGAATTTGGAAAATCATATGCATGTTAATATAAAGGGTCAATTTAATATTTAAGAATTTGTATGGTTTCCATGGATTTTTTAAAATTGAAAATTACAGAAATTCAGATAGGTGGTATGAAAGTAAATTTTGGCTGCCACTGTACTCCTTGGCACCTAGGGATTTTTTAATTCCTTATTTTTCATGAAGCATTTTTAGTTTTATGAACTTGTTTAGTTGTTTTAGAGATTCTTCTCTATGTACTGAGTTTCATGTACTCAGGCTTAAAGAGATTAGCAGTATAGGATAAAATATTAGGATAGGCAATAGAAAAATACATTCCTCAGACATCTTTAACATTCTTCAAACATAATTATGAAAATCATACTGTAAGAATGCTTTCAGGCACTGCCATGGACCCAAATGTTATCTGAGAATAAAGCTGAATGAAGAGAGCAGGGAATCATATGGATCTCCTCCGAAACACTGGCTCTCATATATATTAGCCATAGATCTTGGATGAATTATGCTGGGTTTTATTTTCTTCATCTGTAAAATGAGAATAATGATACTTCATGGAATTGCTGCAAGGATGAAATGAGGTGTGTAGGTAGAGTACCTCGTATAATATCTATCCATAGTAAATAACCAATAAATGGCTTAAATAATAAGTGAAGTCACTAAGAACATTTGTCTGGTCACTGATATGAAGTATATTCATTACAATTATATTTTTAAAATGCTTTGAGTTTCTATTTTCTTTAAAGAATTGTTTAATATAGTTTTGATATTTCCAGATGTGAGGACCTTTTGGTTTTTGGCTTGTGTTTATAATTTCTGATTTCATTGTGTTCTGAATAGAGAAGTATTTGTATTATTCCTGATTTATCAAACTTCTTGAGATTTTTTATGACCCCAAATAAGATCAATTTCAATGGCCCTTGAGGACATTATCTCATGTGTCTTAGAGAAGAAGAGATATTCTCTTATTTATTAATAGTGTGTGTGTGTTTGGTATGAGATGGCATTTCTCTCTAGTCTGAAAATTACAGTAAGAATTATCATTATTATTATATCTGAGTTTACTAAATTCTGTGTGCATGATTGTATCTCTGCAAGTGGTAGCACTTTATCACCAAAGACAAGGTGGGAGTGAATACTGTAATAGCAGATTTGAAGCAATACACAAAATATTGTAAGTCACAATGATCTTTAGCATTGGTTGGTTGATGATGATGTTCCAAGAACTGAAATAGATGGGCAGTGTTCTAAAGCTTACTTGTTCTGTGTAAGTGGAAAGAATTAACAGAAGTTAGACTTGACTCATTAAAACATAAAGTTGAGGCTTTTCAGCCAATTACAGACTTCAGCCAATTCATAAAACCAAAGACCGTTTAACAGAGAAAGTCTGAGTCATTCTACTCTGAGTAAGAATCCTTAATGTATACTGTTAATCTTCCTACTAGCCTTCCTAAATGTACCTGTGACAATTTCCTAGACAGTTATACATGTAAGTGTGTATACTTAGTGAAAGGCTGATAATCAGACTGTTTAGTTTTTAATGGACAATGGCTTTGTGCCAATACAAATTCTTAGTGACATAAAACTCTCTCTGGGTCTACCAGAGAGAGTAGGGACTTATGAAGAACAGGTGGTCAGTGGAGTTTTGTTTTAGATTTAGTGCACCCACTGTGTCCCTGAACTCACCCTATGGTTATTCCTAGGTTCTAGTAGGAATAATTTGAAGTGATATACTCAACAATTGGCAAAATTCTTACATTAGACATTTTAACAGTCGTAGAATGAGCTATTTTGTTAGGCAAGGCCAGGTGGAAGCCAGTAGAAGTAACTGTGATGGTTAATTCTGTGTGTCAACTTGGCTGTGCCACAGTGACCAAATAAATATTTGTCTACACATTATTCTGGGTGTTTCTGTGAAGGTGTTTTTGGATGAAATTAATATTTAAATTGACAGACTTCCAGTAAAGCAGATTACTTTCCATAATGTGGGTAGATCTTATTCAATCAGTTGAAGGCTTTAATGGAACAAAGACTGACCTCCTCAAGCAAGAAGGAATTCTGCCAGTAGACTGCCTTTAGAATTCAAACTGCAAATCTTCCCTGCCTCTCCAGACTGCTGACCTGCCCTGCAAATTTTGGACGTGCAGTCCAGAAAACAGGTGGAGCTTATGAATAGTGGATTATCATAAGCTTAATAAGATGACAATTCCAATGGAAGTTGCTTGTTCAGATTATTTTTTATAGTAAATCAATATATATCCTGGTACAAATACACAAATTTGATATCTGGCAAATGCATCTTTATTTTTTTCTAGTAGTAAAGACTAAAAGCAAATGCTTTTAGCTGGCAGAACCAGCATGGCACCACAAATGTCTTATCTCAGGGCTATATAAATTCTCTAGTCCTATGTCAAACTATAGGCTGCAGTGAATTTGGGTGATTTTTTTCACAGGAAACTATGGTGGCCTATTACATTGATGATATGCTGCTTATTAGAGCTGGTGATCAGGAAGTGTCAACTACTCTATCTTGGTAAAAACACAAGCACGTCTAAGAATTAAAAATCTCACAGAATTTTGGGGGCCAATTACCTCCATAAAATTTCTAAAGTTATAGTGGTTAGGGTTATGTTGAGATATCCCTTTCAAGATGAAGAAAAGTTGCTACATTTAGTCCAACCTACTTCTAAAAAAGTGATGCAATGCCTAGTAGGCCTCTTTGGCTTTTGGAGGCAACACATACCTCCCTTGGGGGAGCTACTCTGACTTTTACCAAGTAACTGAAAAACAGAGTTTTGAGTAGTGTCTTCTGTCTTGAATAAGTAAAGACTCTGAAACAGGTCCAGGTTTCTGTGATAGCTGCTTTGCCTCTTGGGACAGGTGTCCCAGTAAAATACAGTGGGGCTTGAAATGCTCATGACATGTAGAAATGCATTATAGAGCCATTAACTAGCATGTGTCTAAAAGTGAATCACAGCCCAGACCTATAGGCTTTTGGACAGATTATGCTGTCTTCCACAGATAACTGTTTGCTTCTTGGGAAACACCTGCAAGCCTCAGTAGAGGCTGAATGCATAATCATTGTTCACTAAGTTATCCCATTATAAACTAGCCATAAATTGGGCATGCATAGCAACCTTCCATCACTAATTAGAAGTGGCATATATACAAGACCAGGCTTGAGCACGTCTGGAAGGCACTAGGAAATTGCATGAGCAAAAGGCACAAATGTACATAATCTTACATTCTGGCTCCATTGTCTCTTATCTCTCGATCGCTACATGGGCCTGGTTAATAGATGGTTCAGCTGCAGAACTATAATTTCTCTCTGCGGTCTTCCTGAAGGACAGTGGTGTAGGAAAATATCCCACTAGGTAGAACTTTGAAAAGCACACCAGGTTGTTTATTCTGGCTGGAGGGAAAAATAGAGATATGAATCTTTACTAAATTTTCACAAAAAATAATTATATGAATGGTATTCAGGAACCAATTAGAAGATTGATGACAATGAGGTTTTGGCAGAAAAAAGTATGTAGATATTTTGCTCTAAATGGGCAAAGAATGTTTGTAAAATTTTATGTTTCATGTGAATACTCATCAAAGATAAATCTCAACAGAGGAGGATCTTAATAATCTTAATGGTCAGCTATATAATATAACCCATTTTGTGGGTGACAGAAAGCCTATTTTGACAGGAATGTCTTTTCTTGACTAACAGCCTTGTGCACAAAGTAGTCATGCCAGCAAGAATGGGGTTGCACATGGACTCAGAAACATGGACTTCTGTTCAATTAATCCAGTCTGAAAACTACTAATTTGTTCTCCATCTTTACAATTTTATCAGTGCATGAATATTATTTAAATTGAATCACAGTAGGTAAGCTTTGAGATTGCCTTTTTCATACAGCATGATGACCTTGCAACTCATGCATATTGTTCTGTGTATCAATAATTCCTTTTTATTGCTGTATTCCATTATATAGAGTTACCACTTTTTCTATTTTCATTCACTCACTGAAGGACGTTTAGGTTGGTTCCAGTTTGGGACTATTATAAATGAAACTGCAATTTACATACAGATGTTTGTATGAGAAGTTTTCATTTCTCTAGCATAAATGTTTAGGGAGCATGAGTCCTGGATTGTATGGTGTGATGATTCGTTTTATGTGTCCATTTCCCGCAGCGTGCCCAATATTTGCTCACACATTATTCTGGGTGTTTCTGTGAGGGCGAGGTTAACGTTTAAATTGGTAGAGAGGGTAAAACAGATTGCCTTCCCTATGTATATGGGCCTTCTCCAATCAGCTGAAGGCTTCAATAGAACAAAAAGGCTGATTTTCTCTTGAGTGACCCTTTTCCTGCCTGACTGCCTTTCAACTGGGATGTCATTTTCCTGCCTTCACACACAAACTGAAATGTCAGCTCTTCCTGGATCTTGAGCCAGTCTACAGACTAGAACTGCACCATTTGCTCTCCTAGTTTTTCTGCTTGTTGACTTCCTGAAGATCTTGGGAGTTGTCTGCCTACATCATTGTGTGCGCCAAATCTTTATACTAAATCTCTTTATATATATTGTGTGTTCTATACAAACACACACACACACGTACGCATGCACTCCTCAACTTATTTGATTTCTCAGATATCACCCCATCCTAAGTCAAGGAGTATGCTGAATGCATGTGACTGTCACCGCACAGAACAGTCAAAAAATTGTAAGTTGAATCTTTGTAAATTGGGAACTGTCTATATATAATTTCTCTAGAGACCCTTAATATGTTAAGCTAATATGTTTAACTTTTTAAAAACCTGACAGACTAATTTCCAGAATTACTGTACTATTTTACACCTGCATTATCAGTACATGAGAGAGACAGTTTTTATGCACTCACATCAGAATTTAGTACTGTTAATATACTTTTTAATTGTTGGGATTCTAATAGATGTGTTATGGAATTTTATAATACTTTAATTTTTATGTCTCTAATGGTTAATGATGCTGAACATCTTTCATGTGCTTATTTGCCATGGTGTCCAGTGAAGTCTCTGTTCAATTCCTTTGCTCATTTTCTAATTGCACTGTATATTTCTTATGGCTGAGTTTAGAGTTTTTTATATATTCTAGATGTGAGTCCTTTGTTGTATGTAAGATTTGCAAACATTTTGTCCTAATTTTTGGCTTGCCTTTTCATCCTCTTAACAAAAACTTTCACAGAGCAAAAGTTTTTTTTTTTTCTATGAAATAGAATTTATCAAGCTTTTAATGTATTGTGCTTTGGGTGTCATGTCTAAGAACACTTCACTTAAAGCCTAGGTTATAAAGATTTTTTCCTCTCTTTTAAAGTTTGATTATTTTATATTTAGATATATAATCCATTTGATATAAGGTGAATAGATTATTTTGACATTTTTATTTTTGCCTATGGATGCCCAATTGCTTTGGCACTATATATGGTAAATACTATCCTTGCTCCACTAATTTCCTCTTGAAAATTTGTCAAAAAGAAGTTGGTCATAGTTGTGTGGATCTGTTTCTCAGTTCTCTACTTGCTTTGTCATTCTAGATATCTGTCCCTCCACCAATCCCACACTGTCTTAATTTTTGTTTTGGATTTCTTCTTTAGAACTCCACCTATAAATATGTTGTTTATTCTTCATATATCTTCTAAATCTCTAACTTTCTCTCTGATACTTCTATGTTTTTTGTTACTGCTGAATTTTGAAATTGTATTGCAAGTTAATAAATTATATATATGGGGCACAAAGTGATGTTATGATATAGACATACAATGTGGAATGTTTAAATTAGGCTGACATATCCATCACCTCAAATACTCATCATTTGTTGTGGTGAGAACATTTAAAATATGTTCTCAACAATTTTGAAATACATTATACAAAGTTATTCCTCCCATATAACTGACACCTTGTACCTGTATTGGTCAGGGTTCTCTAAAGAGACAGAACTAATATAGGATAAATGAATATGTGAAGGGAAGATTATTAGGAGAATTGACTCACACAATCACAAGGTAAAGTCCCACAATAGGCCATCTGCAAGCTGAGGAGCAAGGAAGCCAATCTCAGTCCTAAAACCTCAAAGGGAGGGAAGCTGATAATGCAGCCTTCAGTCTGTGGCCAAAGGCCCGAGAGCTGCTGGCAAATCACTGGGATAAGTCCAGTAGTCCAAAAGCTGAAGGACTTAGGGTCTGATATTCAAGGGCAGGAAGCATCCAGCACAGGAGAAAGACAGAGGTCAGAAGACTCAGGCTAGTCTATCCTTTCAACGTTCCTCTGTCTGTTTTTATCCTAGCCACACTGGCAGCTGATTAGATGGTACCCACCCAAATTGTGGGTGAGTCTGCCTCTCCTAAGTCCACTGACTCAAATGTTAATCTCTTTTGGCAACACCCTCACAGACATACCCAGGAGAAATACTTTGCATCCTTCAATCCAATCAAGTTGACACTCAGTGTTAACCATCACAAGTCCGCCTCTTGTCAACTTGAATCCATACACATCTCCTGAAAAATATATAACTTCAAATAAAGACAATAATAAGGTCTTAATTATGCCTAACATAATACAGCTATCCCTCATACAACCAGAAATGCACCAATCCACAACCCGAATACTATTACATAAAGTTAACAACATTTCAGTGCTGGTATGAAGTCAATAAATCTTATGTCACATGATAAAGGAAATAAAATGAAGGTATTTTCTGAGTATAAGTGTATACATGCATAAACATGTTCTTAACAAAATAAGGAGGAAATACTCAAGGCAATTATAGTCCTTGTTTCTGCAACAGGTCACGTGGTCATAGCTGGTATTGATGACTACCTTCTTCTACTATCCATTCTGTATTCCCTTTGCCTTCAGCAAGCACCTCAGCAGGTCTTGATTTTTTTTTTTATCTATTGAAGTGACCCAAACCTTCATTCCTGAAGGGTCTGGGCCATTTTCAGTCCTATCTGGATTGGGTTGCTGTAGTTTCCCATTGACCTTAATCATAGGGCATGGTAATACTAAGAGACTTCCTAAAGCATCTCTGGTATTCCGTGCATACTCTTCCTTACCTCCACTGTGGAGTAGCAGACTGATTTCATCTTGATAGTTGGGGTCAATCACCCCAGCCAATACTGTAACTCCATTCTTTGTCTGTTGACTTAGAGGTAGGAGGAGCCCAAAGTGGTGAAGTGCCAATCTTAACTTCCAGTTTAACTGAATCATTGTTCTGTCACCTGGTGGCAGCATTCCTCCCTCTGGAGCTAAGACTTCTAGGCCAGCAGAACATAATGTTGTGGGAACAGGAAGCAAAAATTTTGCTAGTGGGTTACTAGGGGTGATGGTGAGTGGTGCCACTTTCATTTCCACCCTTTGATTCCTAGGCTTACGAATCCTGGCTATGGGAGAAACAGTAGCATATATTGGACACATTCAGAGCATACACAGCCTTCTGGAGAACTTTGTGCCGGCTCTTCAAAGGATGGTCACCTAGTTGGCATTATAATTGTGATTTCAAAAGGCAATTCCACTGTACTATCAATCCAGCTGCTTCAGGATGATGGGGAACATGGCAAGACCAGTGAATTCCATGAGCATGAGGCCACTGCCACACTTCTTAGCTGTAAAGTGAGTGCCTTGGTCAGAGGCAATGTTCTGTGAAATACCATGATGTTGGATAAGGCATTTCCTGAATCCACAGATGGTAGTCTTGGCAGAAGCATTGTCTGCAGGATAGGCAAACCCATATCCGGAGTAAGCATCTATTCGGGTGAAGACAGATCACTGCCCTTTTCATGAAGGAAGAGGACCAATATATCAACCTGTTACCAAGTAGCTGGCTTATCACCCCAAGGAATGGTGCCATATCGAAGGCTCAGTGTTTGTTTCTGCTGCTGGCAAATTGGGCATTCAGCAGTGTCTGTAGCCAGGTCAGCCTTGGTGAGTGGAAGTCCATGTTGCTGAATCCATGTGTAACCTCCATCGCTGCCACCATGGCCACTTTGTTCATGGGCTCATTGGATGATGACAGGAGTGGCTGGGGAAGAAGCCTGGGGAAGGAGGCTGAGTGGGTCATCCCATCCACTTGATTATTAAAATCCTCCTCTGCTGAAGTCACCCTTTTGTGAGCATTCTCATGAGATACAAATATCTTAACAGGTTTTGACCATTCAGAGAGGTCCATCCACATGCCTCTTCTCCAAATTTCTTTGTCACCGATTTTCCAATCATGCTTCCTCCAAGTCCCTGACCATCCAGTCAAACCACTGGCTACAGCCCATGAATCAATATATAATCGCACATATGGCCATTTTTTCTTTTAAGCAACGTGCTCAACCAGGTGCACTGCTCAAAGTTTTGCCCACTGGGAAGATTTGCCTTTGAAAGTTTTCCTAGAAAGAGGTTGTAGTGCTGCAGCTGTCCACATTTGGGTGGTGCTTGCATATCGTGCAGAAGCATCTGTAAACCAGGCTCCAGTCTTCTCTTCCTCTATCAACTGATTATAAGGAACTCCACAAGGGGCCATCAGTGCAGGCTGGGGGAGAGAAAGCAGGGTGGGAGGAGTGGGGATCATGGACATTTGAGCCACTTGCTCATGTAACTCATCTGTGGCCTCAGGCCCTGCTTGAGCCCAATCACATATATGCCACTTCCATTTGATGATGGAATGCTGCTGTGCATGCCTCACTTTATGGCCAGTTGGGTCAGAAAGCACCCAGTTCATGACAGGCAGTTCAGGTGGCATGGTGATTTGACCCATAGTCAAACATTCAGTTTCTACCAAAGCCTAGTAACAGTCCAAGAGCTCTTTCTCAAAAGAAGAGTAGTTATCTGCAGAAGATGGCAGGAACTTGCTCAAAAATCCTGGAGACCTTTACTGTGATTAACCTATGGGGGCCTGCCAGAGGCTCCAGACAGCATCCCTATCTGCGACTCACACCTCAAACACCATTGGATCTGCTGGGTCATATGGCCCAAGTGGCAGAGCAGCTTGCATAGCAGTCTGGACCTGTTGCGGAGCCTTCTCCTGTTCTGGACCCCACTCAAAACTGGCAGCCTTATGGGTCACATGATAAATGGGCCAGAGTAACACACCCAAATGAGAAATGTGTTGCCTCCAAAATCCAAGTAGCCCACTAGGCATTGTATCCCTTTCTTGGTTGTAGGAGGGATCAAATGCAGCAACTTAGTTTTCACCCTGGAAGTAATATCTTGACAGGCCCCACACCACTGGACATTTTACTGAGGTAAAGTTCCCTGAATTTTAGTTGGATTTATTTCCCATCCTCTGACATTCAAATATCTCACCAATAAGTCCAGTGTGTTTACTACTTCTTGCTTACTAGATTCAATCAGCCTAATGTCAACAATGTAATGAACCAGTGTGATATCTTGTGGAAGTGAAAAGCGATCAAGATCTTTGCAAACAAGATTATGGCAGAAAGCCAGAGAGTCGATATACCCCTGAGGATATTGCTGGCCTTCCCAGCTGAAGGCAAATTGCTTCTGATGTGCCTTATGGATAGGAATGGAGTGAAAGACATTTGTCAAATCAGTGGCTGCATACCAGGTACCAGGAGATGTGCTGATTTTCTCAAGCAATGAAACCATGTCTGGTACAGCAGCTGCAATTGGAGTCACAACTTGGTTAAGCTTACAATAATCCACTGTCATTCTCCATGATCCATCTGTCTTCTGCACAGGCCAAATAGAAGAAGTAAATGGAGATGTGGTGAGAATCACCACCCCTGCATCTTTCAAGTCCTTGATGGTGGCACTAATCTCTGCAATCCCTCCAGGGATGCAATATTGTTTTTGATTTACTATTTTTCTAGGTACAGGCAGCTCTAATGGCTTCCATTTGGCCTCTCCCATCGTAATAGCCCTCACTCTACCAATCATGGAGCCAATGTGGGGGTTCCACCAGCTGCTAGTATGTCTATGACAATTATGCCTTTTGGCACTTGGGAAATGACCACAGGATGAGTCTGGGGATCCACTGGACCCACTGTAAGCCAGACCTGAGCTAATATTCCATTAATTAGCTGACCTCCATAAACCCCTACTTTAACTGGAGGACCACAATGATATTTTGGTTCCCTGGAATTATCAGCTTAGAGCCAGTGTCTAGTAGTCCCCTAAAGGTCTGATCATTTTCCTTTTCCAAATGCACAGTTACCCTGGTAAAAGTCCAGAGGTCTCCTTGGGGAAGGATGGGAGAAAGATTAACAGCATAGCTTGTCAATAGGGTAGTGGGGTCCTTTCTCAAGTGTACCCGGCCTCCCCTTCTTTCAAAGGGTTCTGGGTCTGTAAACTGGTTCAAATCTGGAAATTGATTGAGGGGCCGTGATCCTCTGTTTTTGTAATTCAAATTAGTCTTTTGTCCATTCAACTTGGAAGTTTTCTGCTTATATAAATTAAGAATGTAGTAGGCTTCCTATCAATTTTACTTCTAGGAACACTATGATTAGCCAATGCCAGAGCTCTATGTGAGTCAGACAATTCTGATTGCTGCTTTGCCTCTGATGTCCATTACAATAAGTATGCCCACCTTGCCTTTGATGGTTGAGTGCCACCACTTGGCCCCTGCTACCTCAGGATGCAATTATTCCCATTGCATTTATGTTTTCCAATTGAGCCACTATGGTTCCCACTGTAAGATCTAGCATACAGAGAAAAGCAATCACAGAACTCTAAGGAAGCAGGTGCTCCCCTCACAAATCTGTTTTACAAGGTATTGGTGAAGGGTGTGACTTCTGGGCCCTCCCAATTGGGATGAGTAGGTCTAAAGTGACTAATCCACTCTAGCATTACCATCTCCCTAAGCCTTTGGATCCATTCCTCTACATTAAACCAAGGGAGACTGGCATTTCCAGCTCACTCACAGTGGGCCATCTTTTGATCCATGTTTCAGCTAACCAAGCAAATAAACTATTAGAACCTTTTTTTATCTCCATGAGCTGCAACATTAAATGTAGAATCCCTGCTTAGTGAGCCCATATTAATAAATTCAGCCTAACCCATCCTTATGTTCCTTCCACCATTATCCCACACCCTTAATATCTATTCCTATGCCTGTTCTCCAGATTTCTGCTTATATAAATTAGAAAACTCAAGCAGTTCTTTTGGAGTATAGCACACCTTGTGGGACATCCTCTGAACCTCACCCCTAGGGACCTGCCAGGACGTCAGTCAAGTTATAGGTCTAGAAGAAAACAGGGGTGTTAGGGGTGGGTCCTGAAGAGAATCAACATTGTTTTTTCTTGGCAACTGCCTCCGGGGATGCCATCACTATTGCCTGAGGCAGTGCAAGGTTAATCTCCTCAGACAAAGATGAAAAGGCTGATGGCAGTGTGAGTTGGGGAGGGGATGTTGCCACCACTAGGGATGGGGAAGCTGTTTCCTCTGGCAAAAAAGGGCTCATCGGAGTTTACAAGCTCAGTGTCCCCAGTTTCATCAGGGTCCTCCCACACATCCCCATTCTAAGCTGCAGGATCCCATTATTTTCCAATAAGTGCCCTCACTTTAACAGTAGACATCTGGTGGACTGTGCATGCACCTTTTGTTGCAGGTCAGCACCCACATGATAAGAGCTTGTGTCTGATTTTCCACAATTTCAGCCTTTTGTCTACAGGAAATAAGACTCTCACTCAGGGCAGTCTTAGAAGACTTGAGCCTCAGTATGTGTTTCTGGACTCGGGAGTTAGAATCCCGGTGCTCATCATTTTCTTTCATCACTTTGTCCAGTAAACTGAGGAGCACCCAACCAACTTCATTATATTTTTTGTTTCTCTACATGTGGTCAAGGTTATTATGTACAGAGTAACGAAACTCCTTGCCTTTCATGAGCAGTGAATAAGGAGTATCAAATGCATTTATTTTGCATAACTCTCTAAACAGTTCATGCCAAAGACCATCAGTGTTTTCCATACTATTAGAAGAAGGGTCCTTAACATTTTGGGCTTTAAATATATTAAGCAGCTAACTCCAGAAACTCCAAAACCAACTAAAGAAATCCATCCTTAAAATTCTGTTCCTCTAAAACCACTCCTGGTACCAAAATCTGTATTAGGGTTCTCTAAAGGGACAGAACTAATAGAATAGATGACTATATGAATGGGGAATTTATTAAGGAGAATTGTCTCACATGATCACAAGGTAAAGGCTGTCTGCCAGCTGAGGAGCCAGGAAGCCAATCTGAGTCCCAAAACCTCAAAAGTAGGGAATCTGGTAATGCAGCCTTCAGCCTATGGCCAAAGGTCTGACAGCCCCTGACAAATCACTGGTGTAAGTCCAAGAGTCCAAAAGCTGAAGAACTTGGAGTCTGATGTTCAAGAGCAGGAAGCATCCAGGACAGGAGGAAGATGGAGGCCAGAAGACTCAGGTCATTCTAACCTTTCCACACTCGTCTGCCTGCTTTTACCCTAGATGCACTGGCAGATGATTAGATGGTGCCCATCCAGATTGCAGATGGGTCTGCCTCTCCTAGTCCACTGACTCAAACATTAATCTCTTTTGGCAACACCCTCACAGACACACCTGGGAACAACAATTTGCATCTTTCAATCTGATGAAGTTGATACTCAATATTAATCATCACAGTACCCTTTGATCAACACCACCACATTCCCCATGCCCCATTAGCCTTTGTGAGTTTGATTGTTATCTATGTCACATGTAATTGAGATCATGCCACATTTGTTTTTCTGCTCCTGGCTTCTTTCAATTAGCAAAATGTTTTCCAGATTCATTCAGGTTGTCACAGAAATTCTTTCCATTTAAAGATGAATAGTATTCCATTGTGTATATGTACTACATGTTCTTTATTCAGTCATCCACTGATGGACACTTAAGTTGATTCCATACCTTGGCTATTGTGAACGGTGCTGCAATGAACAAGAAGTGCAGATATCTCTTTAACATACTGATGTAAAATCTTTTGGATGTATACTCAGAAATGAGATTATTGAATTATTTGGTAATTCTATTTTTATTTTTTTTAGAAACTCCCATACAGTTTTCATAATGGCTGTGCTAACTCACATTCCCATCAACCTTGTACTAAAGTTTCTTTTTTTCCTCATCTTCTCCAACACTTATCTTTCATTTTTTGATAATAGCTATTGTGACAAGTGTAAAATAGTATCTCATTATAGTTTTAATATGCATTTTCCTAGTGATTAGTGATATATGTTTTCAAATACCTGTTGGCCATTTTTATATCTTCTTTTGAGAAATGCCAATTGAAGTTTTTTGTCCATTTTTAAATCAGGTTGTTTTCTTGCTACTGAGTTGTTTGAGTTCCTTATATAATTTAGATATTAACCCCATATGAGTTGTATGGTTTGCAAATATTTTTCCCAAATATGTAGGTTGTCAGTTAACTCTTAATTGTGTCTTTTTCAGTGTAGAAGTATTTTATTTTGATATAATCCCATTGTCTATTTTTGCTTTTGTTGGGAGACCTTTTGGGGTCCATTTAAAAAATCATTGCCTAGTCAAATGTTATCCAGCTTTTCCATTATATTTTTTTCTAGTAGTTTTACAGTTTCAGGTCTTACATTTAAGTTTGTAATCCATATTGCATGGATTTTTGTATATGGTGTGAGATAAGGGTCCAGTTTTATTGTTCTGCATGTATCAAGTATTTCCAACATCATTTATTAAAGAGACGGTCCTTCCACAATTGCGCATTTTTGGAAACTTTGTTGAAAATCAATTGTAAAGTCATGGGTTCATTTTTGAGTTCTCTATTTGTTTCATTGGCTGACGTGTCTATTTTTATGGCAATACCACACTGGTTTAATTACTATAGCTTTGTAAAATAGTTTAAAATCAGGTAGTGTGATGCTCTGCTTTGTTATTTTCCTCAAGATTAGCTTGGCTGTTCAGGTTTTTTTGTGGTTCTATATGAATTGCAGGATCATTTCTTCAATTTCTGTGAACAGTTACTATAATTTTAGAAGGTATTGCATTGAATCTGCAAATGTATGCTTTGAGTAGCAATGACATTTCAACCACATTAATTCTTGCAATTAACAAACATGAAATAACTTTTCATTTATTTGTGTTATTGTCTTCAATTTCCTTCATTAATGTTTTATAGATTTTAGTGTATAGATCTTTCATCTCCTTGGTTAGATTTATTCCTAAGTATCCTCTTTTTATGTAGCTATTGTAAATGAGAGATTGTTTTCATAATTTCTTTTTTGGATAGTTTGCTGTTAGTATATAGGACATCAGTTATTTTTGTGTGTTGATTTCGTATTCTGCAACTTTATTTAATTTATCATGTCATCATTTTTTGTGGAGTATTTAGGGTTTTCTATATATAAGATCATGTCATCTCCAAACAGGGACTATTTAGTTATCCTTTCCAATTGGAATACTCTTATTTGTTTTCCTCACCTAATTGCTCTGGTAAGATCTTCCAATACTATATTGAATAGAAGCAGTGAGGGTAGGCATAATTATCTTATTCCTTTGAGGAAAACATTTCCACTTTTTACTATTGTGCTTAATGTCAGCTGAGGGCTTGTCATATATATCCTTCACTGTGTTGAGATACATTTCTTTTGTACCTAGTTGATTGAGAGTACTTATCATGAAAAGATGTTGAAATTTGTCAAATCCTTTACTGAATCTTTTGAAATGATCATATGGTTTTTCTTCATTGTGTTAATGTGATGTATCACATTTATTGATTTGTGTATATTGAGCCATTCTTCTACCCCAGGAATAAATCCCACTTGATCATGGTGAATGATCCTTTTAATACGCTATTGAATTTTGTTTGCTTATATTTTGTTAAGAATTTCCGTAGCAAAAAAGGCTACATGTTCAGCAGCAATACTGGCCTGTAATTTTTTTTTCTTGTAATGTCCTTATCTGGCTTTGCAATCAGGGTAATTCTGGCATTATAGAAAAGAGTTTGAAAGTGTTTCCTCATCTCCAATATATTGGAAGAGTTTGAGAAGGATTGTTGGGTAGAATTTAGTAGTAAAGCCATCTGGTCCTGGGCTTCTCTTTTATTAGACACTTTTTATTACTCGTTCAATCTCTTTACTCATTGAACTATTCAGATTTGGTATTTCTTTTATATTCAGTCTTGGTAGATTGTGTGTGCCTAGGAATTTATGTATGTCTTCCAGGTTATTCAGTTTGTTGAGTATAATTATAATCACAATAATTGCTTATGATTCTTCATATTGTTATAGTATCATTTTTAATGTCTTCTGTTTCATTTCTGGGTTTGTTTATTTGAGTATTATTTTTTTCTTAATCTAGCTAAGAGTTTGTCAGTTTTGCTTTTCTTTTCAAAAAACCAACTGTTAGTCTTCTTAATATTTTCTATATTTTTTTCTAGTCTCTATTTCTATTCTGATCTTCATTTCTTTTCTTCTACAAACTTTAGTCCTATTATTTTTCCTCATTTTCTTGTTCCTTATACTTAATGTTAGCTTGTTTATTTGAGACCTCTCTTCTTTTTAAATGGAGGTGTTTTGGGTATAAACTTTCCTGTTAGAACTACTTTTGTTTCATCTGTATTAGTCCATTCTCATACTGCTATAAGAGCTTCCCTGAGACTGGGTAATTTATAAAGGAAAGAGGTTTAATTGCCACAGTTCCACATGGCTGAGGAAGCCTCAGGAAACTTACAATAATAGCAGAAAACAAAGCAGGCATGTCTTACATGGCAGCAGGCAAGAGAGAGGGAGTAAATGAAAGAGAAACTTCCAAATACTTATAAAACCATCAGATCTTGTGAGGACTCACTATCATGAGAACAGCATGGGGGAAACTGCCCCCATGATCCAATCACCTCCTATCAGTTCTCTTCCTCAACACCTAGGAATTACAATTCAAGTGGAGTTTGGGCAGAAACAGAAAACCTAACCATATCAGCATCCCATAAGTTTTGGTATGTTGTGTTACCATTTTTATTTTTCTCATGATATTTTTAATTATCTTTTTATTTCTCTTTACTCATTGATTTTTCAGGAGCATATTTTTAAAATTCTATCTGTGAATTTCTCAAGATTTCTCCTCTTACTTTTCTTCATGGCATTGTGATTGCAAAAGATAATTGATCATAACAGATTTTGTCATTTTAATTTTTTCAGACTTGTTTTGTGGCCTAACACATGATCTGTCTTGGAGAACATTGCCTGAAAAGGTATATTCTGTTGCTGTTTGATGGAATGTTCTGTGTATGTCCTTTAGGTCAATTTGATCTAAAATGTAGCCAAAGACCAATGTTTTCCTATCAATGTTCGGTCTAGATCATCTTTCCATCATTGAAAGTGGATACTGAAGTTCTCTACTATTATTGTATTGCAGTTTATCTCTACCTCAGATTGTTTGTTTTATATGTTTAGATACTCTGATATTGGGTACATATATATTTATAACTATTATATCGTCTGGATGAGTTGTCTTCTATTAGCGATATATAATAACCTTCTTTGACACTGTTTATTTTTTGTCTCAACATCTATTTTGTCTGATGTAAGTATAGTTAATCCTGTTCTCTTTTTATTTTTACTTATGTAGAATTTTTTTTTCATTCTTCACTTTCAGTCTATGTGAGTTCTTAAAATTGAGGCAGGTCTCTTGTAGGCACAATATATTTGGATATTTAAAAAAAATCCATTCAGTCACTGTGTCTTTTCGTTAGATTATTTAATTCATTTATTTAATACATTCTAGGCTATTGATAGGTAAAAAATACTGTCGTTATTTACTTTGTCTTTCTGGTTGTTTTATAGATGTTTTGTTCCTTCCTCTCTTGCCATCTTATTTTGTGACTTGATGCTTATCTGTACTGGCATGCTTTTAATACTTTTGTGCATCTACTATAGATTTCTATTTTGTGGTTATCATGAAGTTTATATAAAATATTTTATAACAGGTTATTTCAAGCTAATGTTGTTCCATCATTCCCATAGGCTTTCTTCATTCTTTTTCAACTTAACTTCTATAGCATACAAGCATTCTACACTTTTGACCCCTGTTCTATGTTTTTGTTGTTAAAATTCACGTCTGTTTATATTTGGTATTTCTTAACAGTTTAGCTATAGTTGTTTTTGATAGTTTTGTCTTTTAGTCTTTGTGCTAGAGATAAACTTGCTTTACAGTCCTAGAGTATTTCTAATATGAACTTGTTTTACTTATACCATTACAAATTGTGCTTTTATATGCTTAATGTTATTAGTTAGCAGCCTTTTGTTTTAGTTTAAATAATTCCCTTTTATAATTCCTCTTAGGTAGGCCTAGTGGTGACTAACTTCCTTCACCTTTGTTCTTTAGGGAAAGTTTTTATTTCTATCTCATTTATGAAGGATAGTTTTGCTGGGGAAAGCATTCTTGTTTTTTGTTTTTGTTTTTTCCTCCTCCAGCACCTTGAATATATCATCATACTCTGTCCTGGACTGCATGGTTTCTGCTTATGAATTTACTGATAGCCATATTGAGATTCTCTTATATGTGATGTATTTCTTGTCTCCTGTTGCTCTCATAATTTTTTCTTTGTCTTTAATTTTTGATAGTTTGATTATCATGTATCTTAATAAACTCCTCTTTGGATTGAAATTGGAGACCTCTGTACTTCTTGTACCTTGATGTTTGCATCTTTCTTCAGATTTGAGAATTTTTCAGCCATTGTTTCTTTAAACATGCCTTCTGGTCCTTTTTCTTTCCTCATTCTGCAATTCGTATTACAAAAATGTTAGTCCTGTTAATGTTGTTCTGTCATTCCCATAGGCTTTCTTTATTCTTTTTCATAGTTTTTGTTTGTTTTCTGACTGGATAATTTCAAATATTCTGTCCTTGAGCTCACTGTCTTTTTTTCTTTGATTTGATCATGTCATCTATTGAAGTTTTCTATTGATATTTTAAACTTTTAATCATTGTATTCTTCATCTCTAGGATTTCTATTTTTTTCTGTTTCTACCTTTTTGGTTTGTTTGTATATTGTTTTCCAAGTTTCATTTAATTTTCTATCCATATATTCTTGTAGCTCATTGATACTCTTTAAGGGAATCATTCTGAATTATCTGTCAGTCATTTTATAGATCTCCGTTTCCTCAGGGGTTATTATTGGAGCTGTATTAGTTTCCTTTGGAGGTGTCATGATTCCCTGATTCTTCACAATCTTTATGTCTTTGTGTTGGTTTCTGTGTATTTAAGTAAACAGCCACTTCTTCCAGCTTTTCCAGGTGTTTTTTTTGGCAGGAATAGACCTTTAATACTTAGTTTAGCCTGTGATTCTGAGCAAGTGAATTGGTAAGAACCCCACGTAGGCAGGGCTTCCTGTCATATTCTTTAGTTAATAGGGTTGCTGCCTTTGCTCTGAGGTTAAAGATGTCTGCTGGTTGGCCTCCATTGCCTGGCAAAACTACTGGCTTGGCTTTTCAACTGGTAGAGCTGCTAGCTTGGAACCACAATCATAACTGATTGGGCGGGATTTCAGGGTATATTCCTTGGCTGAATGGTAACACTATTTGTGATTCACACTTGGGCAAGTCTGCAGGATGAGTTTGAGTTCTGACAGAGTCATTGCTTAAAATATATGGGTCTAGAGACTATTAGTTATAGGAATAAATGGTTGACGCTTGTCTCCCTGCCTGGATGGGGCCTTGGAATGGGCTTTGAGTCTGGGCATAGCTTCTGTTTGGACTCCTGGGTTATGCAGCTCCAACCCTATGCTCCATAGAAAGGTGTTTTGGTTGTATCTCTTTGCCTGAGTGGGCAATTGGAGGCTTAGCCATGCTGCTGTTTAGACTCCTGGGTTGGGCAGGTTTATCTCCTAAACTCCACAGAAGTTCAACGTTGTGGACATTTTCTTGCCTAAGCAGGACCTTGAGGTGGGCTCTGAGGCTTTGCTGGGAATGTCTATCCCTCATGCTCTGCTTATGGACATGGAGGCTGCTATCTCTCTGCCTGGGTGGGGCCTTAGAATGGGTTCTGAGGCTGGACATAGATGCTGGCCATCCAAGGATCCAAACAAGTTTAAACTTCCCACTGCATCTCTGGGAGTGACAAGTTTGGCTTTGTGGGTCTATGCCTTTGGCTGGCATCTATGATAGGATGCTACTGCTAGCAGAAATACATAGCTGCCACCAAGATCTGCATGCTGGTTACTCAAGCTCCACTTTCTTTATATCTACCTGACCCCTGGTGCTATAGCCCTGCTGTCACCGGCAGTGTTCCTTGCGATCCAAGACAGGAGTGGGCTTCCTACGAAGTATCTCAAAATGCTAGGAAAGCTAGATATCCACCTCCAATTTTGTTTTCCCACTGTAGAAGCTGTGGGACCAAGGGGTTCTTCTTTTGTGTCACTGTGCCTACTTGGAAATGAGAAGGAGTAACACAGCCATAGTGAGACTGTTTCTCTTACCCTTCTAATGAGGCTTTTATGAGGTTAGGTGGTTCACATTTCCAAGCCTTAGGGTTTTCACAAAGGTGTTCTTGTCAGTAGATGGTCTCTACTTGAATTTTCTGTGGGGAATGGTAAGTCCTGAGACCTTCCATTCTTATTGCTGATGTCTATTTCTGTGTTTCATTCTTTTGAATGTTTTCATTATTCTTCTCAATTACCCTTATTACATTTTTAGTCAAACCTTCTTTACCCTTATAATTTATTATTCATTTTTAAAATCTGAGATAATTTTGCTTTTTGATTATTGAATTTAGGTCTTATGAATAATTTCACATCTTTCAGTTTTATCCATCTTTTTATAGTTTTTTTAAAAATATGTGCATTAAGATTTGTTTTAAAAATACAAATGCTTGTTCCATGATATTTAATTCAGGTTGCAGTGTTGTATTACATTTTTCCTTTGTTTTATGGTTGATTTTGAGAGGAGAATTTTTATCTACAAAAATATTTTTTCTCATTTTCTTTCTTTTTACAGTGAATTTATATGGATATTATCTGCCATTTTCTGTTCTTCTGAAATACCGTATTTCCTGAATCACCAGTAATAGGTGACAGAGGCTAGGTAGGAATAAGGAGTTAGAGGGTCTTTACATGTCTTTTAGTTCAACATTTCCTGTTCTATTGGCGTGAGGAAGTTTAGATTTTTTAATATATGGGGCTTTTTAAGGTGTCTGCTGATTTTGTGATTGTCTTTTGTTTTGGTAGAATCTTTAAATTCTGCTGCTTGTGTCTCTCTTCCACTTCTCTGTGGAATATCTAAAGTATACGTCCTCTTTATTTGGGTTTTCCCTCTTTTTCTTAGAAAGCAGTACCCTCCTAAGACTGTTGTCCCAATGCATTTTTAAGCCTCGTACTTTTAATTCCATTATAGCCAGTTTTCTGAACCAACAGGTCTCAGGTTGCTCTCAGTATTTCCTCCCAAAAGGGGAAGGCCTCTTTTTGATGATAGTAATTTTTATTTATCTTCTTTTACCCCAACATCTGCAGAGTTTTCTCCTATTCTTTGTATCATGTTTGCCTGACTTTCCGGTACTTCCTGGACTCTGGAGCTGGCTCTGCTGGTATAAGATATTTATTTTTCTACATACATGCAAATTAAGTTTTACAATATGTTCTGTCTTCTTACACTGTAGACATGGATTATAAGGGTTCTGTTTGCAGTCTTTATTGAATAGTATGGTTTCTAAATTGTATGAAGTGATTTAGATTCAGGTGGCCATTTTTATTTATCAGAAACATGCAATCCCCTCCCATACATATTAATGTTTTTTAAAAAAAGAACATTAGAGCGTGAAAATTTCTGATATTAGGGAACTAAGCAAGATAAGTCATAAAGAATCAAGATACTTAATGGTCTTTAAATAAAAGGTTTGGTATCTTAAGAACCTCTCAGAAAATTTCATTTAGTGTATATACTATTCTTAGAGAATGTCACCGACATAAATCGAAGTTCAGCATGGTTGAATACATAAAACAATATTGAAAGATCAATTTTGAAAGATGTTTTTGGGTCTGAAGCAGCCTACAAAGTGCAGCTGGCTTGTCATGTGGGGAAAAATAAGAGGAAGTAATTTATCTTTGTTAATAACTGAGGAAGAGTAAATGCACACTTGAACTTGGTGCCCCTGTGGGTGATACTTGGTACTGCTATATTAAGAAGGAAGATTTTTTTTTTCTCTTGGGTTCAATCAAGCTAGGAAGAATAAGGTTTTAAGTTCTCTCAGCTTCGAGCAGTCCAGTAGGGAAAAACTAAGAAGATTATGTCTCATTACTGTGAATCTTATTTTTTTTTTTAGTAAAATTATCAGAGGGAATTAAAATGCTTGAAAACTGAAAGGGATAAATGATGTGGCTTTTCTTGAAAGAATAATCATCCTTGTGATGCACATAATAATTTCACTGACCAAAAATAAATCAGTGTATTTTTTAGCTTTCTTAAGTGACTTTAAAAATATCACCAAACTTTAATGTGCCATTTTATTGTAATAGTTATATCAGTTGAAAATACAACATTGTAATATGTGTACCTTTGACATTTGAGAAATGGAATGATTTAAGATATTGAAAGAGTTTCTGTTTAATGTATGCCTAATCTTCCATAAAAACCTGCAGCAAATGCTAAATATGAAACATTTTCTTTTTTTTTTCTTTTTTCTCTATTTTTTTTAAATATACTTTAAGTTTTAGGGTACATGTGCACATTGTGCAGGTTAGTTACATATGTATACATGTGCCATGCTGGTGTGCTGCACCCACTAACTTGTCATCTAGCATTAGGTATATCTCCCAGTGCTATCCCTCCCCCCTCCCCCCACCCCACCACAGTCCCCAGAGTGTGATATTCCCCTTCCTGTGTCCATGTGATCTCACTGTTCAGTTCCCACCTATGAGTGAGAATATGCGGTGTTTGGTTTTTTGTTCTTGCGATAGTTTACTGAGAATGATGATTTCCAATTTCATCCATGTCCCTACAAAGGACATGAACTCATCATTTTTTATGGCTGCATAGTATTCCATGGTGTATATGTGCCACATTTTCTTAATCCAGTCTATCATTGTTGGACATTTGGGTTGGTTCCAAGTCTTTGCTATTGTGAATAATGCTGCAATAAACATACGTGTGCATGTGTCTTTATAGCAGCAAGATTTCTAGTCCTTTGGGTATATACCCAGTAATGGGATGGCTGGGTCAAATGGTATTTCTAGTTCTAGATCCCTGAGGAATCGCCACACTGACTTCCACAATGGTTGAATTAGTTTACAGTCCCACCAACAGTGTAAAAGTGTTCCTATTTCTCCACATCCTCTCCAGCACCTGTTGTTTCCTGACTTTTTAATGACTGCCATTCTAACTGGTGTGAGATGGTATCTCATTGTGGTTTTGATTTGCATTTCTCTGATGGCCAGTGATGATGAGCATTTTTCAATGTGTTTTTTGGCTGCATAAATGTCTTCTTTTGAGAAGTGTCTGTTCATGTCCTTCTCCCACTTTTTGATGGGGTTGTTTGTTTTTTTCTTGTAAATTTGTTTGAGTTCATTGTAGATTCTGGATATTAGCCCTTTGTCGGATGAGTAGGTTGCGAAAATTTTCTCCCATTTTGTAGGTTGCCTGTTCACTCTGATGGTAGTTTATTTTGGTGTGCAGAAGCTCTTTAGTTTAATTAGATCCCATTTGTCAATTTTGTCTTTTGTTGCCATTGCTTTTGGTGTTTTGGACATGAAGTCCTTACCCATGCCTATGTCCTGAATGGTGATGCCTAGGTTTTCTTCTAGGGTTTTTATGGTTTTAGGTCTAACGTTTAAGTCTTTAATCCATCTTGAATTGATTTTTGTATAAAGTGTAAGGAAAGGATCCAGTTTCAGCTTTCCACATATGGCTAGCCAGTTTTCCCAGCACCATTTATTAAATAGGGAATCCTTTCCCCATTGCTTGTTTTTCTCAGGTTTGTCAAAGATCAGATAGTTGTAGATATGCGGAATTATTTCTGAGGGCTCTGTTCTGTTCCATTGATCTATATCTCTGTTTTGGTACCAGTGCCATGCTGTTTTGGTGACTGTAGCCTTGTAGTATAGTTTGAAGTCAGGTAGTGTGATGCCTCCAGCTTTGTTCTTTTGGCTTAGGATTGACTTGGTGATGCGGGCTCTTTTTTGGTTCCATATGAACTTTAAAGTAGTTTTTTCCAATTCTGTGAAGAAAGTCATTGGTAGCTTGATGGTGATGGCATTGAATCTATAAATTACCTTGGGCATTATGGCCATTTTCACGATATTGATTCTTCCTACCCATGAGCATGGAATGTTCTTCCATTTGTTTGTATCCTCTTTTATTTCCTTGAGCAGTGGTTTGTAGTTCTCCTTGAAGAGGTCCTTCACATCCCTTGTAATTTGGATTCCTAGGTATTTTATTCTCTTTGAAGCAGTTGTGAATGGGAGTTCACTCATGATTTGGCTCTCTGTTTGTCTGTTATTGGTGTATAAGAATGCTTGTGATTTTTGTACATTGATTTTGTATCCTGAGACTTTGCTGAAGTTGCTTATCAGCTTAAGGAGATTTTGGGCTGAGACAATGGGGTTTTCTAGATATACAATCATGTCATCTGCAAACAGGGACAATTTGACTTCCTCTTTTCCTAATTGAATACCCTTTATTTCCTTCTCCTGCCCCATTGCCCTGGCCAGAACTTCCAACACTATGTTGAGTAGGAGTGGGGAGAGAGGGCATCCCTGTCTTGTGCCAGTTTTCAAAGGGATTGCTTCCAGTTTTTGCCCATTCAGTATGATATTGGCTGTGGGTTTGTCATAGATAACTCTTATTATTTTGAAATACGTCCCATCAATACCTAATTTATTGAGAGTTTTTAGCATGAATGGTTGTTGAATTTTCTCAAAGGCTTTTTCTGCATCTATTGAGATAATCATGTGGTTTTTGTCCTGGCTCTGTTTATATGCTGGATTACATTTATTGATTTGCGTATATTGAACCAGCCTTGCATCCCAGGGATGAAGCCCACTTGATCATGGTGGATAAGCTTTTTGATGTGACATTTTCTATATAACTAAGGCTAAATATGTTTAGTCTCATCACTTCTACTTAACATTCTACTGGAAGTTTTATCTAGTACAGTAGGCAAGTGAAATAATACAAACATGAAAATAATTTAAAGATGAGACAAATGAAGCTTATAAAAGTTAAGCAACTTAGCAGTGGTCACAAAAGTAGTAAATTGTAAAGCAGTATTCAAATACGGATGTTGGGTGGAGGGGTATTTATCTTGGGAGGATTCTTAACCTCTAGAATGTTGGGACTATCAGGAAAAAGACAACTTCTTATTAAGACTAATAGCTAGATAACAGTGAATTGCCAGTAATAATATGGATGGTTCCTGACTTCCAGTGGTTCAACTTATGAGTTTTGGACTTTACAGTGGTGCAAAAAAATGATAAACATGCAATAAAAACTCTACTACAAATTTTGAATTTTTGTCTTTTCCTGGAATACGCAGTAAGATACTCTCTCATGATGCTATGTAGCAGCAGAAACCTGTAGATCTGATAGCCACTTGATCACAAGAGTAAGCAACTGATACTCTACATTGTGCTGTGTTGTGAGAAGATTTTGTGCAACTGCTGGCTAAGGAAAGTGTTCTGAGTATGTTTAAGGTAGGCTAAGCTAAGCTATAATGTTCGATAGCTTAGGTGTATTAAGTACATTTTCAACTTAATATATTCAACTTGAGTTTATTGAGATGTAACCTCATTGTAGGAATCATCTGTTACCTGTGTTTCCTATAAAAACTAAAATTATTTTCTAAAATAACCTTAAGCAGCTTTTTTTTTCTTTAATTTCTATACTTAATAAACCTGTTGTAAACCTAGTTTTTGTTTTTAGGATACATGAATAGTCCTTACAACTAATAGATTTATAATGAGGCACCAGAAAGCAATAACAGGTAAATTATTCAAAAATATTAGATTGAGGCTAAGGAAGAGTTTAGGTCATGACCAATAAGTGCAGATTATCAGTTTTGAATGTCTCTAACTTACTTATGAATCGACAGCTAGACCAAAGATAGGTGCCCTGTTCTTCAAATAACTAAACATTGAAAGTGATGACTATGAACCTGGGTCTTCTAAACACATAAAAATTGCGGAGAGGCAGGCGATAATTTTTCTTCTATGAAAAGTATCACAGGAGGTTTTGAATTGTATTTATGTGCAAGAATCTTTGATGCATACCATGACAGGCATAACTACATTCCACGATGGACATAACTAGGCCAGACATATAGTCTCTAATCCCTTAGAGCAAGAGTGGAGCTCCCTGTAGTAGGCAATTAAAGCTTCATTTCTCCCTGTGGGTGGGGATTTGTGTTTTATCAAGAAATAAGAATTCATGGTGAATAGAAACAGGCTTGGTTCTTTTGTTTATTTATTTAGAGATGGAGTTTTGTTCTTGTCGCCCAGGCTGGAGTGCAATGGCTCCATCTAGGCTCACTGCAACTTCTACCTCCCAGGTTCAAGCAGTTCTCCTGCCTCAGCCTCCTGAGTAGCTGGGATTACAGGTATGCGCCACCACGCCCAGCTAATTTTTGTATTTTTAGTAGACAGAGTTTCACCATGTTGGCCAGGCTGGTCTCGAACTCTTGAGCTCAGGTGATCCACTCAACCTGCCTTGGCCTCCTAAAGTACTGGGATTACAGGCATGAGCCACCACGCCCAACCAGGCTTGGTTCTTTTAAATAGGGAGTTTAAACTTGAGAAAGGCTAGATGGTCACATTAGGAAAAGCACTGTTCATGATAATAATTTTATTATATTTATAGGGCTGGAAGGTATGGAAGAAAAGAAATGGAATATGGAATCTTCTTGTGTATTTCCTCTGTTTTTAAGTTAGCCTGAAACTTTACTCCTCAGAATTTCTCTTAGGGAAAGACATAGAATTGCTGAGAGACACTGTCTTTAAAAACAAAACAAAACAAAACAACAACAACAACAAACTTAAAAAAACTTCTAAAATGATTTATATCTGAAAAATTCTGATGCTCTGTGTTTATTTTACTTAAGTATAAAGAATCTTTTCAGGGACATATTTTTTATAGGATGTGGGGTTAAATTTAGATTTTCTAAAAGATGCAAGTAAAGGCTGTTGAGAGAATAAAAGAGTAAAAAGAGTGTGATTTTGTGCCATAAAATTTCCTATATTTAGAAAGATTGTGAGGTAGTTACACTGTGATCACAAAATACATCTATTCAGCTAAGATTTGAATAATTTTTTCTTGAAAGAAGAGTACGATTTTGAAAAGCTCTATAACCTTTAGTGTGGCTATCCATATAGCTATCTATATATAGCTATATATATATAGATAGATAGCTATATATAGATAGCTATATCTATCTATAGATATAGATTTCCTTAGATTCTAAAACCTGAGGATGGGTTGCTACACACAATAGCATAGATGAATCTCTCTAACAGGATGTTGGGCAATTATGCAATTCTCCAAATAACATAAAGAATAGATTCCATTTATATAAAGCAAAAAGGCAGGCAAAATGAAATTAAATGTTTTAGGCAGTTATAACAGTGCTAAAATCATGAAAATCAAGGAAATGTTTATCTCAGAAGCCAGAACAGTGGTTAACCCTAGGCTAAAATAGGGGGTTGGGATTTGATAGGACAAAGGAGTGGGCTTTATTTATTTATTTATTTACTTATTTATTTTTGAGACCGAGTCTTGTTCTATTGCCAAGGCTGGAGTGCAGTGGTGAGGTTTCTGCTCACTGCAACCTCGATCTCTCGGGTTCAAGCAATTTTCCTGCCTTGGCCTCCCAAGTAGCAGGGATTACAGGTGCACACCACCACACATTGCTAATTTTTGTATTTTTAGTAGAGATGAGGTTTCACCATGTTGGCCAGGCTGGTCTCAAACTCCTGACTTCAAGCGATCCACCCACCTCGGCCTCCCAAAGTGCTGGGATTACAGGGGTGAGCCGCTGTGCATGGCCAGGAGTGGGCATTATGCAGTGCAACAGTGATTCTATTTCCTAGCCTTACAGGTGGCCACAAGTATGTTGTCTTTATTTTTAAATTGTACATGCATGGGCAGGGCATGGTGGCTCAGGCCTGTAATCCCAGCACTTTGGGAAGCCGAGGCGGGCAGATCACCTGAGGTCAGGAGTTTGAGACCAGCCCTGCCAACATGGCGAAACCCTGTGTCTACTAAAAATAAAATTAGTTGGGTGTGGTGGTGGGCGCCTGTAATCCCACCTACTTGGGAGGCTGAGGCAGGAGAATTGCTTGAACGTGGGAGGTGGGGGTTGCATTGAGCCGAGATGACAGCCACTGCACTCCAGCCTGGGCAACAAAGTGAGACTCTGTCTCAAAAAAAAAAAAAAAAAGTGTACATGCATGTCTTGTGCATTCTTCTGTTTGCATGTATCTCAGAGAAAAATATTTACAAAGGTTGAAAAAAGGATAAAATAATAAAAATTCTCCCAAGGAGGAAAACCATATTTCTAACTTGTAGTGCAAAAAAAAAAAAGGATGTTCTAAATTAGTATTTTACAAAGTAACTTAACAGCATTTTGATTGCATGGGTAATATTTTCTAATAGAACGTATCAATTTTTACCTTATATGTTTAGCTATAACTTTCTTCTAGAATATCAATTTATAAATAGTTATAATGTGCCGTTAATTTATGTGGTTAATGTAAAACTTATCATAGTGAAGAAACAAAGCATTAGTGTTGGAAGTGTATATCATTCCTGCTGTTTTTGAAAGCATTATATATATGGCTTTTAAAGAAATTTCCTTTGGATCAGAAATGTAAACTGCAGCTATCAATTAGAAAAGTGAATATATTATCAAAGACTCATGGAAGTTTGAGACCCACGTGCCTTTGGTGAGTTGTCTAGGTTGAATTTTTTTTTCTTTAGCTTATTCAGAATGCAGGAGAAGATGCGTTTCAGATGAATCATGGGTCAATTTTTAAAGACCTTTAGATAAAGAAATTAAAACTTAAAAAAACTTTTCATGATTACAATTTTGTGTGTCTTACCATCTCTCTGATTCTAATGTGGGTAGTTACTGCCCATAGGTTTAATTTGGAAAGATTTAGGGAAGTAGTAATCAGTGGTCTTATTTTGTACAATAAAATTTTATGAATGTGACTTCCATAGTTTGTTAATTATATTGTCTTTGAAAATTATAAAAGGATCCTAATTAGGAAAAGTAGATATCTGTCAAATTTCTGTCATGCTGATATATTTTGAATATGTTTATTATTCTCTTAAGAAGTTCTTTTTCGACTTAAAAATGTTTGTCTCTGTAATATAGGTAGAGATATATTGAATTCGTATCCATGGTACTGATTGTTTTCACAACTGCTCTGTGCTATTAAGTCATTATTTCCAATTCATTTATTCATGCTATTTAAACAGATTTATATGTCAAACATATAAGTAAGGTCATAAATGTGTTTATCTCCTTGCATTTCAGGTTTTCAATCTCCTAATCAGTGGTATCTTCACATGTAGAGCTACTTTCCAACATTCGGACAATGTACCTTCCAAAGGAGGTAGTATTTGCCAAACACGCTTTCTTATGTGGTCTTTTGGGAGAAACAGCATTGGAATGATACACTCTATTTGTGTAGAGTTGTATTTGTCCTACCTTTTTTAAAACCTTAGCAAGAGAAGGCTTAGTGTGTATTAGGCATCACGATAGGTATTATTAAATTCTTTGCCTCATTTAATTTTCATGGCATCTCTATGAGATTAAACATTATTACTCTCATTTTACAGGTAACTAGTAAAGGCTCAGTGTTATTAAATTACTCATCAAGGATACAGTTAGGAGATCAAAGATCTGGGGGTGGACCCTGGTCTACCTGATTCCATATGTATTCTTTATATATATGTGTATATATTTATTATACTTTAAGTTCTAGGGTACATGTGCACAACATGCAGGTTTGTTACATATGTATATGTGTGCCATGTTGGTGTGCTGCACCCATTAACTCATCATTTACATTATTCTTTATCATAGTATGGTTATGAGGTAATGTTATAGAACTGACTTAAAGTCTGCATTTGGTGGAACTATTTTACTGGTATCTTTAAATCCAGAAACTGGCTTGTAATCTCTGGCTCAGGAATCCTCACCCTTCTCCATTGTCTTTTCACTTAGGACACCATCATATCAATCACTGTGAGTGCCTACACTTGCTCTGAAAATCTAATCCAACTCTCTCTTTCAAGCACTATCCATGCTGATGCTATCTTTCTAAAAGGCTGTTCTGAGCTATGTAGTGTAATAGTTAAGAGCATGAGTTCGAGAGTCAGACTGAGATTTAAATTCTAGTTCACTTTTAATCAGTCACGTGATTTTCCTTTAATCAGTCATGTGATTTTTAACAAATTACTGTCAGGATAAAGATCCTCTTTACCTTGTTAAACAAGACCCTTTATTATTTGGTTCTTGCCTGTTAGTCCAATGTCATCTCTTTCTAGTCAACTCCTAATCACTCTCCCTTGTTAAGGAGTTGCTTGTAGACATCTTGCTATTTTAGAGTCAAGCTTATATAAAAGCTGGGAATCATCCTTAAACATCACCTGAGGGATCAGAAAGATCTAAGATTTGTGGTTAGTCATATGCCTTTCTCAGTGGCTGAAATTCTCCTTTCATTGATTATTTACTCTCCCTTCCCCTTCTCTTCACATACATATTTGCTAAAACCTTGCCCAAAGGTAAGATCTTCTTAAGCATGGGGTCTTTGTTTTCCTTTGTGCTTTCATTAGTGCAATAAAATGCATGTATTTCTTCCATCTCTTTTATATTATACTTCATTGTAGTTGTTGATTTACTTATATCTTGTCTCTAGTAGAATCAGTGGTCATTAGAAGAAATCACTTCTTATTTAACTATCACTGGAATCTACTTCAGTGCCAGCCACATGGTAAATTCTCCACATTGTGGATTGCATGAGTGTGTGTCAAATTAATTCAATAGGGTAGGTGAAAATGAAGGCCAACATCAATACTAACTTAGAATCATACTTGTTTATCATCTGTGAAATGGGTCAAGAGGAGGAAATAGTATAATTCTAGATAAGTATATTTTATGTTAGCTATAATATTTCTAATAGAAGGTAAAGAGGTATAATTCTGTCATTTATATTTTTTCTTAAGATAGACCTTTATTAAACAGTCTACTACCTTTTCATTATTTTAGGCTAATATAAGCTGTATGGCAAGTTTGCATGTTGGTGAGCCAAAATTACTGAATAAATTCAAGGTAATAGAAATAAGTATTTGCTAGCTTATAACTGACTGTATATGTGTATATACTTTTGAATATGTACTATGGACATTATGGGGGTGTGCTGGGATAGATGCATTCATAGAGGATAGTAAATATCAAATTTAATAGTGCCAAAGTTTTCTTTTTTTTTTTAAATTATACTTTAAGTTTTAGGGTACATGTGCACAACGTGCAGGTTTGTTACATATGTATACATGTGCCATGTTGGTGTGCTGCACCCATTAATTCGTCATTTAACATTAGGTATATCTCCTAATGCTATCCCTCCCCCTTACCCCCACCCCACAATAGGCCCCGGTGTGCGATATTCCCCTTCCTGTGTCTATGCGTTCTCATTGTTCAATTCCCACCTATGAGTGAGAACATGCGGTGTTTGTTTTTTTGTCCTTGCGATAGTTTGCTGAGAATGATGGTTTCCAGCTTCATCCATGTCCCTACAAAGGACATGAACTCATCATTTTTTATGGCTGCATAGTATTCCATGGTGTATATGTGCCACATTTTCTTAATCCAGTCTGTCATTGTTGGAACCAACCCAAATGTCCAAGTCTTTGCTATTGTGAATAGTGCCACAATAGACATATGTGTTCATGTGTCTTTATAGCAGCATGATTTATAATCCTTTGGGTATATACCCAGTAATGGGATGGCTGGGTCAAATGGTATTTCTAGTTCTAGATCCCTGAGGAATCGCCACACTGACTTCTACAATGGTTGAACTAGTTAAAAATCCTCAATAAAATACTGGTAAACCGAATCCAGCAGCACATCAAAAAGCTTTCCACCATGATCAAGTGGGCTTCATCCCTGGGATGCAAGGCTGGTTCAGTATATGCAAATAAATAAACGTAATCCAGCATATAAAGAGAACCAATGACAAAAACCACATGATTATCTCAATAGATGCAGGAAAGGCCTTTGACAAAATTCAACAACCCTTCATGCTAACACTCTCAATAAATTAGGTATTGATGGGACGTATCTCAAAATAATAAGAGCTATCTATGACAAACCCACAGCCAATATCATACTGAATGGGCAAAAACTGGAAGCATTCCCTTTGAAAACTGGCACAAGACAGGGATGCCCTCTCTCACCACTCCTATTCAACATAGTGTTGGAAGTTCTGGCCAGGGCAATTAGGCAGGAGAAGGAAATAAAGGGTATTCAATTAGGAAAAGAGGAAGTCAAATTGTCCCTGTTTGCAGATGACATGATTGTATATCTAGAAAACCCCATTGTCTCAGCCCAAAATCTCCTTAAGCTGGTAAGCAACTTCAGCAAAGTCTCAGGATACAAAATCAATGTGCAAAAATCACAAGCATTCTTATACACCAATAACAGACAAATAGCCAAATCATGAGTGAACTCCCATTCACAATTGCTTCAAAGAGAATAAAATACCTAGGAATCCAACTTACAAGGGATGTGAAGGGCCTCTTCAAGGAGGACTACAAATCACTGCTCAATGAAATACAAGAGGATACAAAGAAATGGAAGAACATTCCATGCTCATAGGTAGGAAGAATCAATATCGTGAAAATGGCCATACTGCCCAAGGTAATTTATAGATTCAATGCCATCACCATCAAGCTACCAATGACTTTCTTCACAGAATTGGAAAAAGTACTTTAAAGTTCATATGGAACCAAAAAAGAGCCCACATCGCCAAGTCAATCCTAAGCCAAAAGAACAAAGCTGGAGGCATCAGGCAACCTGACTTCAAACTATACTACAAGGCTACAGTAACGAAAGCAGCATGGTACTGGTACCAAAACAGAGATATAGACCAATGGAACAGAACAGAGCCCTCAGAAATAATGCCACATATCTACAACTATCTGATTTTTGACAAACCTGACAAAAACAAGCAATGGGGAAAGGATTCCCTATTTAATAAATGGTGCTGGGAAAACTGGCTAGCCATATGTGGAAAGCTGAAACTGGATCCCTTCCTTACACTTTATACAAAAATCAATTCAAGATGGATTAAAGACTTAAATGTTAGACCTAAAACCATAAAAACCCTAGAAGAAAACCTAGGCAATACCATTCAGCACATAGGCATGGGCAAGGACTTCATGTCTAAAACACCAAAAGCAATGGCAACAAAAGCCAAAATTGACAAATGGGATCTAATTAAACTAAAGAGCTTCTGCACAGCAAAAAAAACTACCATCAGAGTGAACAGGCAACATACAGAATGGGAGAAAATTTTTGCAATCTACTCATCTGACAAAGGGCTAATATCCAGAATCTACAATGAACTCAAACAAATTTACAAGCAAAAAACAACCCCATCAACAAGTGGGTGAAGGATATGAACAGACACTTCTCTAAAGAAGACTTTTATGTAGCCAAAAGACACATGAAACAATGCTCATCATCACTGGCCATCAGAGAAATGCAAATCAAAACCACAATGAGATACCATCTCACACCAGTTAGAATGGCGATCACTAAAAAGTCAGGAAACAACAGGTGCTGGAGAGGATGTTAAGAAATAGGTACACTTTTACACCATTGGTGGGACTGTAAACTAGTTCAACCATTGTGGAAGCCAAAGTTTTCTCTGGAGCACTGAACTTTCATAAATTTTTCATTTGATAAGGCCAAACATTTTGAAAATTACACTTATTCTATAATCTCTAGGGACTATAATTGAATATGTGGATGAACTTTTTTGAATGTAAACTTTATGTAAATATAATACATACTCCCCAAAATACATATAAGTGTACATGTCAAAGCATTTTCACCTATGTAACCAGTAACCAGATAAAGAAGAAACAGAATATTACCAGAACAGGAAGACCTCTCCTCTCTCTTTACAGTCAGTCTTCACACTAACCCCCTGTCTATAAGTAGAGAATAAACTTTATCTTGGCTTCTAAAACTATGGATTAGTTTGGCCTGTCTTTGAACTTCATATAAATAGAGTCGTATGCTCTTCTTTTAGTCGGGCGTCTTTCACTCAAGGTTGTGTTTGTGAGGTTTATCCATGTAGTTGCAACTAATTCTAGTTCATTCTTTCTTATTGCTGTATATCTTTCCTACTATAGATGAAAATGTGGATTGCTTTGCATTTGAGACTATTATAAATACTGCTGCTCTAAAAAATTTTTGTTGATATCTTGGTAAACACGCATACACATTTTTACTTTACATAGATCTGAAAACAGAATTTCCTTGTCACAGAGTTTGTGCATGTTTACCTTTGATAATTTCTACCAAAGAGTTTTCCAAAGTGGTTACATGAATTTAAACTCCATTTGGTTGAGGGTTAATTAAGCTGCCTTTTTTTTTCTTTTTTTAGTGATACATGTTTCAGAGGGAAATTTCAAATCTAGTACTCTTAACTAATGGATATTGCCAAACTTATTATTTCTTACAGTTTAGGAAACTAAAATGCATCTTAGCTCATTTTTCTTGCAATATATATGTTAAAAATATCTTATTGTAACATATTTTTAACACTTTAACATATTTATTAATAAAAATGACAGTATTTTTGTCTAAATGTAGATATATTTTTAAATTTTAAAAATTGAGATATAATTTTTAGAGAAATATCTTTCTTCAAATATGATTAAGCTAGTCATAATTTTAATGAGCTGCTTAATTTGCTTTGCCGCAATTTCTGATACAGACCAACGGTGCCATTTTTTTGCAATGGGTTCTATTTAATTCAGCCTTTTTGCTTATTGTCTTTTTAAATCTCAGAAGCTGTTATATAAACTCTGAGATTTTGTATTAAATAGAACAAAGATTCAGTTTACATAAATGCTTGATTCCTGCCTGCCTGATGATCTTGCTAGGTGACACACTAAAGCCTTATGAAACTTCTACTTTGACACTCAGAGAAAGGCTTGAACAATTCTTATGGAATGATTTTCCTGGTGAGAAATGATAAAGATATTTAAATAGATGTTGAAGAAATGAATTCTCTGCAGAAGAATACAGCTAGGTAAGAAGAATTAACTGAGTTTCTTAAAGTTTCACTTTTGACAAGGATCTCTAAAACTAGTTATTTGTTTATTACTTCGATCTAGTTATCAGGCACTGAATTTTCTCCAAATGAACCACAGTACTACCTAAGGAACACTGGGATAGGCTTCTTTGATTCATGATCTCAGAGCCAATCAAACAGTCCAAGGAGTCAAGAATGAATAAGACCAAAGATACAAAAAGGGAAAAAAATAGAGGATTTTAAAATAGAACATTTACTTATGGCAAAAGCAAATATAGTATTAATTTCTGCATTCCTGCATCCATAAAAATCTTATCAGTTGATGATTTATCAATTATTTATTTGGCCCTTATCCTTTTTTAATGGCCTTTCTTATAATTCCTATATAAATAGATACTCAAGGAAGAGATAAAACATGGATATGAATTATGAGGTCTCATTTATTGCCTCTTTAATTTTATTCCAAATCATATCTTCTTTGCATGCTTTGGAAGGAGATGGAATGGTGAGCATAAAGATTGTGACAAGATTTTAAAAAATGAGGAATCTGAAGAACCAGGCTGTTGCCTAACTTTTGATGGAGGCATGGTTACCACAGCTACTGAGAACCTGTTCAAAAACTTCCTACTGCTCTATTAGATCTGTTTTGGTCCATCAGAGAAGACTGCAACTGATAGAAATGAACAGATGTGCCTAAAATATGTATCTTAGAAAAGAAAAGCCTGGTGAAGGCTCTCTAAAACTCAGCTCTAGGGACCAGAATTTGTATATGTCTGTTACTATATTCTCATCTATTTTAGATAAAACACTGAAAAATTTTATTCTCAATCATTTAATAAGTAAATGACTTTTCTTAGTAATTAAATATTTCATCTTTAAAATTGTAAATTGTAAATATGTTAAATTTTTGTCTCATTGCATTATTGTTCTTCAGTTAAACCTGAATCCATTCCATGATATAATTTTGGGATCTAATTAAAGATTTAAAGATATTCAGACCCCAGATTTAATACATTGTACATGGCAGTTTAGAAAACATATTTTGTATGCTTAATAAAGAAGGGAGACAATTGCCAACAAAAATTTTATTTTGTTAGTTTTTATTTACTTTTCTAAAAAGTGTTAGAATATTTTATGATAATTCAAGATAATGTGGCTAAAATTTTTATATTATAGTCATACTGGCATACTTAACAATATCTTTCTGCCCTCCGTGTTTTCTTGTTAATTATCACATACTTTGGCTTTAGATTAGATAAGCATCAGAAGACATAATTAATTCAAAATGAAAAAAATAATTTTTATTTTTCTGAATAAAGGATTTGTTAAGCAATATCCAGTAAAGGAAGTTAAAAGAAGGCTTTTTGTATGTGTGCTTTGTAGACTCTTTTCAGGGAAAACTAATATGTTAAGTAGTGTGAATGAAATGTGGCCCTTGGGTTTCCACTGCTTACAAATTGGATGCAAATTATACCTAGGACACCACACTAATCTCTTCTGGGCTTCCCTGCATCTTCTTTGCTTTACTGAAAAATGCTTTCTTGTCCCTTCTACACTTTCTGTGTATGAAACCCAAAAGCTGTGGCTGAGTCTAAAACTAATTACCTCCCACTTAAAACCCCTTCCCCAAGCAAACTGAAACCAAGACAACCCTAATTCTCCATTCATTAGAAAATATGCCACACTTTTTATCTTATTTGTTTTATATTTTTTGAACTAAGAAAAACCATTTATTTATTTAGATTCTTAAGTGAGAACATATTTGGCCTTTGGATATTGTAGACAGAACCAATTTTTATATATTTCAGTACAATTGCTTTTCATGGATAAGAAGAGTAACAGGGTCACTGATATAGTCTGGCTCTGTGTCCCCACCGAAATCTTATCATGAATTGTAATCGAATTATAATCCTCACATGTTGGAGAAGGGCCCTTGTGGGAGGTGATTAGATCATTGGAGTGGTCTCCCCATCCTGTTTTCATGATAGTGAGTGAGTTCTTACGGGATCTGATGGTTTTTATAAGGGGCTTTTCCTTCTTTACTTGATACGTCTCCTTCCTGCTGCCATGTGAACAAGGACATGTTTGCTTCCCGTTCAGCCACAATTGTAAGTTTACTGAGGCTTCTGTGGAACTGTGAGTCAATTAAACCTCTTTCCTTATAAATTGCCCAGTCTTGGGCAGTTTTTTATAGCAGGATGAAACTAAACTAATACAGTTAATTGGTACCACAGAGAGTGGGGTGCTACTTTAAACATACCCAAAAATGTAGAAGTGAATTTGGAACTGGGTAGCAGGCAGAGATTAGAACATTTTGGAGGGATCAGAATTAGACAGGAAAATGTGGGAAAGTTTGGAACTTCCTAGAGACTTGAAGAGCTCAGAAGACAGCAAGATGTGGAAAAGTCTGGAACTTCCTAAAGACTTGTTAAGTGGCTTTGACCAAAATGTTGATAGGCTGAAATGGTCTCAGATGGAGACTGAGGGACTTGTTGGGAACTGGAGGTAGAGTTCACTCTTGCTATAGAAAGAGACTGGTAACATTTTGCCCCTGCCATACAGATCTGTGGCGCTTTAAACTTGAGAGAGATGATTTAGAGTATCTGGTGAAAAAATTTCTTTTTTTGTTGTTGTTGTTTCTTTTATTTTTATTGTACTTTAAGTTCTGGGGTACATTTGCAGAATGTGCAGGATTATTACATATGTATACACGTTCCATGGTGGCTTGCTGCACCCATCAACCCATTATCTACATTAGGTATTTCTCCTATGCTATCCCTCCCCTATTCTCCCAGCCCCTGACAGGCCCTGGTGTGATGTTTTCCTCCCTGTGTCCATGTGTTCTCATTGTTGAACTCCCATTTATCAGTGAGAATATGCAGTGTTTTGTTTTCTGTTCTTGTGTTAGTTTGCTGAGAATGATGGTTTCCAGCTTCATCCATGGAAACAACCCAAATGCCCATCAATGATAGACTGGATAAAGAAAATATGGCATGTATACACCATGGAATACTATGCAGCCATAAAAAAGGATGAGTTCTGGTGGAAGAACTTTCTAAGCAGTGAAGTGTGCAAGAGGAAGTGTGGAGAATAGACATTTGGAAAATTTGCAGCCTCACAATGTGATAGAAAGAAAAACCCATTTTCAGGGGAGAAATTCAAGCCAGCTGCAGAAATCTGCATAAGTAGCAAGGAGCTGAATGTTAGTCAACAAGACAGTGGTGAAAATGTCTCTAGGGCATGTCAGAGACCTTCACGTCAGCCCCTCTCATCACTGGCCCAGAGGCCTAGAAGGGAAAAATGGTCTTGTGGGCCGGGTCCAGGGCTCTCCTGCTCTGTGCAGCCTTGGGACATGGTGCCCTGCATTCCGGCTGCTTCAGCTTTAGCTATGGCTAAAAGTGGCCAAGGTACAGGTCAGCCATTGCTTCAGAGGGTGCAAGCCCAAAACCTTGGCAGCTTACATGTGGTGTTGAGCCTGTGAGTACACAGAAGTCAAGAATTGAGGTTTGGAAACCTTCACCTAGATTTCAAAGGCTGTTTGGAGGCACCTGGATATCCAGGCAGAAGTTTGCTTCAGGGGCAGAGCCCACCATCTTCCAGATTCCAAAATGGTAGATCCATGGACAGCTTGCACTGTGCACCTGGAAAAGCCACAGGCACTCAACACCAGCCTATGAAAGGAGCCTGGAGGGAGGCTCTATCCTGAAAAGCCATAGGGGCAGAGCCCAAGGCCATGGGAACCCACCTCTTCCATCAATGTGACCTGGATGTGAGACATGGATTAAAGGAGATTATTTGAGAGCTTTAAGATTTAATTACTGCTGTGTTGGATTTCAGGCTGATATGGGCCCTGTAGCTCCTTTGTTTTGGCCAATTTCTCCCATTTGGAATGGGTGTATTTACCCAATTCCTGGACCTCCATTTTGTTTAGGAAGTAAATAACTTGCTTTTGGTTTTACAGGCTCATAGGTGGAAGGGACTTGCCTTGTCTCAAATGAAACTATGGACTTGGACTTTTGGGTTAATGCTGATATGAGTTAATATTTTGGGGCACTATTCGGAAGGCATAATTGTGTTTTGAAATGTGAGGAAGATGAGATTTGGGAGGGGCCAGGGGCGGAATGATATGGTCTGGCTCTGTGTCCTCACCCAAAACTCATCATGAATTGTAATCTGAATTGTAATCCCCATGTGTTGGGGAAGGGACCTCGTGGGAGGTGATTAGATCATTGGGGTGGTCCCCCTATGCTGCTGTTCTCATGATAGTGAGTGAGTTCTCATGAGATCTGATGGTTTTATAAGGGGCTTTTCTCCTTTGCTTGGCACTTCTCCTCCCTGTTGCCATGTGAAGAAGGACGTATTTGCTTCCCTTTCCACCATAATTGTAAGTTTACTGAGGCCTCCTCAGCTCTGTGGAACTGAGTCAATTAAACCTCTTTCCTTAATAAATTACCCAGTCTCTGGCAGTTCTTTATAGCAGTGTGATAATAGACTAATATAACCACATTTTTAAAATGAAAACTAACATCAAAAAATAAAATGTAGCTTCTCTCTTGCCTGTAACAGACTTAATTATTAACAGGAACCTCCACTTGGCTAGACTGGTGACAGTATTGTGTGGGTGTACGTAAAATGTACTTTCCAATGACAGTTTGAAGTATCTTAGTTTCTTGGGGATTAAGCACCCTTAATTTCGTTACTCAGCTTTTTTCAGAGGGGTGGTCCAGTCTGCTCCATTCTTCCCTTGCCTTCAGATGTTGGGTCTCTGCCCGTGGCTGCTTTTCTTCCTGACTACACTCTTCTGTTTCCCCATTGGCACCTATGCATGTTCTCTAAGGCATGTGTGAGAGCTGCTGACACTCCCCTGTTATAACGGATGTGGTGGTGAGGTGACTGGAGGGTGTCTCTTATGAGCTTCTATATTCTTTCAAGCCATATGTGGGGAAACATGCCCCTAGCTCCTGTGCTACCCTATTCCTATCTAGGTACTTCTACAGTTTGCCTCCTTCTTCACCAATGCACATCATGTTTGAACTATGAATAAGTCATAGGGACATTGGCATGCTCTCCTTAAGTTCTCTCCATTTCTGTTACTCCTTCCAAAAGCCAAAGAGTAGAAATGTGAGAGGATACATTGCTTTCTACTTCTTCTTCATGCCTGGTGGATCCTCAATTAACTCATAACTTCCTATTTACCTATTTGCTTTGCTCTATAGTCTTGAGCAATAATGGTGAGTTGGGGCAAGGGCCAGTAACTAGCTTGTTGATAAGGACAGTTATATTTGAAGATACTCCAATAATATTCTTCATATCAGACTAGTTTTATGTTTATGGTTACCAACTTGCCATTTTTCATCTACTGATGAATTACTAAAGTGAAAGATAAGGGAAACAGCAAACATAAATTAGACACATTTAGAATTTTTTGTATATATGAGACTTTGTACTATCAGCTTACATGAACTTTGAATTTCGGATTTACTGCACATTTAGGAGTGAGACCAGAAAGGCTCAGAAACAGAGGAAAAGTGACATATCTATAATCTCCACAATATCTAATTTATCTTTATAATTATTATAAAACCTGTATAAGCATAATATAACAGTTCTTTAGTATAAATACTAATCTTAACTATTTTATAGTATGCTAATGCGTATCCCTTCAGACTTTGAATATATTGTTGAAACCGAAGACTATCTAATAAAAATTTGATGTCATCTTGCAACATCAACCAGGACACAGATGACAGTGCTATTTGTCATTATGATATTTCATATTTAAGCCCTACTAGCCAGGAACAAATATCCCCACTTTGCAGAGAAAATTGAGGTATAGAGAACAAGTAATTTGCTCAAGATCTCAGAGCAAAAGGTGACAGAGCTGAGATTTGGGTCCAAGGAGTGTGCTCTTTTGTCTTAACTCTCTCATCACACTGTCTCTCTGTTAGGAAGAGGAATCTATGACATATGGTTGTATAGATGTGCAATTGCTCTCATTCTTGCTATATATTCTTTACCAAAATGCCAGCGACTAAGCTGATGTTAAAAATATAGCCACATAATCACACACACACACACACACACACACGCAAATAACAAACTCTCTTTTGAGTTTACATAACAAAAATAAAAATAATTTAAATGATCAGTTTAAATATGTAAACACAACCTAAAAATGAAAGTTTCAAATCTTAATATTAGCCCTGTCAATAAGTCAAGGTTTCCAGAACACACTAATTTAAACAAAAAGCTTCGTACCAGTATGGTTATTATAATTCTGATAACAATATCACAATGAAGAAACAGACAGCATCCACTAAGGGATGTTTAGCAACGCACATCCTGTATTTTCCTCCTGTGTGCCTATTCTCTCTCTCACTGGTTTTTACTTTGCTTCTAAGCATAATGTGCATTTTCTTTATTTTATTTAGCATATTCGTTATTCATATTACCCAGATTAAGCCCGTTAGGACAATTAATGACTGAGAATGCTTCTCTCTGTTCTGTTCACTTATCCATTCTAATTATACTTAAATGTGGCATTACATTTTCTTTATTTGAAACTTCAGAGAATAGAGACTAATGGAGCAATCAGACAAAAGGATACAAGCAGGTAGAAATGAAAGATTGCCTGTCATTAATTTATGACTCTGTGAACTTATTTGTGTTCATTTTCGAGGGGAATTTGCACTAAGTGTCTTTCATCTTGTACAAAGCAGACATTAAGTGCGTGAGACGAAAACGACAGACAAAATGTGGTAATTGAACTGGCCAAGCTATGTTATCATCATTCCAAAGCCAGCTAATAGGATCCTAATATAAAAGGACCCAGCTGAGTGAAGACAAAAAAATGAAACTCCTGCAGCTAGTAACTTAAAAAATGTGAAAGTTTGATTCAGTTATGTAATCTCCTTAAAACTTTAAATGAGAGAGGGCGTCACAGTTGGATGTAGGCATAGAGATTCCTAAATATTCCAGCAGAGACTATGAAAATATTAAAAGTATCTATATGACTTTTGTGCTTCCTCTTCCTAGTTTTCTTTTAGTTTTTCAGGATACAAAACGTCTTGCAGAACTTCAGAAACAAGAGGTTCCAGGATTCATTTTGCTCCTGAGAGAAAACGATGCCATCAGCTTAAATTTAGCAGAAATGACTAATCCAGTTGATCACACCAGTGAATTGTGAATTCAATCAAAATGGTCAAGCCGTGTATGAGACATGCTTAAGTATTACACAGGCTTTGACCATACCAAAGGGAATACCGTATCACTAGTCATATTCCTTAATTTTCTGTTATAGATAAAATTATCTAAGTCTAATCTTATGGTGTTTATCCAGAGACTGTGGGCAAAAGAAATGCTATATATATATATAAAATATATAATAAATATATATTATATAATATATATTATATATAATAAATATATATTATATTATATATAATATATATAATATATATTATATTATATATAATATATATAATATATATATTATATATATAATATATATAATATAATATATATAATATATAATATATAATACATATAATATATAATATATATAATATATAATATATATAATATATAATATATATAATATATAATATATATAATATATAATATATATAATATATATAATATATAATAAATATAATAAATATATATTGTAAATATATAATATATATTTAAATTTATTTAATTAATTAATTTATTTATTTAATTTAAATATATATTATATATCATATATAATATATATTTATATATATTATATATCATATATAATATATATAAATATATATCATATATAATATATATTTATAAATATTATATATCATATATAATATATATAAATATATATATATATATGGAGAGAGAGAGAGAGAGACTATATATAGGCAAATCTATGCACCTGCAATTAGATGTGCATGAGGTGCTAAAATTTCTAATTATGAGTGCCAATGGATTTTTGTAATAACCTGATAGAAATGATTCGATTTAGACCTAATTTTTAAAACTATTACCTGGAATTTATCAAATACGTAATGCATTTATTGTAATGTGTTTAGGTTTATTTCTCTAGTTCTTTGCTCTGATACTGTGTTTTAAATATGCCCTTTTCCCATCTTTGGCAATACTGAGTGTTTAAATTTTACTTTTCAGCTTCATTATTCCCAGCTTCAATAGACATCATAATTAGCTGGAAAAAAAATGTGATTTATTTAATTAAGGAATGTTGAAAAGTCATTGTGTAGTTGGTAATTCTTTGAAGATAAATTTATTTTGATAGATCCTAGCTCTAAAATCAATATTTAGAATGCCATATCAAACCATAAATTTTTGGCAAACTTTATATAAAACTTTTAAAAAGTAAAGTTTTAAGGAGATTATATAACTGCCTGTTAAATAGGCAAATATTTTCTTGAATATCTACATAGTTATGACGATTGCTGTTTATATGTATTTGTTACAGGTTTAGGTACATCATCATATCAGAATCTCTGTTCCTTTCAAAGGGGTAAGATGACTGCACTCATAAGTTCAGCTCACAATGTTAATGGAAGATAGGATTTCATAGTTTGCAAGAGTTAAAAATATGTAGGAACTTTACTTATAATCCCCAGCACCTATTTAGATTCTCTGGTGGGCATCAGCTACAAAGACGTTGTCCTGCCTGGAGGAACTCACAGGCTGGCAGTGGAGATGGCAGATGGCAGAGCTCTCGTTGACAGTCTTCTTTCACTTTTTGAGTCATTTTGGAATGCAGTCAGTTTCATGTGCGTCCGTGTGAAGAGACCACCAAACAGGCTTTGTGTGAGCAATAAAGCTGTTTATTTCACCTGGGTGCAGGCGGGCTGAGTCCGAAAAGACAGCCAGCGAAGGGAGATACGGGTGGGGCCATTTTATAGGATTTGGGTAGGTAAAGGAAAATTACAGTCAAAGGGGGGTTGTTCTCTGGCGGGCAGAGTGGGGGTCACAAGGTGCTCAGTGGGGGAACTTTTGAGCCAGGATGAGCCAGGAGAAGGAATTTCACAAGACAATGTCATCAGTTAAGGCAGGAACAGGCCATTTTCACTTCTTTTGTGGTGGAATGTCATCAGTTAAGGCAGGAACCGGCCATCTGGATGTGGCCATAAGGATGTGTACATGCAGCTCACAGGGGATATGATGGCTTAGCTTGGGCTCAGAGGCCTGACATTCCTGTCTTCTTATATTAATAAGAAAAATAAAATGAAATAGTGGTAAAGTGTTGGGATGGTGAAAATTTTGGGGGGTAGTATGGAGAGATAATGGGCGATGTTTCTCAGGGCTGCTTCGAGCGGGATTAGGGGCGGCATGGGAACCTAGAGTGGGAGAGATTAAGCTGAAGGAAGATTCTGTGGTAAGAGGTGATATTGTGGGACTGTTAGAAGAAACGTTTGTCATTTAGAATTATTGGTGATGGCCTGGATATGGTTTGGTATGAATTGAAAAACTAAACGGAATAAGAGAAGGAGAAAAACAGGTATTAAAGGTCTAAGAATTGAGAGGACCTAGGACATCTAATTAGAGTGCCTAAGGAAATTCAGCATAGTCCTGTCAGCAAAGATTATTTATTTACTTCAAGAGTTAAGAGTGGCAGTTTGGGGATAGCACCAGGAGATATCAGCTGTGATGGCTTGGAGAAACAGTGTAAACCGGCAGTGTAAACAAGAGCAGGGCATGTATGAGTAGTTGAGAATGGTGAATAGGAGTATGACTAGACAGAAGATAGTAGGGATGACAGGTTTTTTTGGGGGGCACAGTGTAAGTTAGTCTGGTGTCTGGAATGAGACTGGGGCCTAATAAAAAGGATCATCTATACAGGAGCTCAAATGGGCTGTACCCTGTAGCATTCTGAGGACAGGTCTGACTTCTGAGAAGAGAAAGTGGTAAAAGTATCGTCTAGTCCTTTTTAAGTTGGTGGCTGAGCTTGGTGAGGTGTGTTTTTAAAAGACCATTAGTCTGTTCTACTTTTCCTGAAGACTAAGGACTACAAGGGATATAAAGATTTCACTGAATACTAAGAGCCTGAAAAACTGCTTGGCTGATTTGACTAATAAAGGCTGGTCTGTTATCAGACTGTATAGAGGTGAGAAGGCTAAACTGAGGAATTATGTCTGACAGAAGGGAAGAAATGACTGCGGTGGCCTTCTCAGACCCTGTAGGAAAGGACTCTACCTATCCAGTGAAAGTGTCTACCTAGACTAAGAGGTATTTTAGTTATCTGACTTGGGGCATGTTGAGTAAAGCTAATTTGCCAGTCCTGGGTGGGGGCAAATCCTCGAGCTTGATGTGTAGGGAAGGGAGGGGGGCCTGAATAATCCTTGAGGAGTAGTAGAATAGCAGATGGAACAGTGAGAAGTTATTTCCTTGAGGATAGATTTCCATGGTGGAAAGGAAATGAGAGGTTTTAAGAGGCGGGCTAGTGACTCGTACTATAGCATAGCCTGCCTTTGCTGGTGTGTGGCGATTAGGCCTGGTGGAACTGCCATTAATAAATCAAGTGTGATCAGGGTGAGGAATAGGAAAGAAGGAAATATGGGGAAATGGGGTGAATGTCAGGTGGATCAGAGAGATACAGTCATGAGGGTCAGGTGTGGTATCCAGAATAATGTGGGAGGCCGAAATGAAGTCCGGGCCAGAACAATGGTAATTGTGGAACTTAACAAAGAGTGAGTACAGCTGAAGGAGCTGGGGAGCAGAAAGTATATGCGTCAGGTATGAGGAAGAAAATAGATTTTGGAAGTTATGAGAAATGTAGAGAGTACGTTGAGCATAGTTTGTGATTTTGAGGGCCTCTAAAAGTATTAGGGTGGCAGCAGCTGCTGCACAGAGACATGATGGCTAGGCTAAAAACAGTAAGGTCAAGTTGTTTGGACAGAAAGGCTACAGGGTGCAGTCCTGGCTCTTGTGTAAGAATTCTGACTGCACTAACCATGCCTAGGAAGGGAAGGAGTTGTTGTTTTATAAGGGATTGAGGTTTGGGAGATTGATCGGACACGATCAGCAGGGAAAGCATGTGTGTTTGTATGAGAATTATGCCGAGATAGGTAACAGATGAGGATGAAATTTGGGCTTGACTGAAGTAATGGGGGCTGTCTGTGAAGCCTTGCGGCAGTACAGCCCGGGTAATTTGCTGAGCCTAATGGGTGTCAGGGTCAGTCTAAGTGAAAGCAAAGGGAGGCTGGGACAAGGGGTGCAGGGGAATAGTGAAAAAAGCATCTTTAAGATCGAGAATGGAATAGTGAGTTATGGAGGAAGGTATTGAGGACAAAAGAGTGTACGGGTTGGTCACCACAGGATAGATAGGCAAAACAATTTGGTTGATAAGGCGCAGATCCTGAACTAATCTGTAAGACTTGTTGGGTTTTTGGACAGGTAAAATGGGGGAATTGTAAGGAGAGTTTATAGGTTTTAGAAGCCCATGCTGTAGCAGGCAAGTGATAACAGGCTTTAATCCTTTAAAGCGTGCTGTGGGATGGGATATTGGCGTTGAGCAGGGTAAGGGTGATTAGGTTTTAATCGGATGGTAATGGGCATGTGATCGGTTGCCAGGGAAGTAGAGATGTCCCATACTTGTGGGTTAAGGTGGGGGGATAGGAGAGGAAGACACGAAGGAGGCTTTGGGTTGGGGAGAAGGGTGGCAATGAGATGCGGCTGTAGTCCAGGAATAGTCAGGGAAGCAGATAATTTGGTTAAAATATCTCGGCCTAATAAGGGAACTGGGCAGGTGGGGATAACTAAAAAAGAGTGCATAAAAGAGTGTTGTCCAAGTTGGCACCAGAGTAGGGGAGTTTTCAGGGGTTTAGAAGCCTGGCCGTCAATACCCACAACAGTTATGGAGGCAAGGGAAACAGGCCCTTGAAAAGAAGGTAATGTGGATTGGGTAGCCTCCGTATTGACTAAAGGGACGGACTTACCTTCCACTATGAGAGTTACCCGAAGCTTGCGTGATGGTCTATGGGGCTTCCAAGGCAATTGGGCAGCGTCAGTCTTCAGCTGCTAAGCCCAGAAGGAGTCAGTCAGAGAGCCTTGGGCCAGAGTTCCAGGGGCTCTGGGAATGGCTGCCAGGTGAGTTGAACAGTCCGATTTCTAGTGGGGTCCCACACAGATGGGACACAGCTTAGGAGGAATCCTGGGCTGCAGGCATTCCTTGGCCTGGTGGTCAGATTTCTGGCACTTGTAGAAAGCTCCTGGAGGAGGAGTTTCTGGAGGAACGCCTGGCCGCTGCAGTTCAGGCATTTGGAAGTTCTTGTGTGCTGGAGATGTGGCTGGGGTTTGTCTCACAGTGCAGGCAAGGAATTCCAACATTTTTCTATTATTGTACACCTTGAAGGCGAGGTTAATTAAGTCCTGTTGTGGGGTTTGAGGGCCGGAATTTAATTTTTGGAGTTTTATTTAATGTCGGGAGCAGATTGGGTAATAAAATGTATTTTGAGAATAAGACGGCCTTTTGACGTTTTAGGGTCTAGGGCTGTAAAGTGTCTCAGGGTTGCTGCCAAACAAGTCATGAACTGGGCTGGATTTTTATATTTTATGAAAAAGAGCCTAAATGCTACCTGATTTGGGATAAAGGAAAAGGAGCATTAACCTTGACTATTCCTTTAGCTCCAGCCACATTTTTAAGAGTAAATTGCTGGGCAGGTTGGGGAGGGCTAATCACGGAATGAAACTGTAAGCCAGACCAGGTGTGAGGAGGGGAGGTGATAAAAGGATTATAGGGTGGAGGAGCAGAGGCTGAGGAAGAATTGGGACCTAGCTCACCTGGCAAGGAGCAGCCTGGGGAGGAGGGGAGAGGTCAGATGGTTCTGTAGAAAAGGAAGATTAGAAAGACTCAGTGACGCTTGGGGTTGGGACTGAGGGGACAGGAGGGAGGGAAAGAAGGAAGATTTGGGATGAGTTGCACTGGGCACAGAGACTAGGGAGGGACCGATGTGTAAAAGAATGCCTGGACGTCAGGCACCTCAGACCGTTTGCACATTTTACGACAAGAATCATTTAGGTCTTGCAGGATGGAAAAATTGAAAGTGTCATTTTCTGGCTATTTGGAACTACTGTCGAGTCTGTATTGGGGTCAAATGGCATTGCAGAAGAAAATAAGATGCTTAGATTTTAGGTCAGGTGAGAGTTGAAGAGGTTTTAAGTTCTTAAGAACACAGGCTAAGGGAGAAGGAGGAGGAATGGAGGGTGGAAAGTTGCCCATAGTGAAGGAGGCAAGCCTAGAGAAAAGAGAGAGTAGAGACACGGAGGGAAGGGGTTCAGGGGTTCTTACCCTCCAGAAAATCGGGAAAGGGGTCGAGGCACAGAGATACGAGGTTGGGGCGTGGAAATAAGGGATTGGGGTGCAGAGATTTAAGAGGTTGGGGTGTGGAAATAAGGGATTGGGGCACAGAGATATAAGGGGTTGGGGTAGTTGCCCCTCCCCCCGAAAAGTGGGACTTGCCGCTAAGGGTGAAGGAGAAGGGGTTGGGGGTTTCTTGCCCCCCAGAAAGGCAGAGAAGGGGTAGAGACACGGAGAGAAGGGGTTGGGGTACTTGCCCCTTCCCCAGAGAAGCGGGACTTGCTGCTAAGGGTGAAGGACCAAGGCAGGTGTCCCTGCATGGTCTGACACCTCTGAAACCTGGGTGAATAATCAGAGAGATGTCCCTGCAATGATTAAACACCAAGGGAAGGCTGCCTTCCCTAGTCTGTGACCGGTGCTGGAGTTTTGGGTCCACGGATAAAACGTGTCTCCTTTGTCTTTACCAGAAAATGAAAGGAATTGAAATTAAGAGAAGGGAGAGATTGAAGTGTGGTGCCAAGATTGAAAGGAGAAAGAGATTGAGGGATAGGGAGGTTGGAGAAGAGAGTAAAAAGAGGCCACTTACCAGATTTGAAATTGGTGAGATGTTTCTTGGGCTGGTTAATCTGAGGACCTGAGGTCATAGGTGGATCTTTCTCATGGAGCAAAGAGCAGGAGGACAGGGGATTGATCTCCCAAGGGACGTCCCCCGATCCGAGTCACGGCACCAAATTTCATGTGTGTCCATGTGAAGAGACCACCAAACAGGCTTTGTGTGAGCAATAAAGCTGTTTATTTCACCTGGGTGCAGGCGGGCTGAGTCCGAAAAGAGAGCGAAGGGAGATAGGGGTGGGGCCATTTTATAGGATTTGGGTAGGTAAAGGAAAATTACAGTCAAAGGGGGGTTGTTCTCTGGCGAGCAGAGTGGGGGTCACAAGGTGCTCAGTGGGGGAGCTTTTGAGCCAGGATGAGCCAGGAGAAGGAATTTCACAAGACAATGTCATCAGTTAAGGCAGGAACAGGCCATTTTCACTTCTTTTGTGGTGGAATGTCATCAGTTGAGGCAGGAACCGGCCATCTGGATGTGTATGTGCAGGTCACAGGGGATATGATGGCTTAGCTTGGGCTCAGAGGCCTGACAGTCAGTATGTTGTTACACCTCTCTTCCAAACTCATCAAATTTTAAAAGGCTTTAATAAGAAATAATTTACTAAAGATTTAGTGGGGAAGATCACTCATACTAGACCAACTCATGCTAGAAACTTAGTGAATTTCTTCAGTAGGTATATATGTTCTTCTCTCCAGGGTTTCTCCAATCTCTTGACCTCCTCATTTCTCTGCTTTTTCCTCACTCTGTGGATCTCCTTTATTACCCTAAGCAGTTCTGCTTAGTCTATTCTTTTGGCAAAACATAAGTCTGGTGGTTAATGGAATGGTGAATACTTGTTGCTTCCTAAGCAATGGCATTTGAAGGGTTTCAGTGCAGTCCAAGTAGCTTACCTAAATAGTAACAACAAATTAAACTCATTCTGTGAACTAATTATGAGGTAATAGATACTCAGATGAATATGCAATAAAATCTGCACTGGCTAAGAAAAATTAATAAAACTAGTGACTTACAGTCTGGATCTGAAGAACACATAAGGATCTTCCAGGTAGATAAGTTGAAGGTGCATTTCAGATAAAAGCGGAGGGTATGAACAGAGCATGAAGAATGAAAAGTGCATGCCTTGGAGGAAGTTGTAGTTTGCTATGGTTAAATTATGGCTACTGAGAGTGTTAAAGAAAATTAAAATGGAGACAAGGCCTAAAGAATGCCTGGGGAGACAAAGCCTGTTATGCCTCATAAGTGACCTTAGTCTTGCTTAATTTGCAAGTATAAACAACACTTAACTTGGGCTACTTCTTGTATATGCCTTTGAGAAAAATAAAACTTAAGGCTAACAAATCAGAAGCTACCAACTAATTTTTGTAACTAGGGACTTCCCAGCAAGGTAGATCAAATAAGGCAACTGTATAACTGTAACCAATCAAATATTTTTGTTGCTTTATTTCTGTTTGCCTTATAAAAACCTTCCTCTTGTATTCCCTTGACAGTGCTCCCAAACCACTTCTAGTTTGTGGTTGCCTGATTCTTGAATTATTATTTGCTCAAATAAATTATTTAAAATTTTATGGTGTCTCAGTTTAGCGTTTAACAAGGGCAAAAGGATGCCTAAATATGAGGTTGAAGTAGTAGTCATGAAAGGTCTTAAATGGCATGCTGTGGAATCCAGGTATTTCCTTTAGGCAAAAGTGAGCCATAGGAAAGTAATTCCTAGCTTGATAGCTGGTTGGCTAGGTAAGTAAACAAAATAAATACCAATTATTAAATGCACTCTTAATAATTATTGATTGTACTTATTTTATGTTTACTTATTTCACATAACCATATACTCATTTTATAAAACTATACTTGTGGACAGGTGGCAAAATTAAGTGAATTATATCTATATTTTTCTTTTTTAACTTTTAAGTTCAGGGGTATAAGCACAGGTTTGTTACATAAGTAAACTTGTGTTATGGGGGTTTGTTGTACAGATTATTTCATCAGCCAGGTATTAAGCTTAGTATCCTTTAGATATTTTTTCAACTATTTTAAAATTTTCTATCTTTATCGTCCTTCCTTTCACTTAGAACTGCTTATTTCCTGTTATAGTAATGCCATTATACCACAGTTACCACTTTCCACTTACTGAGATCAATGCAGTATAAATAAGGGCATTTAAACCCAAACATTTCCAAGTAGATTTCAGGAATTAGAATGTTTTCATTGTTTTCTGTGCTTCCTCATTTATTCATTCATAAAATATTTATTGAAAAAGTACTATGTGACTGGCCCCATGACACACATAGGATTGTATAGTTTTTGTAGCTGGACCCTTTCGTTTCCTGTGACATGCTTTATTCAGTAGTTATGTAATTTTACAAATAAGTTTCAGGATGTGAAAAGACTTGCCCAAGATCATAGCCTTAGTGGTGGCATAGACTGTACTAGGAATCAGGACTCCAGATACTTTTTCTCAGTACCTTCGAGTAAACGTCTGATCTGTAGCATAGGGAAACTGGTTGGATTGCATAAGGAGTTAATACATTGTCCAGATGCCATAATCAATGAGAGGCTGATCAATGAGTTTGGTCAGAATTTGCTGATGTTATAAATCATGGAAGGTTGACTGACTGTGCTGCAGCTATAAATATCAGGAAATTCTTCATTACTTAGGGGAAATACTCAACATTTCACAATTAATGGATCACTGATTTCACTTTTTTATTTTTAAAATGTTTTGGGCTGCCTTATAGATGAATCAGGGGTTAGTAACTGCATATTATTAAATTCCTTGTAGAAACATCGGATTTGAAATCAAAAGAAATGATTTTGCTTGCGTTCAGGATCCATCATGTCCTATTGAGAGAACTTGTCTATAAATAACAACAATCAAAATTTGTTATTTCAAATGAGTATTTTGAGAAAAGCATTGCAAAAGCATAAGGGGCTATAATATGATATTTCAGAATTTACTCAAAATAATTATTAAGTATTCTTAATTAAAAGTGATAAGAAGATATGGTAATTTCTATATAATTCTAAAAGTGAATTTAATTTTTTTAAATATTGAAAATATAAGAGTAGCAAGATAAATTACTACTTTTGTTTTCTAAAAGTGCTACTGAAATTCTATGCTCTTTGGACCTGGATTTTTAATCATCATTTTTATTCAATAATCTATGCCTAGGAAACTTATAATTTAGGTTTTTATTCATATAATAGTCTTAGTAATTACTAATAGTGTTTTTAGTGTACACCATAGTAATGATTTACATACAATCAAGTCTTGAAATGATTATTAATAGAATTATTATAAACCCCATTTTATAGCCAAGAACACCTGAAAGTTGAGGAACTTGCTTAAGTTCATATAGCTACTTAATAATAATTGGTGCAATATACAGCTAGAACCAAAATTTGTGCGTAGGGACAGTGACACCAGCACCTAAGCTAATGTACCCTTCTGTTAAAACAATTTGTTAGTATATCAAAAATAAGTTTTATGTAATTTTAATGGATGTGAATAAACTCAATTTGATTTTGTTGTCACCTATCATACTAAAAGACTAAAATATAAAAATATTTCCTCTGTTTATTGAAAAATATGTGTTTGCGATAGTGTGGAAAGGCTTTAAGCAAATGCTTGTCATCTTTATAGTTTGTCTTCAAGGGTTGTACATTTTTTACCCTTGAGCATTTACTAGAATGGCTTGTGAAGTCACATCAACTTCAGATCACATCTGCCTTCCATCACCAAGTTCCTGTTATTCTAAAGAACCCAGAAGCAAAGCTTGAATGCATTTAGTAGTAAGAACAGGTGCTCACCGATACCACTAGTTATTTAGCATAACTAGATTCAGCCTTATTCAAGCCTGGAAACTAAAAGGTCATCCAACTGAAAATGTCTTCCATCTGTTTTTATTATTCTCCTGTCCAGCATTGTGTTTTGCTGTTTATACATAAAATGAGTTCATAATAAAACATTTTTAAAAAATTACTGGCAACTTGAGGTAAAACGCTTTTGCTTTGAAGTATTTAATAGGATGGTTATTTTAAAATTTAAATATTATAGGCTTTTAAATTATTTTAATATGACAATTATGACAGCAGAAATTTAACTGGAAATATTCCTCATGGTATTTCCTATTATTAGTACTTCCCATTATAATATGGATTAAAATATTAAAATAGTTTAAATTATCTTCAAGAAGGTGAGAACAATGCTATATGATATATTTTTATATGTATGTATGGTACATGATATAAATGTATATACATACATTTATATGTATTATTATTTATATTTATGCTAAATCATATATTTTCTAGAAATATGTGGTTTCCTATATACTATTTATTTGTTGATTCATTTATAATTCTCAATTATTTTACACCTACTACAGTTAATGAAATATAATGGTGATCCACTAATGCACAAAATAGACTTGATTTATCTCTAGAGAGACAATAAATATTAACCTGACAGTGACATAACTAATATGAGCATTACAATTGTGACATATTTTGAAGAAGTACATGATACTGTTTATGTAATTAAATATTTATACCAATAAAGCTGGGTTAGTGCATTATACCAGTAAGTTTAAATACAGTTTATGAATAACTATCAGAAAATAATTGAGGGATCTAATCAATTCATTTAGCAAAATTTTTATTTATGCTGAGAAATAAATAAGATTGCTTATAACCTGTAGTAGCTTATGGTCTGAGGGTGGAGTCAGAAGAGAAAACAAGATACTGGTAATGCAGCTTGTTAAGTGTTATCGTGGGGAAGCAGAGGAGCCCTGGAGGCATAAAAGAGGTGCCCTCATGCACAGTGAGGGGGCTTGGGAAGTTACACTGACTTTGAAACTGAGACCCAAGGAGACTTGGAGTTCCCAACTATGTATTTGTGTCATTTTAGTGTTGTGAATAACTTACACATATCATAATTGATACATGCAATTTTAAAACCTCTGTATATCAAAAACAATAATAAACAAAGGCAGGGAGAAACCCTTGAAAAGATATTTTCAACATGCAGACAGGTTAAAAAAAGTTATCAGCATTAATGTCTACACAGCTCTTTTTGAAGCAATACAAACTACTCAGTTGAAAAAAATGAACACAGGACACAAAATGACATTTCAAATAATAAATACAATGGCCAACTAAGAGAGGGGTAAATGCCGAGCTTAATAGGAATCAAAGATGTGAGTAAAGCAAGATACTTAGGCAGAGATATTTTTTAATATTTGAAATCAATATTGATTAGAGAAAAGAAGCACTCATTAGCCCTGCTGTTAGGAATGAAAATGAAGTGAAAACTTTGGAGGATTTTGTTAATGTATACTGAAATTTAAAACATACCTATCCTTTTGACAGAAGTTCTAATGTTAGAAATTTCTCCAGAGGGAAGTGATTGGACAATTGGATGGAGACTTAGACTCATCATAATACTTATATCAAAAAATTATTAATGTAAATGTTTTATTGGAATTGTAAATAAAATTAGGAATATTTACTGGAATACTCTGGAAGTTATTAAAATTATTATGTACATATGTTCAACACATATAAATGAAACAAATTCCAAAACTAAGAACATGATTTCATTTAAAAAATGACTTGTCCATATGCATAAAATATGAAGCATATACTCTAAAATATACAAGTAGTGTTAAATTACAGGTGATTCTTTGAAATTCCCCTTTAGTTTGTTTTTCAACAATGAATATGTATTGCTTATGTAATAAAGAAATACAAAAACAGACGCAAAGATGAATGGAACAGAAGAGAGAGAACAGAAATAAGACTGCACACCTATGACCATCTGACCTTTAACAATGCAGACAAAAACAAGCAATGGGGAAAGGACTCCCTATTTCGTATTATAAATGGTGCTGGGATAACTGGCTAGCCATATGCAGAAGTTTGAAACTGGACCCCTTCCTTACACCATATACAAAAATCAACTCAAGATGAATTAAAGACTTAAACATAAAACCCTGAACTATAAAAACCCTGGAAGACAACCTAGGCAATATCATTCTGCACATAGGAATGGGCAGGGATTTCATGACAAAGACACTAGAAATAATCATAACAAAAGCAGAAATTGGCAGGTGAGATCTAATCAAACTTAAGAGCTTCTGCACAGCAAAAGAAACCATCAACAGAGTAAATAGACAACCTACAGAATGGGAGAAAATATTTGCAAACTATGCATCTGACAGTGGTCTAATATCCACCATCCATGAGGAACTTAAACGAATTTACAAGAAAAAAAAATCATTAAAAAGTGGACAAAGGACATGAACAGACACTTTTCTAAATACATACATGCAGCCACCAAGCATGTGAAAAAAAGCTCAATATCACTGATCATTAGAGAAATGCAAGTCAAAACCACAATGAGTTACTATCTCACAACAGTTAGAATGGCTATTAGTAAAAGCCAAAAAAATAACACATTCTGGTGAGGCTGTGGGGAAAATGGAACACTTATACACAGTTGTGGGAGTGTAAATTAGTTCAACCATTGTGGAAAGCAGTATGGCGACTCCACAAAGATCTAAAAACAGAACTACCATTCGACCCAGCAATTCCATTACTGGATATACACCCAAAGGAATATAAATCATTCTGCCATAAGGAGGCATGCATGTGAATGTTTATTACAGCACTATCTACAATAGCAAAGACCTGGAATCAACCTAAATGCCCTTCAAAGAGAGATTGAATAAATAAAACGTGGTACTTATACACCGTGGAATACTGTGCAGCCATAAAAAAGAATGAGATTACGTCTTTTGCAGGAACATGGATGGAGCTGGAGGCCATTATCTTTGCCATGCTAATGCAGGAACAGAAAACCAAATGCTGCATGTTTTCACTTATAAGTGGGGAGCTAAATGATGAGAGCTCATGAACAGAAAGAGGGGAACAACAGACACTGGGGCCTACCTGATGGTGGAGGATGGAGGGAGAGTAGCAGGAAAAACTACTGAGAATTAGGCTTAGTACTTGGGTGATGAAATAGTCTATACAACAAACCCCCCATAGCATGAGTTTACCTATATAATAAACCTGCACATGTACTCTTGAACGTAAAATAAAAGTTAACAAAAAGAAACATATCTAAGTGGAAGTTTTAGATAATTCGAAAATTCCTAAACTTTTACTCTCAATTTTGATCTAGATTGTCACTATAAATTCCATTGAGAATTTAGTGCTCAAAAATCAGGATAAGCTCAAGAAATAGCATATTTTTAAAATCTGGAAGCAAAATATTTCAAGAATAATCAACTGTCTACCTAAAATATTACTTCATTTACAAAATTCCATTATAATTTATTTTAAAAAACACTACTACATAAAACATATTATATCAGAAAAATTAAGTCATAGAAGATAGTGAAATATAGTCATTAACAAGAGGAACAAAGAAGACGTAGATAAATAAATATATATATACACACACATATACAAATAAAAGGCCCATGTGATCAAAATCAGCAATAATTTTAGATGAATAAATGAAAATGTTTGTACACATAAAATGTGGAAAGAGCCTATTGTAGATAAATTGGTAAAGTAAGACATTTAATGATGGATCTTACAGAGTTTTAAATCAGAAAAATATTTCAGTGAGCACAGGGAAAGATATTTTAGCAGAAGAGGTATTCTGTATTAGGTTTACAATAAAACTAAAATATGAGATTCCCAATTATGCCATTCATCACCTAGCTTGGTCAATTTTCTGAGAGTCCTCAGTAGAGTCTAAGTTCTGTTTTGTTAAAGTGTTTCTCACTGTTGTATACTCAATGTCTTACACTGTTCCCCATCACATGATTGAATGTTGACTGTCTACTATGAGATAGACAAGGCAGCTATTCCTTTAGAAATGTAGAACCTGAAGCTCAGGAATAATACTGGAGACAAGATTGAAAATTAGATATTTTCATTCTAAGTCTATGATTTTTGGTTTTGCTGTGCTGGTGAAATGTAACCAGCAAGTAATTAATAAGATTGAATCCAATACTTTGGATCATTAGCTAGGGAGATAAAGATGATTTAAGATGAAATAATAGTGAAGGATTTTGAAATTCGTATCACAATTTTTAATTTGAATTGAGAGCTCTGCATCCCTCTGGAAAAAGAATCTCTTCCTTGGGCAGGATACTACTAGCTATTAAATTGTATGTAAATGCAAGTGGAAATTGACAATAAAGAAACATGTGAGTGTGTTGAGATGTAACGTTCATACTTAGCTTACTGAAGAAACAGTTCTAACTATTTTGAGAATATATTTGTAGAAGAAGATTTTATGAGATCCCTGGTAATTCACTTCATTACCTTAATAATCATATAGTCTAAATTTCCTTATTATTCTCTCATATATAACTCAGCTTATTGATGAAAAAATTATCTAACATTTATTAAATGTTTACTTTCTGCCTAGCACTTGCTTAATGTTTTCCATTAGCTTTTTCAAATAATCCTCCCAACAATACTGTGAAGTATGTATATTATTATTCCTACTTTACAAATGGTGGCATACTTGAGATTAAATAATTTGTCCAAAATTATTTAGCTGATACACGATACATGGGAATTTTTTTCTTTTTTGAAATTTTAATTTTAGGTTTAGGGGTACATGTGAAGGTTTGTTACATAGATAAACATGTGTCACAGGGGTTTGTTAGCCACATTATTACACCACCGAGGTAAGAAGCTCAATACCCAATAGTTACCTTTTCTTCTCCTCTCCCTTTTCCTACCATCCACCCTCAAGTAGACCGCAGTGTCTGTTGTTTCATTGTTTGTGTTCCTAAATTCTTATCATTTAACTACCAGTATAAGTGAATACATGCAGTATTTGGTTTTCCATTCCTGTGTTAGTTTGCTAAGGATGATAGCCTTCAGCTCCATCCATGCTCCTGCAAAAGACATGACTTCCTTTTTTTAACAGCTGCGTACTATTCCAGATACATGGGAATTTGAATCCAGGATCATGTGATTACAAAGTCCACTGACACGAGGACACTTTCATACTGACACATATTTTGTGGCATTGGAAAATAGTTGTAAAACACATTTTTGATAAGCATTTAGTTTTTGAAGATATTAAATGTATTTACTGTCTTTCTTTAAATGGAACAACCCAGCTCTCTTTAAATGGTATTTATCTGTAAAATAACCAAATAATTCACCACATTTGCATCCAGATAGTTCCTGGGATTTCTCCTCACCCCCATAACTATATCTTACTGTAAGTCTTGTAATTTGAGTGATATATACTAGCTAGCAAACATTTTTTAAAATATATCGATCATTTATATACATTTAATGTTGAAAACTCAAAACACCATTTGGCTGCTTTTCCAGAGTGATTAAAAACTTTGTGTCGGGTCAGGAGCAGCAGTTCATGCCTATAATCCCAGCACTTTGGGAGGCTGAGGCATGCAGATCACTTGAGCTCATGAGTTTGATTCCAGCCTGGGCAATATGGCAAAATCCTGTTTCTACCAAAAATACAAAAAATTAGCTGGGCATGGTGGCATGGGCCTGTGGTTCCAACTACTTGGGAGGCTGATGTAGGAGGACGACTTGAGCCTGGGAGGCAGAGGTTGCAGTGAGTCAAGATCTGCCACTGCACTCCAGCCTGGGCTGGAGTCTCAAAAAAAAAAAAAAAAAAAAAAGAAAACAAAAGAACCTAACAACTTTGTGTCAAAGAGGGAGAAGAAGATTAAAAATATAAGTAAAAAATAACAAAGAGAATAACCTTTTAAAATATATAGTATGTGTTTGTTTTCTTATTTACTTGAGTTTACATAAATATATGCCTTCATAGAATTACCAAGATGCTGTAGGTTCTCAAAGTAGACTTCTGAAAAATTGGAATATATCAAACACACACAAACAACAGTACCTATGACTAAATCTGTGTCTTTAAACTGGATGAGTGTGACAATTAAGGAAGTTTAATAATAGTCACAGTGGTGTACTATATAAAATGCTTCTCCACAGTAATATTACAGACATTGCAAGTATGTATTAATAAGCACATTTATTTTCATTTCTAAGAGTAGAATTCTATTAAAAATAAATATTTTGTTACTTTGATCAGGATGTATTTTATTGTCTGTGTTTGAAGAGAAGGCAATATTAATTTATCACAGTTTAACAAAGGCACGATTTCTCAAAAGCATAATTTGAAGTTACATAATAATGTACAGATATTTTGCCAATTCTTAACCTAGGTTATGACACTTTACACATTCTTTTTTAGAATATGCTTTGTAAAAATTATTTTATTGCGGTAAGAATGCCTAACCTGAGAGCTATCCTTTTAACAGATTTTTAAGTGTACAATACATTATTGTTGTCTATAAGTATAGAATAAGCTTTTAAAGCACCATATCTTGGTCTTTTGTTTGTTTGTTTGTTTTTTGAGACAGAGTCTCGCTCTGTCGCCCAGGCTGGTGTGCAGTGGCATGATCTCGGCTCACTGCAAGCTCCGCCTCCAGGGTTCACGCCATTCTCCTGCCTTAGCCTCCCAAGTAGCTGGGACTACAGGCGCCCGCCACCACGCCTGGCTAATTTTTTGTATTTTTAGTAGAGACGAGGTTTCACCGTGTTAGCCAGATGGTCTCGATCTCCTGACCTCGTGATCCGCCCACCTCGGCCTCCCAAAGTGCTGGGATTACAGGCGTGAGCCATTGCACCCGTCCCATATCTTGGTCTTAAAAGTTATTTCAGAATTTTAAATATATATTGCAGAACTTTTCCTCACATTATCAAATGTTAACAGGACATAACCTGCACCAAAATCCTTTCATATGCTTGTTACATTCTCAAATAGAAGATCAGATATTGACATGTTTCGTACATCACTTCCTTATATAAACATTTTCTTATCCTGAATATAATAATTAATGATATGTGGTAACAATGATATTTATTAAATTCCAATTTGGGTTCAGTAGTTTCAGTAGTTGTTCTTTATACATTTTATATACTAGATGTTGTAGAATCTTGATATATTCTCAGATATTTGTTGAGTTCATAGAATAGATAAAAAATTTTGGCTGAAAATGAGAACATTTTCTTGAGTATATTAACGAATAAGAAGGTTATAAATATGCTATATAGACTGGAACATTAAATTAAGCAAAAGTATTTATTCCAAAAGTGAAACATGGTCATCTACTGCAAATATAGCATTCTTTAAATGATAGATATAAAAATGAGAAATGCAAAGGCAATGTTTACAACCTCTGCTCCCGCGTTAGTCTCTAGGAGTGATTTCTTTCCCCTTCTGGTCATGCCTGGCTTAAAGGTAGGTAAACCGTTTTAGTGCATTGGTTTGCATGATAATAGAAAATGTCCTTTACAGAGTAATGATAAGGGCTAACACATTGCATAGCATAAAGAATGTAGTTATAAGAGTAAGTGAACAAGTGATGGAAGGGATAATTCACAGTAGGTAATGGCACTGTCTATGGCCATCATTAGAAAGTACTGTCTGATAATATAAAATTTTCCATATTAAGCCTAGAAACTTAAGCTAATATAGATTTTAGTAACTGTTCTTTGTCCCTCCATTTCATAGCCAAAGTTGTGTCAAATAAGTAATGTTTCAGTAACCCCAACTGTACTGATAGTAAAGTAGGAACAGTTGACTCTGAGTGTACGGCATGTCTCCAAGATCAAATAGTTTTGTCAAAAGATTAAAGAACTGTCCTTTCTTTACATCATCCACTCCCCAACTTTTTCCTTACTGACAAAGAGTGTAGAGATGACTGGAAGAATTCCAAAATGATGGTGGCAATTTTGGAGTGACAAAAAGGTTTTGAGAAAAGCCAAAAAATTTTGGCTACATTTACCTTGAATGATAACAACATTAGGAAAATTTATCAATGATAATACATAAATTTATCAGCAATTTCAAGTGCATCATGGCAAATATTTGTAATTTATGCTAAATGCTCATTTACATACATATTATAAATAAGGTATTCAATTTTCAATTTAATGTTTTATAGAATACCCCAACTTTAAAGTGTATCTGTATTTTAATGTATTTATTATTTTATTTTATTGTGGTAAGAAGACTTGACATCTAGCCTCTTAAATTTTTAAGTATACAATACCTTATTGTTGACGATAGGTAGAATGTTGTAGAGCATATCTTTAGAACTATTCATCTTGCTTGACTGAAACTTTAAGACCCTTGATTGATAACTCCCCTTTTGCCCCTAGAAACTACCCTTCTATTCTTTGACTCTATAAATTTAACTATATTAGATACCTCATATAAGTGGAATTATGCAGTGTATTTTTCTCTATGACTGGCTTATTTCACTTAGCATAAAGTCCTCAAGGTCCATAGATGTTATTGCAAATGGCAGGATGTCTTTCTTTTTTAAGGTTGAGTAATCTTTTGTGTATATATACCATTGTATATTCATTCAAGTGTCAATGGACATTTAGATTGTTTTCACATCTTAGGTATTGTTATTGCTGTCATAAACATAGGAATGCTAATATCATTTTTCAGATCCTGATTTAAAATATTTTCGATAAATACCCAGAAGTGGGGTTGCTGGATCATATGATAGTTCTGTATTTAATTTTTCATGGAACCTCCATATTGTTTTCCATAGTGTCTGCACCATTTTGCATTTTCACCAACACCATGCAAGAGTGACAATTTCTTCACCTTCATACCAACTCATATTGTTATTTTTAATGTGTGCGATAATAGTCATATTGCTGAGTATGATATATTTCATTTTGGTTTTAATATGCATTTCCCTGGTAAGTGGTGGCATTGAGTACTTTTTCACTTACCTGTTGACCTATGTATGTCTTCTTTGGAAAAATGTTATTTGAGTCCTTAGCCCACTTTATAATCAGGATTTTATTATTGATTTATAAGAGTTCCTTATATATTTTAGAGCTTAATCCCTTATCAGATATATGGTTTGAAAATATTTTCTCTCATTCCATAGGCTTCTCTTTACTTGTGAATTATTTCCTTTGCTGCGCAGAAGCTTTTTAGTTGGATATAGTCCCACTTGTCTATTTTTGATTTTGTTGCTGTGCTTTTAATGTCAAATCCATTAAACAATGTCTATGACAAATATCATGAAGCTTTCCCCCTATGTTTTCTTCTAGGAATTTTACAGTTTCAGGTCTTATATTTAAATCTCTAATACATTTTGAGTTGATCTTTGTGTATGCTGGTAAGATAGGAGTTCAATTTTATTCTTTTGCATGTGGATATCCTCATTGTGTATTCTGGGCACCCTTGTCAAAGATCAGTTGACACCAGATGTCTGGATTTATTTCTTGGCTCTTTAGTTTGTTTCATTGGTCTACATGTCTGTCTTTATGATTTTGCAATATACTTTGAAGTCAGGAACTGTGATGCCTCCAATTTTGTTTTTTTTTTTCAAAATTGATTTGGTTATTTTTGGTCTTTCGTGGTTCCATGTATTAGAATTGTTTTCTCTATTGAACATAGTGGCTCACACCAATAATTCCAGCTATGTGGAAAGCTGAGGGTAGGAAAATTGCTTGAGGCCAGGAGTTTGAGACCAGCCTGGGCAACATAGTGAAACCGCCATCTCTAATACAACTTTTAAAAATAAAAGAGTTAGCCGAGTGTGGTGTCATGTACCTGTAATCCAGCTACTCTAAAGACTACTTGGAAGGCTGAGGTGGGAGGATCACTTGAGTCCAGGAGTTTGAGGCTGCAGTGAGCTATTCTTGGACAACTGCACTACAGCCTGAATGACAGAAGAGGGCCCTATCTCTAAAAATAAGGTAAATAGAAGGAATTATTTGTTATATTTCTGTAAAAAAAAGTCACTGAGATTGTGATAGGGATTGCACTGAATTTGTTCATCACATCGGGTAGTGTTGACATTTTGATAATATAAAAATCTTCTAATGTATGAACACAGGATATTATCCTATTTGTGCTATGTTTAATTGCTTTCATCAATTTTTTTTAGTTTTTAAATATACAAGTCTTTCATCTCCTTAGTTATGTTTATTCGAGATATTATTTTTATGCTAACATAAAGGAGATTATCTTTCTAATTGCATTTTTAGATTTTTAGTTAGAAATGCAACTAATTTTTGTATGTTGTTTTGGTATCTGGCAACTTTACTGAATTTGTTAGTTGTAACAGTTTTTTGGTGGAGGTTTTAGGGTTTTCCATACATAAAATTCTGTCATCTGCAAACAGGACAATTTTACTTCTTCCATTCTGAATCAGATGCCTTTTTTTCCCCTTTTGTTGCCTATTTCCTTTGGCTGGGAAAGCCAGTGTTCATTGAATGTACGTGATGAGTGTGGTCATTTTTGCCTTGTTCCTAATCTTACAGAAAACCTTTCGGTTTTCATCATTGAATATGATGTTAGTTGTGGGCTTGTCATACATAGCCTTTGTTATGTTGAGGTAATTATTTCTATTCCTACTTTGTTAAGACTTTTTAAAACTGTGAAATGGTATTACATTTTGTCAAACATTTTTTCTGAAAATATTTGGACAATCATGTGCATTTTGTCTTTTCTCTTTTTATGTGGTCAGTTATTTTTGTGTGTTGAACTATTATTATATCCTAGCAGGAAATCCCACTTGGTCTTGTAGCATCATCTTTTTAATGTGCTGTTGCATTTTGTTTGCCAGCATTTAATTGAGTATTTTGCATATATATTCATCAGAAATATTGACTTGTAGCTTTTCATTCCCCCTTTGGTGCTTTTGTCTAGTTTTGGTATCAGAATAATGCTGGATAAAATGGATTTGGATGTGTTTTTTTTGGAAGAGTGTGGGAAGTATTGGCATTAATTCCTCTTTAAATGTTTGGTAGAATTTACCAGTAAAGTCATCAGGTCCTAGCACTTTAATTCTTCACAGGGTTTTGGAACACTGATTCAATCAAAATACTAGTTATAGGTCTGTTCAGACTTTCTGTGTCTTCATGATTTAGTCTTAGTGGGATGTATATTTTCAGGAATGTATCCATTTCTTGGTTATCCAGTGTGTTGGTATATAATTATAATAGTCACTTATTATCCTTTTAATTTTTGTGGCATCAGTTTCTTGTTGACAATATAGAGTTGAGTCTTGTTTTTTAAAAATTTACTCAGCCACAATATCTTTTGATTGGTGTGTATAACTCATTTACATTTAAAGTGATTATTGATAGCAAAGGATTTACTATTGCCATTTACTTAGTTATTTTTCATTAGTCTTGCAGTTCTTTTGTATTTTTTTCCTGCTGTCTTAACTTTGTGTCTTGGTTTGTTTTTATTGGTATGCTTTGATTCCTTTCTCTTTTTCTTTGTGTAAGTTCTATAAGTTCTTTTTTGTTACCTTGGGGCTTACATAAAATATTTTATTGTATAACAGTCTATATAAGTCTGTAATAGTGTATTTATGCTGATAGAAACCCAAGTTCAATTGCATATGAAATCTCTATACTTCTTCACCCCCATATATTTTATGTATTGTTATGTATTATTGTTACAATTTACCTGTATTCATACTGTAAATCATTTAACTTTTCTAGGTATGGTTATTTTTAATACTTTTGTCATTTAAATTCTTAACTAGAATTGAAAGTGAGTTACTCACTACCATTACAGTAATTCAGTATTCTATATTGGTCTATATATACTTTTATCAATGAGTTTCATAATTTCTTATATTATGATATTGCTGTTTATCTTTTCATTTCAACTTAAAGAAATGCCTTTAACACTTCTTGTTAGGCAGGTCCAGTAGTGATGAACTCCCTCAGTATTGTATGTCTGAGACAGTTTTTAATCTATTCTTTTGAGGTATAGTGTGGTATTCTGTAATATAATAGTGTAAGACTAATATAGTATAGTATAAGAATACTACAGTAACTATATAGATACTATATGATTCTATATCTTTGAGGTAAGGTGCAGTATTCTTGGTTGCCTGATTTTTCCTTTTAGAACTTTGAATACATCATTGTACTCCCTTATGGCCTGAAAGAGTTCTGCTGGAAAATCTACTGGTAGCCTTCATGAAGTCTCCCTTGTGTGTGACAAGTTGTTTTTTCTTGTTGCTTCAAAATACTCTTTTTGTCTTTGACTTTTGACAATTTGATTATAATGTATCTCAGTGTAGATTTCCTTGGGTTCATTTTATTTGGTAGTGTGTGAGTTTTTTGGACCTTGATGTCCATTCTCCCCCTAGATTTGGGAAGTATTCGGCCATCATTTCTTTAATCTTTCTTATCCTTTTTCTCTTCTAAGACTGCCATAATGTCTAAATTAGCATATTTGATGCTGTCCCATAATTCTCTTAAACATTCTTCACTTTTTAAAATTTCTTTATTTTTTTGCTTCTCTGGCTAAATTATTTTCAGTGACATACCTTTAAGTTCAGTGACTCTTTCTTCTGCTTAATCTAGTCTGCTGTTGAACACCTCCAGTGAATTTTTCCAGTTCAGTTATTGTGTCCTCCAGCTCCATGATTTCTGTTTGACACATTTTAATATTTTCTCTTTTTTGAAATTCTCACTTTTCATGCATTGTTCTCTTGATCTTAAGAAGCATTTTTATGAAAAATATTTTTAATTCTTTCTTAGGTTAATTATTAACTATGTTTCATTAGTTTCTGGAGATTTATCTTGTTACTTTGTATGAAACATTTTTGCCTAAGTCTTTATTTTCCTTGATTTTGTGTGCATCTTTACATTATCCAAAGCAGACATCTCTTTGTGAACCTCTACCAACCCATTTCTTCCTCAAGGGATGCTGGGAGGTAGATTTTCTTAACCCCTTACTCTGTACTAAGCAAGGATGAGGATTAGTAATGCCTACCAGCTCAAGCCATCACTTTCATTCTCCCCTAGGTGGCTGAACCCGTCAGAGCTCAGGCCTGGCAAGACAGAAGCCAAACCTCTGGGGAGCCCTTCAGGAAAGCTAAAACCCTGAATGCACTGCCTAACCTTTTTCTTTCCCTGGGTGAATCTGAAAGCTAGAGGGCGTTTCCCTGATCATGTTGTACTGTGCCTGGGTAGGAATGTCTCAAATCTTTCTACTGGCTTTATAAGTTTCGTTTTGCTTCCTCTAAGGAGAACAGAAACAGTACATTTTCAATTAATTTCTGATTTCCCACAAAGATAATTAGTCCATGAATTGCTGCTGAATCAGTGTATTTCGGGGTAAAGGAGGAGGATCCAAGGCTTCCTCCTCTACCATGTTGTTGACCTCAGTGTATATTAACCTATTATATAATTTCTAAAATATATCCAATCATTGTATGTTAGTAAACCAAATGTTAAGAGATAGGGTAATATAACTTTTTCATGCGACTGGCTTCATTTTCATACCATCATTATAATGATATTTTGGTATATTCTATATCCCTCCCCTATGTTCAACTGTGAAAATATAAGCAAATGCATCAAAAAATAATCATGTCATAAAAGTCTGGATTTACAAAATAAATCAGGAACTCATTAAATAAAAGTATTTTAATTACATATACATGAATACCTCTGAATTAAATTTGTGTTTAAAAAATGGTACTTTTTAAACCAGGAATGTAGATAGTAAAGGAGACCCTAAATTGGAAAGAACAAAAATGAAGAAAAGAAAGATGAGATAAGACCAATGTTTAATGACTACACCCTATGTGGCTGGGGCTTAACCACTTTCAACCTGTCTCCTCATTTATAAACAGCAGTTTGGGGCTGGCTTGAGGGTTTCTGTGCATGACTTTGAAATTCATATTGACTCCAAAGGATAGAGTACCCAAGATTCTTTAAATCAGCTTTTCCAGACATGGAGCAGAAAGAAAAGAGGAAAATGTAAGACTTAAAAAAGTGTCAAACGTCAAATAATGGAGTCATAACATTTATTACACAATATTGTTCATAATAGCCAAAAAGTGGTACAACCCAAATGTCCACCAATATCAATGACTAAACTAAATATGGTATATCCATAGAATAAAATACTATTTGATAATACAATAGGAATGAAGTACTTATGAGACATGCTACAACATGGATGTATTTAAAAAATATTATGCTAAGAGAAAGAAATCAGTCATAGAAAACCACAAATTGATTCCATTTGTATAAAATGTGTAGTATCGATGACTCTAAAGAAACAAAAGAAATAGATAAATAATTGCCTAGAGATGGGAGGTTGGTGTGGTTTGAATGCATGTCCCCTCCAAATCTCATGTTGAAATAGGATACCTAATGTTGGAGGTAGGGCCTAGTGAGAGGTATTGGATTATCAGGGCAGGTTCCTCAAGAATGGCTTAATGTCATTCCCTTGGTGATGAATGAGTTCTTATTCTAGTAGTTCATGGGAAATCTGTTTGTTTAAAAGAGTATCCCATCAATGGTAGACTGGATAAAGAAAATGTGGTACATATACACTATGGAATAATACACAGCCTTAATAAAGAATGAAATCATGTCCTTTGCAGCAACGTGGTGGAACTGGAGGCCATTATCCTAGGCAAACTAACACAGGAACAGAAAACCAAGCACCACCTGTTCTCATTTTTAAGTGAGAGCTAAACATTGAGTACATATGGACACAAGTAAGGGAACAGGAGAAAACAAACACCAGGGCCTACTTGAGGGTGGAGCGTGGCGGGAGGATGTGGATCAAAAAACTACCTATCAGGTACTATGCTTATTACCTGGGTGATGAAACAATCTGTACACCAACCCCACCCACTGTGACTCACGATTTACCTATGTAACAAATCTGCACATGTACTCCTGAACCTAAAATAAAATTTAAAAATAAATAAATGAAATTAAATCAGTAGAGTGTGACACCTTCCACCCCTCTCTTGCTCCTGCTCTCGCCATGTAACATGCTTTCTCCCCTTCACCTTCTGCCATGATTGTACAGACTGCAGAACCATGAGCCAGTTAAACCTCTTTATAAATCAGTCAGCCTCAAGTATTTCTTTATAGCAATGCAAGAACAGATTAATACAGGGGTGGACTGGGAAGAAATGGTAAGTGACTGCTAATCGTACAGTATTTCTTCTTGAAGTGTTCTACAAAAGACTAAATATTAATTCTATGATGTTATTATCATGTTGCTGCGAGCTCAGGTAAACTTTGTTTCTTATTCTTTGTGAAATATAAAATTGCGCTTTTTTCTCATGCTGTTGTGAAGATAATGTATATAAAACACATGCAACATTTAATTAAAAATATAAAGGGCTTGCTATATACTTTACTTGTGTTATCTTATTTAGTCCTCACAACAACCTTGCAAAGCAAAATTCTATGTTTTTACAGCTAAGGAGACTGGCACTTGAAGAGATTAGGTACTTTCCATTTACAGTCTATATATTTTTTTCCATATGTCACACTGCTTCTTACACAAAGGTTAATTGAATATTATTTAGAATTTCCATCATCCACAAACAAGCAAATTTCAAAATATGGCATATGACTGCTTTAAGTAAAATGTGGAGTTATAAATAGCTTCATTAAATAGCATGTTGACAAGATATTTACAGTTTTATACTGCCAAATTTCAGATTTTATCTGTTTTTAATTCACACCAAATGAAAATATGACTTTGATGGCCTCTGTAAAACATGTCATGTGCAAAAATAAAATGGAAGAGCAACCTGAAATGAATTCACTTCAGGGGATTTTATGAACCATCAACTCAGCTTTCAGTTTGCTCACGATGAAAGATGGATGTAATAGGTGAAAAAGCAAGAACTTAGAGCAGTCCTCTTTGACATATAATGTGTAAACAAATATACGACTAACAGTATATACAATTTAATAGAAAAATAGTATAGAAATCTGTTTTAATAATTAGAGCATGAATTTCACAGATGTTTAGAAAATATTGAATTACAAAATATTAGTTACAAAACCTTTATAATTTTCATTAAAGAATTAAGAATACCTGAAAAATATTACCCTAACTTAAATTACAATATCTGTTGATTTTACTTTCAGAAAGTAGACCAGGAATAAATATAAATGTTCTAATAATGGTATTAACAATTTCTGAGAAAACAAATGCTTTTTGCTTTCATTATGAATTAACCATTTAACAAGTGATTTGGGAGCAATAATAAATAAGGTAAATTCAAGGCATTTGAAAGCTTTCTGAAATTGTAGATGGCAGTGTGATATAATGGTTAAATGTGATATAATGGTTAAGTCAAAAGACCTGAACTTGAATTCCAACTCTTCTGCTTTCTTATGGTGCAAATTTGGGCAAGGTGCTTAATATCCCTGAGCCTCAGTCTAAGGGTTAAATGGTAAAAGTAATACTCATCTTGAATGGATTTAATACAGAAGAAATCAGCATTATATGTAAAGCCTGTAGAGTGTTGTCTGATATAAGATAAACACTCAATAAATGGAAGATCTAGCTATATATATTGGATACTCAAATCCTCACACTGAAAAATGAAGTTGAAATATTGACAAGTTGGTAAACTGAGTCTGTCTAGGTAACCAAATTTGATCACTCAGAATGGAAATAGTTTTTGGATTATTCAAAAATGTATTCCTCATGTGCTTTCCTGAAGAAATGGTATATGTACTCTGTATTTCAGATATACAAAGAAAATTAAATTATGTGAGGAAGTGTCCCAACTGGAAACTCTGTAAAGATAGTCTAGTAAAGTAAAAGGGAAATTTGGGTTGGTACAAAAAACTAATTCAGAAAAGCAATTTAAAAAATAATAAAATTTTTTAACAGTTTGGGCTAAAACTGGCTTATGTTATAACTCATTACCTTCAGATTCTTAAAAGAAAAAATTTTAACACAAAATTAGACTCATTTGATTTGTATTGCCACATTATGCAGTTTGAATGAAAATAAATTTTTAAGCACTTTTTTTCCCTTTTTGAGACAAGGTTTTGCTCTATTGCCCAGGTTGGAGTGGAGTGGCATGATCATGGCTCACTGCAACCTCCGCCTCCTGGGCTCAGGTGATCCACCCACCTCAGCCTCCAGGGTAGCTGGGACTACAGGCACATTCCACCATGACCAGCTAATTTTTGTATATACATATAGAGCAGAGATGGGGTCTCACTACATTGCCTAGGCTGGTTTCAAACTCCTGGACTCAAGTGATCTGCCTACCTTTGCCTCCCTATTTTAAGTATTAAAATATTATTCTACTGGGACAGGAATTAAGCTTTGGGTTAATATGGTTATATCCACTTAGAAATTTATTTAAAGGTGTATACCTAGGAATGGCTGATTGAAACTACCAGTAATATCCTGACACAGGCAACCTCAGTGAGAACAGTTAGTTAGTTTGAATTTCAGTGATCACGATGGAAAAAAAAAGAGCAATAGGCTTAATAGAAGACATCTTTGTAGTATAAGATATAAAACTTTGACCTTGATTGTATAATTTTTCTGAAAGCTAAAAAAATAGAACAAATTTCTGCTTTTGCAAATTTTAGTACTTTTTTTCTAGCTTAAGAGTGGAAGGTTGAAACAATTTTGAAGTCTAAATATTTTTTTCTGAATTTGAGTGTTTTTCTTAAGCTTAGCAAAAGTATTTGACTAGTAACTTTAAAACAAAACCAATTTTAATTTGTTAATTCCACTTTATTTATTAAACTATTGCAATTTACAAATTTATTTTTCATCTAAAAAAATAGGCATATTTTTCATTTAGAGACTCCAAGACAGAGAAAGTGAAAACCCTGACCATACCTGCAGTCTGTTTTAGTAGTGGTCCCTTTAATAATTACTAAAGCAATTCACAAAATGTGCTGCTGTGTTCCAACAAATTTATCCTTCTCCACTTCTACTGAGGTTATGTTTATATACAATAATATGTTCAGATTTTAAGGGTTGAATTAGTTTTAACAAATGCCAACAGGTATGTGGAAGGCCAGCTTAAAATCTTTACCATTTTTTCATTGAGTTGCCATTTGTTCTGGATCAAAGTCCTTTGTCAAATTATCTGTTGTTTCTATTTCTTCCCACTCTGTGGCTTGCCAGATTGTTTTTTAACGGTTATTTTGATAAGTGTAAGTTTTTATTTTGATGAGATTTAATTTATTATTTTTTCCTTATGGTTTGTTCTTTTTGTGACTTTTCTGAAAAATTTTTGCCCGACCTAAGTTAGAAGAAATTTATCTATGTTTTCTTCTAGGAACCATCATGCTCCTTTTTCTTCTTTTACTCTTGACTTTTATTTTAGGTTCGATGGGTAAATGTGAAGGTTTGTTACATGGGTAAATTGTGTGTTGCTGAGGTTTGGTGTACAAATGATCCCATCACTCAGGTAGTGAGCACAGTGCCCTATATGTAGTCTTTCAACCCATGCCCCCCTCCCACTCTTCCCTGTCAAGTAGTTCCCAGAGTCTATTGTTCCCATCTTTGTGTTCATGTGTATTCAGTGTTTGGCTCCTGCTTATAAGTGAGAATATGTGGTATCTGGTTTTCTGTTCTTATGTTTGTTTGCTTAGGATAATGGACTCTAGATGCATCCATGTTGCTTCAAAGGACATGGTTTCATTTCTTTGTATGGCTGTGCAGTATTCCATGCTAAAGTCTTTTTTATCTCATGAAAGAATAGCAACCATTGTTATTTTGTTTTCCATTTGCTTGGTAGATCTTTCTCTGTCCCTTTACTTTGAGCCTGTGGGTGTCATTACTTATTGCATGTGTCTCTTAAAGACAGCAGGGAGTTGGGCCTTGCTTTTTTATCCAACTTGCCACACTGCCTTTTAAGTGGGGCATTTAGCCCATTATATTCAAGGTCAATATTGATATGTAAGGATTTGATCCTGTCTTTGTGTTATTAGCTTTATAGTGTCAATGGGCTACATACTTAAGTGTGTTTTTGTGGTGACAGGTATTGCTCTTTTATTTCCATGTTTATCACTACCTTAAGTAACAGGGATTCTCTGAATTTCTTGAATTTGCATGTTAACTTCTCTAGTGAGATTGGAAATATTTTTGTGGACTCTATCCTCAAGTATGTTTTCCAAGTTGCTTGCTCTCCCACTCTTTCAGGAATGCCAATGAGTTGCAGGTTTGGCCTCTTTACGTATCTCATATTTTTTAGAGGTTTTATTCATTTTTTAAGTCTTTTTCTTTACTTGTGTCTGCCTATGTTGCTTCAAAGGAGTGGTCTTCAAGCTCTGAGATTCTTTCCTCAGCTTGTTCTATTCTGTTGTTAATGCTTCCAATTGTATTATGAAATTCTTGTAGTACTTTTTTTATTTGCAGAACTTCAGTTTGATTGTCTCTTAATAGGGCTATGTCATCTTTCAATTCTCAAATCATTTTACTGTTTTCCTTGAGTTGGGTTTTAACTTTCTTATATATCTTGTTGAGCTTCCTTGCCATCCAGATTCCAAATTTTATTTCTGACACTTCAGTCATTTCAATGTTGTTATGAAGCTAGATAGCTGGTATGATCATTTAGAGATAAGCCGATACCCCAGCTTTTAGAGGTACTAGAGTTCTTGCACTAGTTCTTTCTCATCTGTGAGGGGTAATGTTCCTTTATCCTTTGAGGTTCCTGTCCTTTGGACAGCGCTTTTTGTTTTTATGTTCTTTACTGCCCTTGAGGGTTTGACTGTGGGGCATGTTGAGTATAGTCAAATGGCTTCATTTTTAAATGCATTGAGGGTGCCAAGGCTCGGCACTGGGCTGCATGCTTTAACTCTGGGATTAGGACTGTGGCTTTATCCTCTGGCCACTTGAGGCCAAACACTGGATGTGCTGTGGAGAGGCTCAGGTTGTCCCAGATCACTGGCAATCGTGTTCCTTTGGTAGCTGCAGGTGGAAGTGCTACAGTGGCATGGCTGGGAAGACCCAAGGTGGAAGTACTCTGGCAGGGTAGTGTGGATGTACCAGTGTTAAACATGCTCTGTTGGGGGACCACCAGCAAAAGTGCTCTGGTGGGGTGGCAGGGCCTGCCTGCAAAAGTGCTATGGCAGTGTCTGCTAGCAAAAGTGCTCCAGTGGGGCAGCTAAGGCTGTGTTATGAGCTGATATAGCCAAGCAGAGACTCTTGGTGGGGCCATTGGATAGAGGGGCACACAGATCAGAGTTGCCTCCATGCATGGGAAAGACAGACCTGCTCTCTCCAGGTCTAGCAGATAACAAAGCCAAAGCCACCTAAAGAAATATTGGAAACATTGTGGGATTGGTGCCTAAGGCCATGTTTCCTTGCAGCTGTCCCCTCTGCTAAAGCACCTGGGCTCCATGTCAATTCAGTTTCTGTCTTGGCCTCCTATCTTTTTAGCTCCCCCTGCCAACTCAAGTGTCCATGGGAGTCATGGGGCTGCCTGCAGCTAGGATCTCGGAGGTATATAGTGAGAGTGGGCTACTCTCCATATATTTCACTTACTCCTTCTTTAGGAGACATTGAGGGTTAGGAATGAGTCCTCGCACTCAGCAACCCCATTCAGGGTTCCCAGCTTCTTTCCCTTTCAGCCCCAGTGTCTACATCATTTCTCTATCCACTCTCAGTATATTCAGCCTGAATATCTGTTTGGAGCATGCCGGCCTACTGGATATCCTTGTCTCTGTCAGTGGGAAAAATTCTTACTGGCAGCATCTAGATGGCTATCTTGTTCTAAGCTCCTGCTCGTTTTTCATGCAGTTTCTGGAAAGGAGGACAAAGTGTCTTCTAGTACCTTAAAATTTCTTTTGGCCATTCTTAAATGGTCATTATAATGAAAAGTTGTGCAAATTTCTAAGCTAATTTAGTTTTTCCTGTTTTAAACTTCACAGAAATTAAATCATATTGTATTTAATCTTCCCTGTCTTGCTTCTTTATCACATCATTATTATGTGAGAAACATCCATGTATTTGCTTATAGCTGTACTGTTGTTGCTGTTTTACTCTTCTGTTTTGTATACCACAATGTATTTTTCTATGTAGATGAACATAGAGATCATTGTTATTTCTTTCACAAATCAATGCTGAATAATATTTAATATTTTTCTATATCTATTTACCATATGATTTTTCTTCACCTTGGTAATGTTAATTACACTTTAAAATTAAATATATTGTGGCATATTTTACCTAAATTAAAGTGAACACAACTGAAATATATGGTTTGATGAGTTTAGAGAAATGAACACACCCATGTAAACATGACAATAAAGATATACATATTTCCATCTCCCCCAAAGGATTCCTTTTTACCCTTTTCAGTGAGTAGACCTGTAGACCCATAAATTCACTGATCTGCTTTCCAACACTACATTTCAGATTTTCTTTTCTAGAGTATCATAGAAATCGAATGATACAGTATGAGCTCTTTATGTGTCTGGATTATTTTGCTCAGCATAGTCATTTTTAAAAATTTATATGATACCATGTCTATCAGTGTGGTAGACAGAATGCCCCTCTTTCAAAAAAAAAAAAAAAAAAAGGAAAATCCTTCACATCCTAATGGAACCTGTGAATATATCCCATGGCAAAAGGAAATTTCCAGGTGTTATTAAGGTTATAGACCTTAAAATAAGGAGATTATCCTGGATTATCGGGGTTATCTAGATGTGCCCAATCTAATCACGTAAACCTTTAAAAACAGAGAACTTTCTCTAATCGGAAGTAGAAGAGAGATGTGACAGAAGGGGAAGTCAGAGATATTTAAAGCATGCAAAGAACTCATTGTGGCTCTGCTGGCTTTGAAGATGGAGTTTATGAATCAGAGATGAGAAAGGTCTTTAGGAACTAATGATGACCTATAGTTGATAGTATACCAAAAACTGTGTCATTTAAAACAATAGTAATTTATTGTCTCACAGTTCTTGAGGTTGAAAGTCCAAAATTAAGGTGTTGGCAAGGCTATGCTGTCTCTGATGACTGAAGAGTAGAATCCTTCTTTGCCGCTTCTAGTTTCTGGCGTTTGCTAGCCATCCTTGGTGTGCTCTCTGGCTTGTGAATACATCATGCCAATCACATGCCATCTTTTTCCTGTACGTATTCACATTGTCTATACATGTCTGTCTCTGTGTTCAAATTTCCCCTTTGATAAAACCAGAGTCCACTCAAATGTCCTAATTTTAATTTGGTTTTGTTTGTTATTATTTTTGTATGTTAATTTTGTATGCTTACTAAATTCATTGTTTTAATTCTAACAATTTTGGTGTAATTTTGGGATTTTCTATATATATAATAATGTCATCTGCAAATAGGGACAATTTGACTTCCTCCTTTCCAGTTTGGTTGCTCTTTATTTCTTTCTCTTGCCTAACTTATTTGGATAGAACTTCTAGTACTATGTTAAAAAAAAAGTGATGAAAGTGGGCATCCTGATGTTGTCCCAGATCTTAAAAAAAATTGTTCAACTTTTCCCTGTTCAGTATCATGTTAGCAGAAGGTTTGTCATGTATGGCCTTTATTGTGTTGGTATGTTCCTTGTATACCCAATTTATTGAGTTTTTTTATTATAAAGGGATATTGAATCTTATTGAATGCTTTTTATGCATCTATTGAAATGATCATGTAGATTTTGTCATTGATCATTGATTCTGCTAATGTAATGTATTACATTTATTGATTTACATATATTGACCATCCTTGTATCCCTGAGATAAATTCCACTTGGTCATGATGAATGATCTATTTAATGTGTTGTTGAATTAAGCGTGGTAGGATTTTGTGTGGGGTTTTTGCATTGAAATTCATCAGGGATATTGGCTTATAGGTTTTTTTTTTACTTTAATGGGTTCTTGTCTGATTTTGGTATCAGGGTAATTCTTGCTGTATAGAATGAGTTTGGAAGTAATCCCTCCTCTTCAATTTTTTAATAGACTTTGAGTAGTATTGGTATTAATTCTTTAAATGTTTGATAGAATTCAGCAGTGAAGTCATCAGGTCCTGAGTTTTGATGGGAGACTTTTTATTACAGCTCTGGTCTTGTTACTCATTATTGGTCTGCTTAGGTTTTCCATGGCCTTAAGATTCAATCTTAGCAAGCTATACGTGTCCAGGACTTTATTTCCTCTAGGTTTTCCAATTTGTTAGAGTATAATTGTTTATAGTAGTATCAAATTTTTTTGCATTTTTGTGGTATCATTTGTAATGTCTCCTTTTACATTTTTTTCCTTGAGGTTTCTTTTTTTTTTATCTTAGTCTAGCTAAATGTTTGCCAATTTTGTTTATCATTTCAAGATACCCACTCTTGGTTTTGTTGATCTTCTGTATTATCTTTAATTTCTGTTTTGTTTATTTCTGCTCTGGTCTTTATTTCTTTTCTTATTATTTTTGGTTTAGATTGTTCTTGTTTTTCTAGTTCCTTGAGGTGCCACGTTAGGTCATCTATTTGAGATCTACTACTTTTTTGATGCAGGCATTTATTGTGATAAATTTCTATCTTAGAGCTGCTTTTGCTATATTCCATCAGTCTTGGTATGTTGTGTTTCAATTTTCATTTGGCTCAATAATCATTAAATTTTCTTTTTAGCTTGTTAATTGACCCACTGGCTCTTCTTAAGCATGTTGTTTAATTTCTATGTATTTGTACATTTTCCAAAGTTCCTCCTGTTATTGGTTTCTAGTTTTATTCTATTATTGTCAGAAAAGATACTTGATATATTTTCAATTTCCAAAAATTTGTTAAGACTTGTTTTGTGGCCTAACATGTAGTCTATTCTGGATGATGTTCCACATACTGTTGAGAAGAACGTGTATCCTGAAGTTGTTCGTCAGAAGGTTCTGTAAATGTCCATTAGGTCCATTTGGTCTAGAGGGGAGTTCAACTCTGATGTTTCTGTGTTAATTTTATATCTGAATAATATGTCCATTGCTGAGAATGAGGTATTGAAGTCCTCTGCTATTATTGGATTGCAGTTGATCTCTCCTTTTATGTCTTTTACTGTTTTCTTTATATATTTAGGTGCTGCATTGTTGGGTGCATACATAATTACAGTTGTCACATTCTCTTGCTGTACTGACACCTACATTATTATATAATGGCCTTTTTGTGTTTTTTAGTGTTTTTGACTAAAGGTCTATTTTATCTAAGTATAGCTATTCCTGTTTCCTTTTGATTTCCATTTGCATGGAATATCTTTTTTCATCCCTTCACTTTCAGTGTATGCATGTCTTTATAGGTGAAGTGAGTTTCTTAGAGGCAGCATATAGTTTGGTCTTTTTCTCTTGTTTATCCATTAAGCCCGTCTATGTCTTTCAATTGGAGAAGTGAATCCATTTACATTCATTGTTACTATTAATATATAAGGACTTACTATGCCATTTTGTTGCTTGTTTTCTGGTTGTTTCATAACTCCTCTCTTCCCTTCTTCCTTCATGTTAAGTGATTTTCTTTTGTAGTATGTTTTCATTCTTTATCTTATTTTTAGTGTATCCATTATAGGTTTTTGGTTTGTAGTTACAATGAGGCTTACAAAGAACATCTTATAGTTATATCAATTTATTTTAAACTGATGACACTTTAAATTTGGTTGCAAAAAGAAAAAAAGAGAAACATTCAAACTAAAAGCCTTTATACTTTAATAATCCTCCAGTTTTGACTTTTTGATATCTTAATTTATATCTTTTTATATGGATGATCTCTTAGCAAATTATAGTAGCTATTATTATTTTTAATAGTATTAAACTATTAACTTTTTAATACTTAATATTAATTATCAATAATTAAACTATTTATGTAATAGTATTTAATGATTAATTTAATAGTTTTGCATTCTAGTTTTCATACTAAGATATAAGTGGTTTACATACCACAATTACAATTTACAGTATTGTGAATTTGTCTGTATACTCACTTTTACCAGCAAGTTTCATACCTTCAGATGTTTTCTTAGTGCACATTAGAATCCTTTTATTTTAGATTGAAAAATCCATCTGAGCATTTCTTATAAGATATTACTGGTGATGATGAATTCCCACAGCTTTTCTATATCTGGAAAAGCTTTTTTCTTTTCATTATGTTTGAAGGATAGCTTTTTCAGGTAAAATATCCTTGGTAAACAGGATTTTTTCTTTAGCACTTTGAATATGTCATCCCACTTCCTCCTGACCTGCAAGGTTTCCACAGCACAGTCAGCTAACAGTTGTATCAGAGTTGCTATATATGTTCTTTTCTTCTTTACTCTTTCTGCTTTTTGGATCTTCTGTTTTTCACCTTTGAGAGCTTGATTATTATATGCCTTTGTATAGTCTTATTTGGGTTGAATGTTTTTTTTTTTTCATGGTGTCTCAATGTGATTATTTAATTTTTATTTACAAAATAAACATTATTTTGTAAATAAAATATTTTTTATTTTATAAATAAAAATGTGCAGGTTTGTTATATAGGTAAACTTGTGTCATGGTTTTGTATAATTTTTTTTTGTCACCCAGGTAATAAATGTAGTACTCACTAGTTGTTGTCTCTGCTCCTCTCCCTCCTTCTTCATTTCACCCTCAAGTAGGCCCCCTTGTCTGTTGTTCACTTCTTTGTGTCCACATGTTCTCATCATTTAGCTCCTACTCATAAGTGAGAGCATGCAGTATTTGTTTTTCTGTTCTTGTATTAGTTTGCTAAGGATAATGGCCTCCAGCTCCATCCATGTTTCTGTGAAGGGCGTAATTTCATTCTTTGTTGTGGCTGCATAGTGGTCCATGGTGTATATGTACCACATTTTCTTTATCCAGTCTGCCATTAATGGGCATTTAGGTTGATTCCATGTCTTTGCTATTGTGAATATTGCTGCAGTGAACATCCCTGTACCTGTGTCTTTATAATAGAACAATTTACATTCCTTTGGGCATATAGCCAGTAATGGAATTGCTGGGTCAAATGGTAGTTCCGTTTTTAGGCCTTTGAGGAATCGCCACACTATGTTCCACAATGGTTGAACTAATTTATAGTCCCACTAACAGTGTATAAGCATTCCTTTTTCTCCACAACCTCACTAAAATCTGTTATTATTATTTTTTTTTGCTTTTTACTAATAACCATTCAGACTGGTATGAGATGGTATCTCATTGTGGTTTTTATTTGCATTTCCTGGGTTGAATCTTCTTCATGATCTTTGTCCTTTCTGTAACTGGACATTTACATCTTTCTCTAGGTTTAAAAAGTTTCCTGTTATTATTTTTTAAAGTATGCTTTTTACCCCTTTTCCTTACTCTACTCCCTCTTGAAGATCAATGATGCTTCTATTTCCTCTTTGATCCGTGGATTTCACAAGTGCCTTTGTTTCTTTTCAGTCTTCTCTTTTTTCTCTTCTGACTGTGTATTTTCATGTAGCATGTCTTTGACCTCACTAACATTTTCTTCTTCTCGATAGGGTTTTCTGCTGAAATTCTCTAATATGTTTTTGACTTCATCCATTGTTATTTTCGGCTCTGGGATTGTTCAATTTTCACTATTTTAATCTCTTTGTTAAATTTCTCTGATAAACTTCTGAATTGCTTCTGTGTTTTCTTGAAATTTGGTGAGCATCCTCAAAACAGTTCTTTTGAATTCCTTGTCTGAGAGGTCACTATTTTCATCTCTCCAGGGTCTGTCACTGACACCTTTTTTAGTTTATTTGGTGAGGTTATATTTTTCTTAATGTTCTTGATAACTGTGGACATATGTCAATATGTTGGCTCTGAAGATTTATTTCAGTCTTCATAGTGTGGCCTTGTTTCTACCCATCCTTCTTCAGAGAGCTTTCCAGGAATTCGAAGAGGGACTGAATGTTGAGAGCCCGTGGTCACTTCAACCATTTTAGCACTAGAGGGTGCACGAAGCCCATCTTTGCTGTGAACCTCTGGCCAACTCCAATGTGCCCAGCCCTGTTATACTTGAGGAATACCAGGGACAGTTCCCTGTGTCCCCAGGCAAAGTTCCTTACCCACTTTTCTTTCCTTCCTCCAAATGGAAGGAGTAGGTTTCCACAATGTGCCATCTGAAGTTGGGGGAGGTGTGACACAGGCAGTTTTATGGCCACTGCAGCTGATGTCATGATGAGTCACACCTGAAGCCCACAGCCTCCCAGACTAGCACAGCACTGAGGCTCAGCCATGGAAAATAGTTGTTACAGCCCACTTTGCCACCAAATGACTAGAGTAGACTTCAACTCCAAATAAAAGTAATTAATTACAAATGTATTACAAATAAATTTACTTTTATTTGGAGTCCAAGTCACTTCAGTCATTTGGTGGTGAAATGGGCTTGGATTTGGGTTCATCTTACTGGGGCCTCAGATTCCCATCTGACCCATGGTAGGTCTAGGAGCTTTGTCTGGGGGCATTGTCCTGGAATCAGGAGCTGCTGGGTTCTCTCTGGTATTGTGTTTTACTCTGACAAGGCTGGTACTAGTTTCCAATTCCAAATCTATGTACACTTTCCTCTCACTTTCTCAAGTGGACAGATTTTCTGCATTATACTGCTTGGGGTTGGGGGAGCAGTGGTGTAGGCAACGTGAGATTGTCTTTCCTACCCTCTTAAATGTATCTTTTCTAATTATTATGCTAAAACCGGGTACTGTGATCTATCACTGGTTTCTTTTTGGTGTTGTTGTTGTTGCTGTTGTTTTCTCCTGTAAAGGTGTTTTCTTGCATGGATAGTTGTTAAAAAACTGATGTTTCTCTGGAGAGATGATTGCTAGAGGGTTCTATTCTATTTTCTTTTTCCCCCTCCCTTCTACCACAATTTTTTTCTATTTACCTGCTAATAAATGTTGCACTGCTTCTAATTTTAAGCTATGAAAAATAAGTTCCTATGCATATTTATGTAAAAGGTTTTCTTGTGTACATGTGCTTTCATTTGCAGAATCACTGAGGTACATAATAAGTGTAAATTGAGTTGTCTTAAAAAATACCAAACACTTTTTCAAAGTAATTATAACATTTTACATTATAAAAGAGGATAATTTCCAACTGCCTTATATCATAAAAATTGCTTTATATTGCCAGTCTATTTAAATTTAGACATTCTAATGTGTGTGCATTGGTATCTTAAATATTTCGTTGATAGCTAATGCATGTATTTTATGTACTATTGGCTTTCTTTATTTATATCCAAAATCTTTATCTTTACCAATTTAAAACTGTTGACTGTCATCTTAAAATTGACTTCTAAAAGTGCTTTTTATATTCCAGATGTAAGTCTTTTATCAAATATAAAAATCACAAATATTTTTTCCCATTCTGTAACTTGCCTTTTCATTTTCCTAATACTAACTTTTGAAGAGCAGAAAGTTTCAATATTTGTGAAGTACAATTTGTCAATTTTTAAATTTGTTCTTTTGGGTTCTTATGTAAGAAATCTTTGTATAACCCAAGGTTACAAACATTTCTCCTTCATTTTCTCCTAACAGCTAAATAATTTATCATTTGGATTCATCAACATTTTGAGTTAACTTTTGTATATGGTATAAAGGTTGAGGTTCTTTTTTAAGAAATCAATTTTCATTTGTTTCAGTACTACTTGTTTAAAAGACTATCATTACCTTGCTCATTGAATTCTGTATTTCTGAATTCTGTTCTATCCATTGATTTCTATGTCCATCTTCATGTTAATGCATCACTGTCTTGAATGCTATGGCTATATTGTAAATCTTGAAATGATGTATGTCAGACCTCCAACTGGTCCACTTTTCAAAAGTGTTTTGGCTATTCAAGATCTTTTGTGTTTCCTATAAAGTTTAGAATCAATGTTTTAATTTCTGAAGTAAATCTGCCCAGGTTTTGATTTGAGTTGTATTTGCAAACAAATTTAGAAATAGTTAATTTTTATCAATATTGTTGCTTATTTTAAACATATTTATTTTTACAATTTCTAATAATTTTTAAAGAAATGTGTCATACTTTCTATTGAAATAGATCGCCTGTATATTTTTAAAATATGTTCTTTAGTATTTAATGCTTTTTGATACTTGGGTAAAAGGCAAGAATATATCTTTAAAATTCTAATTATGCGTCACTAATGTGTAGAAATAAAATTGTTTTTCGTTTATTCACCTGGTATCTGATGAGCTTATCAAACTCATTTACTGGTTTTAGTAGATATTTTGTAGATTAACTGGGATTCTCCAGTTAAGCCATTAGGTGGTCTGCAAATACTGCTTTACTTTCTCCTTTCTAATTTTTATTTTATTATTTGTTTATTTCTTTAAAAACGTTCTGTCTTTAACCATTCTTTGTAATATTAACTGGTGTTTTTCTAGGTGTCTTCATTAGGTTAAGAAAGTTTCCTTCAAATACTTTTAAAGTACTTATTGTGATAATTATATGATTTTGCTCTTTTTAATATTTTAATATCGTGAATTACAAGGATTTGTTTTTTAATGTTAACTACCTTGCATTCTTTGGATAAACCCTATGGTCATGCAGCATTATGATTTTGTGGACTCTTTAGCTAAAATTTTGTTAAGGCTTTTGGCTTTATTTATGAAGGATAGGTTTATCATATACAATGTTTTTGATTTTTTTTTTGTTTATGCCTGCATCTAAAATGTGGCTTTCTGTTGCTTTCTGACCTTCATTCTTTTTAATAAAAAGTCAAGTATCATTATATATTTTGTTGCTCTCTATGTAAAGTATCTTTTCTCCTCTGGTTTCTTTCAAGATTTTCTTTTTATCACTGGATTTCAGCAGTATGTCTAGTATGTGTCTGCATGTGGTCTCTTTGTATCTATATGCTGCTTGGTGTCTGCAGAGCTTTTTGAGTGTGTAATTTGTATGTTTCAGCACATTAGTGGTACTTGGAGACATTAAATTTTTTCAATTTTTTTTTCTTTTTACCAAACTCCAGCTGTGAATCTAATTACATATGGAATAAACTACTTAAAATTGTTCCGTAAGTCACAGAGGCTCTGCTTATTTTTCTCCATTTTCCCCCCTTTTTATCAGATAGTAAAATTCCTATTGGTAAATCATTAAGGCACTTATATTTTCTTCTACCAATTTCAATTTGCTGTTAAGTTCATTCATCGGATATTTTCATTTTATTTATGGCACTTTTACTTCTAGAATTTGTATTTGGTTCCTTTAAATTTTTTTTTTTACTTTTTACTACATTTCCAATCTGTTTATTTCTTAAAACTTTTCCTCAAATATTTGAACATATTATAACTACATCATCCGAGTACTCTCAGAGTTGGTTTTTACTGAGTTGTCTTTTTCCTTGATTATTGTCATATTTTCATTTTTTCCCATGTTTATTAATTTTTTTTTCTGATATGTGACAATTTGAATAATAAATTACGGTGATCCTCGATTTCAGTGTCACTCTGCAAACTATTTAAACTTGTATAGCAGGTAGTTAACTTGGCTGGATTCAAACTAAACTTTGCCTGCTCTGCAATGAGTAGCAACCAAAATATCTATTCAGTGATTTGTTTCTAACTGACAAATGTTGTTGGGCCTACTGCTTTTTCCCCTTTATATGCATAGTTCAATCATCAGCCAAAAATGTGAATGCATTCATATACAGATTTTGAAACTCATTCATTCTATAGCTTTTCTCTTGTCCAGAATTCCCATCGTCTTTAGTCACTCTACCAGAACTGAACTCAACCCTCTCATATTTCCAGCCAATAATGCTACAGTTTTATGCCACCTTTTTTTTTTCTTTTTAGGAACTGATACACTTTTACAATTTGTAGCTGCTTTTGGTCACTTTCTAATTTCTTTAAATACTTGTCTTTGTAGGGTTTTTCTTTTTTTTGAGATATTATAATTGTTTTCTGTAGCAGGGTGAGTTTACACAACCTACCTGGCTATTTCCAGATACCAGAACTTTTTCAGTTCATTTTTTATAACCTAACTCACTACTACCTATATTTGATTTTATATCTATCACCTTACTGTTTCCTTTCTCTGTGGTTCATCTATTCTGTGTATCGCCTATCTTTTCTTGAATTGTTTTTTAATTGTTTGATACTTTATAACTATGAAATAATAGGACAGAAAAAAGTTAAAACTTTATGGCTATTCTTTTCGTAGTTAACCTAGAAATTATAAAATAAATTCTTTATTTATCAAGGTCTACTGTTTATACTTTTATTGTATTCTGGGACAACCCAGTGATAGAGATATCTACATGTTTATACCTCTAGATAAATATTTATATAGATAGATGTATATATTTATAAACATACAAAATATATTCCATAAGTATAAATGCATTCATAATATTTATAAATATGAATAAGCATATGTAATCATATAATCTGTATAATACAGAATACATCATATATTTATACTTATAAACATAAATATAAATACATAAATACACACACACATGCACGTACATACGTATCTATATTTTCCCTGCAATCATTGTTAGAATTTTTTTAATACAGGCAGTATATTCCCATTGTCCCTTACATACTTTTTTTAAAATCTATATTTTTTTTGTGAGTTATATTGGGAGCATTTTCCTTCTGCTGAAAAAATTGCTCTAGATTTTCCTTTAGTGGAATATTGTTCTAGCAATTCTTCATTGTCTTGTGTCTTCCCCAATGCCCTTAAGCAAAGTGATAGTGTACATTTGTAAATCTTTCCTTATTGTTCATAACATGAGAGGTTATGCTTAAATTTTAATTGCCAGTTTATATATTTTCAAGTTTCTTAAAAATATATGTATTAAAAATCATTACTTTTAAGAGTACCACAATATTTAATTCTGTGTTTCTCTCAAGATTTTTAACTAGTTCTTTTTGTTTGATTATTTACAAGTTTAATTTAAATAAAATATCTGAAAGAAACTTTCTTTTTCCTAAATCTTCATGATAACATCTAAATTTTTCTTGGAATAAATTATAATGAATTTCTAGTAATATAATTTGTGCTGTATATCTTTTAAGATTATACATTGCCCTGCAAAAGGCAGAAAGTGACTCATCTGTCTTACAACACCTTTAAGAGGACTTTTTATGGATGCTGAGGAAGGCCGTCTTTTATTTTACTTTCTCTTTTTAATTAGATGTGATTATTTCAGCTCTCTGGTAATTGGTTAACAGAGAGTTTCAATATTTAAAACATGTTAATTCTTTGTGTTTTTTGTTTGTGAATTTTTCATGTGTATTAGTTACTTTTCTCCTGAGAAATTATATTTTTATTGTTTTAGAATGTATGTATATATTAAAATAATATTTTTTTTTCAGTTATAAGTGAGCAAATATTTTCCTCATCTTTTTGGATTTCCTTTTGCTTATATTTTTCCACAAGTAAAATATCACATTTTGGACAGTAAAATCTATCAGATTTTTCATTCATTTACATTTTACTTTTATCTTTATGCTTAAACATCAGTGATAACATAAATATTTACACGTATTGTTGTAATTTTATATATTTTAATTTTTTTGAAATAGTTGACTTCTTAGTCTGCCTAAAAATTTATTTCATTGGTCTTTACTGGCATCTCTGCATAACTGAATGTTTCTCATTTTTAGGTCTTAGCTCCTTAAAGAGAATTTTCTTGACCTGTTCCTCTGTTTCTGCAGGTTCTTTCAATCTGCTTTGTGGATTTCCTTCTAAGTAACTTTTTATCCAAAAATGTTCTTGGTTATTTGCCTATTTCTTAAACAGTATTGCTCTCCTTTAATTAGAATGTAAGTTTCATAAAGGCAAGCATGTTTTATACTTTATTTTTCTTTATTATTTTAGTTTTGTAACTACCCTGCACATATTAGAAATGCAAATATATTTGTTGAATGAATAATTTATTATACCAATTATTGTTGCTTTAAAACTTTTAAAATGGGAGTATCAGACCCTTTTTGTTTCTTTTTCACAATTTCTTCACTATTATGAGATTATTATTCAAAACTTCTTTTATAATCAACCACTGTCAATTTATCAAAATAATAGTAATTTTTTCAAATTGCTAAATCATCTTAAAAACTAAACAAAATAAATAAAAATGCCTGTCTAAAGTGAGAAAGTGATACATCAGGAAGAAAAATGACCTCCACAGATACTTACCAGGGAGATAGAAAAAAATTTTAACTGCTAATAGTATTCTAAAATAACCACAATTCATTTTTCTCATCTGTTCATTCAGTCCTTATAATTATTTCTTGTCCAGCTGGATTTTGGTTCAGCACTAACCTTTCATAATATCATCTGCTTCTGGGCTAAAACGAGTTCTGAAAATCCTGATTCATTTCTTGGCACAGTCTCACTGTGGTCTACTCATGGTAATAATGTCAGCATATGCTGGAATCTCAAATATGCAAGAGACTACTAATTGCAGAAGAATTAATACTATCCAAATACAGGCCCTTCTGTTAAGGCTCTGAAATTGCTCATTTTTACTGAATATCTGCTTTCTTGCCAATTAACATAGGGGAACCTTGAGATAAGCGATGCTTAGATTGAATGGCTCTGGTTAATTATTGCAGAAATCACCAGTATTAGAATCAACAAGAGTTGACATTTACCACTGGAATGAACACATCCTATTTAATGAAAATTTGACCAATATGTTCCCGGTGAGTAAGAATATATTATAAAGAGGGGGATAGTGAAGAATTTCCAAAGCCTTCCAATACATCCTGTAAAAGTAAATATTTATGCTAATAAATATCTACCTATACAAAAATTTTAACATGAAATAAAAACTGGAGATATTTCGGACACATAACAGAAAAGGAACAATTTTCTACCTACATAAAAACTCATATAAATTAAGTAAAAGATGAATAACCTCAAAGAAAAGAACAAAATTTGTGCCTATACGTTTAAAAATGAAGTAATACAAATAATATTTCTAAACTTTACTAGTAGTTTAAAATGTAAACTCAGTTTAAGCCTGTGTTGTTCAAAAATCAACTGTTATTATTTTATAGCACTTTCAGTTTCTTTCATCATTGATCAAGTCAGCTTTTTCTCATCTTTAATCTTTTATACTAATATATAATATATGTTTTTCTAGAAAATTGTCCTTTTCACTGGCAACATTAGTTATATAGTTTTATTATTTAGAAATCTCTTCTATGTTTGTGTCTAGTTCATTTATCTTAGTTTTAATTTTCTGTTTCTTTTTGACATAGTTTTGCTTTGTCACCCAGGATGGAGTGCAGTGGCACAATCTCGGCTCACTGCAACCTCTGCCTCTCAGGTTCAAGCGATTCTTGTGCTTCAGCCTACTGAGAAAATGGGATTACAGGCACACACCACCATGCCTGGCTAATTTTTGTGTATTTTGTAGAGATGGAGTTTCACCATGTTGCTCAGGCTGGTCTCAATCTCCTGAGCTCAAGTGATCCACCCACTCTGGCATCCCAAAGTGCTGGAATTACAGGTGTGAGCCACTACACCCAGCCTGGTGGACTACTTTTAAAAAACTGATACATAATAGTTGTATGTATCTGGGGGTACATGTGATATTTTGATACCTGTATACAATGTGTAATGATCAAATCAGAGTAATTGTGATATCCATCACCTGAAACATTTATCATTTCTTTGTGTTGGGAATACTACAATTTTTCTCTTGTAGCTATTTTGAAATATACATTAAATGATAGTTAATTATATTTTTCCTACTGTACTATTGAACACTAGAACTTATTCCTGTTATCTAACTTTGTTTTTGTACCCTTTAACAAACTTCTCTTCATTCCACTTCCTCCCTTACCTTCTATTCCCAGATTCTGGTAGCCACCGTTCTACTTTCTACTTCCATGAAATTCACTTGTTTAGCTTTTACATATGAGTAAGAACATGCAATATTTGCCTTTCTGTGCCTGACTTATTTCACTAAACATAATGACCTCCAGTTCCATCCATGTCGCTGCAAAGGATTTCATTATTTTTATGGCTGAATAATATTTCAGTGTATATGTGTGTGTGTATCACTTTTTATTTATTCATTAATCTGTTGATGGACATGCAGATTGATTCCCTATCAATCATGGGAACGTAGATATAGTTATCATATGCTGATTTTCTTTCTTTTGGATATATAACCAGTAGTGGGATTGCTGGATGATATAGTAGTTGTATTTCTAGTTTTTTTCAGTAATCTCCATGTTTTCTATAATAAGTATAATCCCACTTTTTAATTTGAAATGCATAGTAGACAAAATTTTAGAATAATCCCCAATTACCCAACTCTGTATAACCTCATCTTGAATACAGGTAGCATCTGTAGTTTTTTTTTAGCAATCGAATATGGCAAAGGCGAGGGCATATTATTTCCATGATTACATTACATTACATTATTTCTTAATGGTGAAGGGGTTTTAAAGATGCACTTAAGATTTCTAATTAGGTAAGTTCTAGTTAACGAAAATGGAGATTATTTGACTATGCCTGATCTAATCAGGCAGAATTTTTTTTTTTTTAAAAAGTCCAGAAGTCACAGGATCTGTCTTGCTGGTCTTAAAGAAGCAAGTCATCATGACTTCTATAGTTACAAGAAGATGAATTCTGTAGACAATCACTTGAGCTTGGAAGGCCACAATCATCATGAATACTTGATCCCTAGCTGACATCTTGATTGCTGAACAGGGGGCTTGTTTAAATTGTGTTTGAACTTCTGACCCACAGAAACAGTGAAATAATAAATGTATGTTGCTCTATGTCTCTATGTACACTTCTGCTAATTTGATATATGCTCTATGTCTCCACATACACTTCTGGTAATTTGCAATAACCAAAAATGAAAAAAAGAATTTGATACCTAGAAGTGAAGTGCTGCTGATCTAATAAATGCTTACAAATATGATTTCAGCTTTGGAATTGGGCAGAAGCTAGGGAGATTTTGAGGAGAATGGTATTGAAATCCTAATTTTCTTCCACAAGATTATTAGAAAAAATGCACACTGAGGATGCTCCTATGAAGGCTTAGAAGGAAGTGAGGAAGGGGTATAAGTTATTGTGGGCCAGAGGATGGATTCTGAAAGACTAATACTAAATATATTTGTCACGATTGTTGAATTTTTAAAATTTATTTTAAATCCATAGAGGAGAGTTTATATTTCCCTTAACTTTATTTGGAAATAAATAACTTTATTTGGAAATAAATATGGATATCAATTTTAGTGAATAAATACATTACTCTAATTCAAGAAGCCATAAATTCTTCAATGATTTAGGACACTATGTAGTTTACAATTTACTTTTGGACAGATCGGGCTGTCCTTAATAACACATTACTTATTAAAAATGCTTTTCTCAGAATGGTTGAAAATTCTTACTGTCAGAGAAAAGGGGAAAGATAATGGGGGTTGTTAAACCCTGCAGAAATATTTTTCAGTCTTTCCTGAGGAAGTTTAAAGAATGGAAAAGCAGGGTTTACAAAGTGGGGGATGCTTTTCATACTTGTCTAAATTTTGTGCACATATGAATCCACTCTTACTGCACTGGGCATGCTGTGTGTGCTAAATGGCTTTTTAAAAATCTTTTTACTTTTTCACACTAGAGAGAACATATTGCAAAAATGGCATTGCTTATTTCAGCATGCATAGCTATTAATAAATGTGTCATAATGCCCATGTTATTCAGAAATCTCTGTGAAACCTCACTTCATGCTGTCTACATTATAAATGGTTTAGTAATTCAGACTGTAGAGTAGCTGATAAAAAAAATGGAACATGTAGTCACATAAAAATAGCATGTTGGGATATACCATTAAAGTTAATTTATATATTCTTCTTTCCAGAGTGTTGACAAGTTCTACTTAAACATAGGTGCCTAATGTATGTGCTGACATGAAGCAGATATGAATAAAAAGTATATGGTGGGTATAAAATGGAGTCAGTAAAATTATTTCTAATTTGTAATCAGATGGGGTAAGTGAACATTATTCTGACATGTGGAATTGTAGTTGAAAACTTTAATGCTCTAATAGGAGGATAAGGAAATAACTCATATAACTCCTGAAATGTTCAGTGAATCATTTCTAACGGTTAAAGGAATCAGTGTAGAATTATTTCTGAAATATCTTTAAAACTAAAAATAGGTTGGACTGTGTTTCTCACTTGCCTGGTAGTTCATCTTCATTGTACAGCCCCTATACAGATGTTATTACCTCATATTCAAGTGGACATCTTAGGCAAACTAAACTGTCAGTGAAATATTTTCATCCAATTGGAGTGTAGATTACTAATTTTTTTTTCTAGAAAGCTGTGTTCAGGAAAAATAAAGATAATCATAAAAATAGAAGTGAAATATCATAGATAGAATACTTCCTCGACCACTTTAATCCTCTTGCACATATACATTGAAGGAGATTTAATGTAAACTTTAACAAATTAGAAAAATAGAAAATAAGTTGTAAGATCAGTTGTTTTGCTTTTAAAACATCAAGCTGGAAGAACAGTGACTGTAGAGGAAACCAATGCAATAATCACAGGTGAGCACATATAGCCTATATTCGATTTTTTATTGTAGATAGCAATTAAAATAATAAACTCAAAACTGGATGCTCCCTTAAAGTATAGCACTTTCATAATTGGGGTCTAAATTGTCTTAAATAATTCATTTGGTCTTTTTTAGATTTTGATGAAAACACACACACATGATCCGAGTCAGCTAAGCATGCATAATGGAACAGAGTAAATTAGATACAGGTAAAAATAAATGCCTGTGTTGCTTTAGTAATATTTACAGTCAGTTGTATTTTGCCTCTTGGTGATTAGTTCTGAAACTTTGCCTCAAAATAAACACTGAACCCACTTACAGTCTCACACTCATTTTTCTTTTTCTCTTATGCTAACGAATGTCTCATCAGATATCTCTTGCTCTTTTTTTGAAGTTGGACCAGAAAAAAAAAATATCATCTGACCAACTCCAAGCCTAAGCTAAGCTGAAAAATCAAACTTAAACAGATAGCTTAAGATGTGGAGTCGTCCATATGTTTGACAAGGGGAAGAAAAAGGAAGTGAAAGAGATTTCTGGGGTTTTGTAGAAATTTGGAACTTGTGTTCAGTCTCAGTAAGAATAACATTTTATAACACTTGAGAATTATCCATCTTGATATAAACTTTTACTATTACTTTATTACCAAATCAGATGTTCCACTAATAAACGGAATTCAGAGATAATCCTCCAGACATCTTTGTTGGCCAATAGCGACAAGAAATCTTCATAACATTTCCAGAGATGTGCACTCTTTGTATAATGCAGTTATTACTGCTAGTCCTCGTAGGCAAGGACTTCATGGCTAAAACACCAAAAGCAACGGCAACAAAAGCCAAAATTGACAAATTGGATCTAATTAAACTAAAGAGCCTCTGCACAGCAAAGGAAACTACCATCAGAGTGAACAGGCAACCTACAGAATGGGAGAAAATTTTTGTAATCTACCTATCTGACAAAGGGCTAATATCCAGAATCTACAAATAACTTAAACAAATTAACAAGAAAAAAATCAAACAACCCCATCAAAAAGTAGGCAAAGGATATAAACAGACACTTCCCAAAAGAAGACATTTATGCAGCCAACAGACACATGAAAAAATGCTCATCATCACTGGCCATCAGAGAAATGCAAATCAAAACCACAGTGAGATACCATCTTACACCAGTTAGAATGGCGAACATTAAAAAGTCAGGAAACAACAGGTGCTGGAGAGGATGTGGAGAAATAGGAACACTTTTATACTGTTGGTGGGACTGTAATCTAGTTCAGCCATTGTGGAAGGCCGTGTGGTGATTCCTCAAGGATCTAGAACTAGAAATACCATTTGACCCAGCCATCCCATTACTGGGCATATACCCAAAGGATTATAAATCATGCTGCTATAAAGACACATGCACACTATGTTTACTGAGGCACTATTCACAATAGCAAAGACTTGGAAACAACCCAAATGTCCATCAAAGATAGACTGGATTAAGAAAATGTGGCACATATACACCATGGAATACTATGCAGCCATAAATAGGATGAGTTCATGTCCTTTGTAGGGACATGGATGAAGCTGGAAACCATCCTTTTGAGCAAACTATCACAAGGGCAGAAAACCAAACACCACATGTGCTCACTCATAGGTGGGAACTGAACAATGAGAACACTTGGACACAGGATGGGGAGCATCACACATCAGGGCCTGTTGTGGGGTGGGGGGCAGGGACAAGGGATAGCATTAGGAGATATACCTAATGTAAATAATGAGTTAATGGGTGCAGCACACCAACATAGCACATGTATACATATGTAACAAACCTGCACATTGTGCACATGTACCCTAGAACTTAAAGTATAATAATAATAACAAAGAAAATAATAATGTAAAAAAAAAAAAGAAAAACAAAATGATGAACGAACTGGAAATAGATTGATATTCAGAAGAGGGTATAGGCGATAATCCTCAACAATATAGCCAATTTCCAGATAACTGAAAACTGGCTAAATACAGATTCTGCATCTCATTGATTTGTAGTCATGACTCTTAAAGGTGGTAATCACTTTGACATTACCATATTTTGTCATTTTTCATACGTTATTTCCTGCTTATAAATTCATATTCCTCCATCCATAATCTATTACACTTTAGAAATTTTAGTCTCAGCCCCTTTTTAGTTCTCTTTCCTTTAAGATGAATTGATGTGTATTTTTTAATGGGCCCTGATATTTTACTTATATATCTAAACATGTAAGTGATAAACTAATAATTGGTATCTTAAAATGATTTTTAAGGAAAGGGGGAAATAGAACAAAATGTAAGTAGATGGCCATTACGGTAGTACATATACACATGAGAGCTGATTTGAGAGACGTGCTGAGAAAGATGTATACACATTGGAGAAACATTTTGGGCAAATATCACCATCTGTGGGATGGAGTGGACAGATATGTGAAATGAAGCTAAAATTCCAAACTTAGGTATAAGGAGATAGAAATTAAGAGAAGCTAGCTTGTAGAGACAAATATTCTAAATGAGTTATGAATAAATTTTGTGACAGCCAATAAAATGAACAGAAGGTAGGTGGAAATTTGTTACTCAAACTCCAGGTAGAGGGAAGGTCTAGAGAGAAATTCAATTAAATTCTTGGAGATAGATGAATAGAGTATAAAGACAATGTTTTGAAGAATATATAGTTACAATTTTGGAAGTTATTTATAAAGCTAAATTTTATTATAGACCTAGTATATAGGAGCTGTATTGGATGCTAGAAATACAAAGTAGGAATGGAATTGACCTTTTTCTGATTCATGGTCTACTTGAAAAAAGATAGGTACACATAAATTCAATATAATGTATTCTATTAGTCTTCTAGGGCTGCCATAAACAAAATACCTGGGTGGCTTAAACAACAGAAATTAATTTTCTCCTGGTTTTGGAAGCTGGAAGTCCAAGATCAAGGTGTTGGTAGTTTTGATTTCTCCTGAGGCTTCTCTCCTTGGCTTTCAATGGCCATTTTCTCACTGTGTCTTACATTGTTTTTCTTCTATGCATGTGTATCGCTGGTGTCTCTTCTCTTCCTATGAAAGACACAAGTCATATTGGATTAAAGTACCACCCTTATTACCTAATTTAACGTTAGTTATATGTCTAAAGGCTCTATCCAAATACAGTCACATTTTAAGGTACTTGGGGTAAAGAACATCAACATGTAAATTTGGTAGGAGGCACAATTCAGTCTATAACATGTGGTAAAGCATATGAAAACTACAGTGGTGTCACAGAGAACAGCTAAGTTTGCTATGAAAGAAATGGTAAAAAAAAAAAAAAGTTACAGAAGAAGTAAAATTTAAACTAGTTAATCTTGAGTGAAAATATAGAATATTTTAAGAGCAGGAAAAAGAAAATATATGATAGGATACCATGTTCAGGGGATGGTGAGTGGTCAGAAAACAGCATAGGCTGCAAAGAAGGAGATATTAGAACATGAAGATAGCGGTATATGAAAAATTACTTTGGAAAATCCTTCTAGGACATGTCAAGGAAACTGACCTGTATCCTAATGGCCTTCTTATTCTTTCACCCTTCATCCATCCATCCAGTCCACTGGATGAATTTAGTTTACCTTTTAAATCTGTTCATTTTCTTCTGTCATTACCAGCCTGGTTGAATATATTGCAATCTCTTGTCTAAGAAACTGAACTAGCTCTAATAGCAACTCCTACAGCTTTCATTAAACATGATCTTTTCATTATTTAGATGTAAACATTTCACTCCTTTTCCAGAAATCCCTCAAGGGCTTTCTGTAGCAGTTAGGATAATAAGCTTCATCATGTTCCTGAAGGCATGTATTAATTAGGCCCATTTACCTCTCAAATCTCATTTCCCTCTGTAGCCACACCCAACTTACCTGAGTCTCATCTATTTGCCAGATTTTTCTAGTCCCAAACCTTTTACATGGCTTATTATTTTTGTTGAATCTATTTCCCTTCTCTTTTCCACCTATATTTTGACACACCTGTCAACTCAGCTCATCTCTCCTTCGAGAATTTTTCTCACTGTCCTAGCTAGATCAAACAGACCCATTATTTGTTATTAAAGAAAGTTTTGTGTACTTTTCTTTTGTAGAATATATACAATGGAGAATTTTTATTACCCAACATGTTTTTAATACTCCCTCAGATAAGTATGTAACCTCCAATAAGTAGAGACATGCCATGTTTTGCTCACAATTCCATAAATGGTGCCTGATATATTTTGCAGCACACAATTAAATGTTCTTTTAATATTTGTTGAATTTTTATTTATTGTACTATAATATAGCAGAGGATAGTGATCCACAGGGGCAATTGATAATATTTTTTACCATGCAGTCTCAACTGAATGAGTCCTACAATGACATGGTCCTTCTTTGCAAATGCATTTATACTAAGTGGCATAGTACAATAGTTACAGGGATTTAAAGCAATAAAAATGACCCACATACCCATATTTACTTTACTTCAAAAGTCCATTCTCAATGTATGTCCATTTTCGTATATCATTTCCATAGCTCTAATAATAAGGTATATAAACCTTGGCATTTAGGTCTCCACTTGCTGTGTTGTAAGACATTCCCTATATTTTTGCTACATAGCTCATAATATTTCACATTAGGTTGATGTACAATAATTAGCTTGATGCTAGGGATGCATCAAATACTCCAGATGTTTCTTATTTTTTTCTAATAGACTTTATTTTTAAAAACAATTTTAGGTTCACAAAAAAATTGAATGGAAACTACACAGTTTCTGTGTTCCCCCGACCCCACACATGCAGAGCCCCTTCCACTATCAACATCTTGCACCACAGTGGTCCACTTTTTACAGTTGATGAACATGTATTGACACATTTTTACCTCTCAAAGTTCATGTGAAGTGACACTGTTCTCTGGGGTAAGTAGCCGGGGTTCGTTGTCTTGTGCAAAGAAGATTTAGGACTCAGATACACACGAGGAGGAGTTTAGGAGCAGAGGTTTAATAGGCAAAAGAAAGACAAAGGAAAATAACTCTCTTTCTAGCGTGAGAGAGGGGCTTCTGAGAGGAAAAGACTGGCCGGTGGTGGAGTGCACCGGATTTCATAGGCAGGCTTGAGGAGGCGGTGTCTGAGTTACACAGGGCTCACAGATTGGTTGGAACGGTGTGACGTTTACATAGCACACAGGGAAGGCTGGCCACTCCACCCTAATCTTATTAAACAAATCAGCTTTCCACTTGGCCAGCACCATTTTATCTGCTCCTTACTGTACACATGACTCGCAAAGAGAAGGGAAGATGGAACTGCCATTTTGCACGTGTCAAGTTTCAGGTAGCTTTTTCCTGCTGGCATTCACCCGCGCAAGCTTCCAGCTTGCTTATCTGTGTCTGCAGCTCGATTTTACAGGCTGCTCTTTGTTAGAAAATGATTTTAAGGCTGCTTTTCATTAAAAAGGAAAACCTTACCGAGGACTCCCATACCCTAACTCCCTAAGTCATTTCCTCTTAACTCCTATATCACATAGTTTACACTGGGGTTCATTCTTGATGTTTTACATTTTATGGGTTTGTACAAATGTATAATGACATATATTCTACATTTCAATATGATACAAAATACTTTTACTGCCATAAAAATCCTCTGTGCCTGTATATTTCATTTCAATTCCCCACTCTCCCTCCCAACCCCTGGCAATTATTGCTCTTTTTATTGTCTCCACAGTTTTGCCTTTTTCAGAATGTCCTATAGTTAGAATCATATGGTATGTAGACTTTCCAGATTGGGTTCTTGTACTTGGTAACATTGTTGTAAAGTGGAAGCAAATTTTATTTAAAGATGTGTGATATTGGGAGACAGGCTTATTGTTTTATGATGCAGCTATTAATATAATCCAACTTATATTATACTTATAATCCAATTTATATTTGGAATAACAGAGATGATGTTCCCCATATCTTAAGAAACTACCTTCAGACTGTCCAGCAGAGAACAGGAGTCTTTGTCAAATAAATAAGCTTTTCTTTTTTTTTTTCCTGTCTCTATATAGAGAACACATAAAGGAGTGACCACTACTTTATGTGCTATAAATAGCATTCCCATTTATAATTGGCTAATCACAGAAATTAGGCCCCATAGCACTGAAGAGGATCTGTTGCTGGGAAGGAAGATGTTATTTCCTTTGACTTCATGAATGGATGCTGTGACCTCATGCAGTAACTCAGGCTGCTAAAGAGGACGTATCAGTTTACAGTCCCACCAACAGTGCAAAAGTGTTCCTATTTCTCCACATCCTCTCCAGCATCTGTTGTTTCCTGACTTTTTAATGATTGCCATTCTAACTGGTGTGAGATAGTATCTCATTGTGGTTTTGATTTGCATTTCTCTGATGGCCAGTGATGATGAGCATTTTTTCATGTGTCTTTTGGCTGCATAAATGTCTTCTTTTGAGAAGTGTCTGTTCATATCCTTGGTCCACTTTTCGATGGGGTTGTTTGTTTTATTCTTGTAAATTTGTTGGAGTTCATTGTAGATTCTGGATATTAGCCCTTTGTCAGATGAGTAGGTTGCGAAAATTTTCTCCCATTCTGCAGGTTGCCTGTTCACTCTGATGGTAGTTTCTTTTGCTGTGCAGAAGCTCTTTAGTTTAATGAGATCCCATTTGTCAATTTTGGCTTTTGTTGCCATTGCTTTTGGTGTTTTAGACATGAAGTCCTTGCCCAAGCCTATGTCCTGAATGGTATCGCCTAGGTTTTCTTCTAGGGTTTTTGTGGTTTTAGGTCTAACATTTAAGTCTTTAATCCATCTTGAATTAATTTTTGTGTAAGGTGTAAGGAAGGGATCCAGTTTCAGCTTTCCACATATGGCTAGCCAGTTTTCCCAGCACCATTTATTAAATAGGGAATCCTTTCCCCATTGCTTGTTTCCCTCAGGTTTGTCAAAGATCAGATAGTTGTAGATATGCGGCATTATTTCTGAGGGCTCTGTTCTGTTCCATTGGTCTATATCTCTGTTTTGGTACCAGTACCATGGTGTTTTGGTTACTGTAGCCTTGTAGTATAGTTTGAAGTCAGGTAGCGTGATGCCTCCAGCTTTGTTCTTTTGGCTTAGGATTGACATGGTGATGCAGGCTCTTTTTTGGTTCCATATGAACTTGAAAGTAGTTTCTTCCAATTCTGTGAAGAAAGTCATTGGTAGCTTGATGGGGATGGCATTGAATCTAGTTCAACCATTGTGGAAGTCAGTGTGGCAATTCCTCAGGGATCTAGAACTAGAAATACCATTTGACCCAGCCATCCCATTACTGGGTATATACCCAAAGGATTATAAATCATGCTGCTATAAAGACACATGCACATGTATGTTAATAGTGGCACTATTCACAATAGCAAAGACTTGGAACCAACCTAAACGTCCAAAAACGATAGACTGGATTAAGAAAATGTGGCACATATACACCATGGAATACTACGCAGCCATAAAAAATGATGAGTTCATGTCCTTTTTAGGGACATGGATGTAACTGGAAACCATCATTCTCAGGAAACTATTGCAAGGACAAAAAACCAAACACCGCATGTTCTCACTCACAGGTGGGAATTGAACAATGAGAACACATGGACACAGGAAGGGGAACATGACACTCCGGGGACTGTTGTGGGTTGGGGGAGGGGGGAGGGATAGCATTAGGAGATATACCTAATGCTAAATGATGAGTTAATGGGTGCAGCACACCAACATTGCACATGTATACATATGTAACAAACCTGCACGTTGTGCACATGCACCCTAAAACTTAAAGTATAATAATAATAAAATTTTTTTTAAAAAAGAGGGCGTATCAGTTACATCACTATATTCCTTAAAGGTGGTGCCCGTAATGGGACAAAAGTGATAGTTAGACACGCTCTAAGTAATGAGTGTAGTGGAATAATACCTATCTAGATGCTATACTTCTGATAATGACTTTATGACAGAAGAAGATTTGAGGAGTTGTTCAACGAGTATGAAATTTCAGTTCTGCAACATGCGTAAGTTATAGAGATCTGATGGATGACTTTGTGCCTTAATTAATCATGCTGTATTGTACAGTTAAAAGTTTGGTAAGAGGGTAGATCTCATGTTAACTGTTCTTACCACAAAACAAAGAAAAAACATAAACACTGAAGGAGATTCAAATCACCTTTTTTTTCCAGCTTTGTCCCATTGTGATTTTATATTGCACACAAATATAATCAAATATTGTGCTATTTCTTCCAGTTGGTATTGGTGGCTTAAATATACAGCTGCTAAATATTTCCGTCATGTGTATTATTGTAGAAATAATTTTCAACTCAGGCATTTATATATAATTACAAGAATTTCAATTAATCTACAATTATGCATGATGTTATTATTACAAGCATGTACACTCACTGGTTTCATTTTTATTACAATATAGCAATTATTTTGTGCAGTGTCAATATGATTTTGCTTTCTCATCATGACATGTATTATATTTCTTTGTTGAAAAATTAAAATTAAAATCTAACTAGAAAATGTGGGGACATTCTGAAAATAACAATAACTTATTATTTTCCCTACGTATTTCTTCTTTTTGGCTTCATGAGGATGAAAATATGGCTAAATGTATACTATTCCTAGCAGCAACACGGAAAATAAAAGGGTACTTGTCTTTTCAATTTTAACCTTTTAATAATGTATGTGTTTTTGTATTTATTATTGTTTCAAACTGTGTTATATTTTTAAATGTTTAGCTACTTCCTAAGTTCTCAAGGGGGAGCTTCATAAGTAGTTGAACAATTTGTATTATTTTATTGTATGAGGGATTTACTTTAGTCTCAGAAAAACAGACAAGTGATTTGTCCCAATTTACATTCAATCCAGTAACAACTCATTGAGCCTCCATTCTATCGTGTAGATGCTAACTGTCAAATACAAAGTCTAATAAGACAAGACCTTTGCTTGTGTGGTAGTCATAGGTTATTTTAATCTCAGTCTTTAAAGTAAATTCTAAATTCCGTGAGATCTCATTAGAAGTTTAGTTATTTTAAGGGGATCCTAAGTTATTTACTGCTATGTTTGAATTGCCTTGAGGTAATTCAACGTGAAAGTCCTAAAGGATTAAAACAAATCTTTAAGAATTTGACCTAAGTAGTGGTAGAAGACATTTACTGGGTATCCACTGTGCGCTGGGTGCTGTTATAGGGATTGTACACAAATCGTCTCTATTTAAAAGAACCTGTATCTTGTTGAAGTTCTTGTACACATTATACTTTCCTTATGGTGCTTGATAGAAAGCTGTCCTCATGTGGTTGGGGTCTAGTCACCCATCTGTGAACATCGCTCACTGATGTCATATTTAGCCAAATAAAGGTTATCCTCATAATCACATTGCCCCTGAATCTAAGTGTCCCTTTGAAGCTGTATACAAAGTTTTGATTTTTGTTGCCAGTATGTTATATGCAAAATACAAATCTGATCAGGCATTTAACTTGCTTAAAACATATCTGTTGCCTTTAGTTGAAATCCCATAACACTATTACAACATTCTCCATGATAAGACTTCTTTTGAAATCACCATTCTCATCTCCTGAAATTCCCTCTTCATTTGCTGCAGCCATCTTGGGCTTTTTAAATTTCATTTGATGTAGCAGCAGTCTCTTATCTCTACTACTTTGAGCATAGTTTCCTCATACAAATATACTCTTGTCTATCTTTTCACCACGTAAACTTTTTATACTTATGTTCTTTTCCTCAACAAGAACTTCTCAAGTCCCCTAGAAGGTATATTAGAGTATTCCATGTTCCCGTAGTTATCTTCTATAATATTTATAAACATTCATTAATTTGTTTAGTGTATTAAGTTTCTTTTAGGCTTTGTTTCCTGTGACAATTCTATCTCAAGGTTGAATATATTGAGATTGGATATACTATACCCTATCTTTTTATTTATTGAAATACTTGTATAAGGAAAATTATTGATTGTTTTAAACAACTTCAAGTATTCAAGATTTGAGGAATCTCTGTCTGCAAAGAATGGCTCAGCCTTGTAATCTCAGCTCTTAGCTTCAAGATTTGTCTTTTCTTTGGGGATCACTCACTAATTTCACGCCAAGAAAGACATATTAAGTAATCTGCCAAAATCCATGTCCTCTTCTGGTGTCAGTTAAGAGATAAGCTCTAACTATAAGAGAATTGTGAGAAGAGGAGTGGTTGGACTTCATAGTCCACTAATTGGTAAAAGCTGAATTCACATATTTCCCTTCATAATCTCTCGCTAATTACCTTGGGGTTTGAGAACTGGGAGAATTTAAATTTTATTCACATAGTTGTTTTCCATAGTAGCTATTTATGAGAAATCTGCTATATTTTTATAAAAATAAATTTATTCTGTACCCTGCTGCAAAGCTTTAGTGTATTAAGTGTACAATAGGACAACTTTGAGCCAAGAACTTCATATAAAAGAACAACATATAAAATTGTCTTAAAACGTCAACTCATTGAGTGTGTGTGTGTGCAGTCCCTTAATTGCATCTACAGAACTACTATATTAATAGACATATCTAGGAGATATTTAGCTGTCATGTAGCCCAGGAATGGTGAATTTCAGGTGCAGATGTCACCACTGACCCATCCCATGACTAAGGCAGATGTTTCTAATACATCACATTCTTACCTTCTGACCTTGAAGGTCAAATAGCCTGTGATTAATTTTGCAACATAGGCATCATGCAGCCACTTCCATTTATTCAGAATTGACCTATAAAGAAAAACCTATTTGCCATCTTTAATTAGTAAAACCTCCCACAATTTACGTAAGGTTAAACAATATCATGTCAGTGTTAACTTACTTTGTCAAAATCAGACATATAGGAAGGTAGCTGGGTTAGAGATAGGAATCTCTCTGTTGTTCTTACTTCTCTTGCAGTCAATTCTACATTTTCCCATTCCCTTGGCAAGATTTTTCTCAAATGTTAGTGTTTTAGGAAGATAGTGTGACTCACTTTGAAAAATGAGATTTTACAAATATTTTTGAAGGTATTTTGTGTATACACACACACACGTATAACTAAAATATTAATAAATTGGCCAGCTCATAAAAAAGACAATTCAAAACAATAAGGTTGGATATCACTTTCTCCTATTTCATGTAGAGTATATGTATTAATTTTAGTACATTCTGGGTAATACTTTTTAAGGGGTATAAGGACTTCTCTAGCTCAGTGTCCTTGCTAAATGATGATCAAGAAAATACATTAACAAATTACAACATAATCTCTTTTGTCCTCATCTGTTAACTTTTCCTGAGTAAGAAAACCTGCTCTATAAATGTGTTGTTCCAATATTAATTTGCTGAATTTGATTAGACTTGTAATAATAGGGTCAGACATAGGAAAGAGGATGAAATTTTGAGGAAATGGTTTGTTCTTGTAAAGATCTGAACTTTAAAGCATTGAAAGCTTTTCATCTTACAAAGTGATTCTAAGCCTAAACAATACATTTTCTATTTCATTTCTTAAAGGCTTTGGCAGAAATTTAAAGACTTACAGTTCTCACTGAACTTTACCTTGACCTTTAAATATAATGTCCTAATGTAAATAACCTTGAGAACATAAATATCTTGACATCTTAATGCTCTGACATTCTATTCGCATTGTCTGATTTTATTTTCTTCTGTTCCACTGATGCTTGAGCATAATTACAAGTACTGCCTTAGAAAGGCATTATTCAAAATGCGCAAAAGGCTATTTTGCATTAGGGAATTAAAAACCCATTCACTTTGGAAAATAAGAAACTGACTTTGAATTTAAAATAATTTCCCCAAAGCTACCATCACATTTAAGAGAAAGATTTCTATAGGGCATGTTTGGCAAATTCTCACATAAAATAGCTACAGAATCACCAGGCTACAACTATTTGCTAGTGCATTCAGTAATATAACAGTTTAGTATAAACTTTATTTAAACTTATACAAGGAATGAAAGATGTGGATTTTGAGCATTCACAAGGGAACAGTACCACATTAATGATTTGATGGATAGCTTGACTATCAGCTCTCAAAATAATCATGTTTTGTAAATGGAGTTCATAAAGAACTCAGTAATTCTGTGATGTAGTAATGCATACAGAAAAACTAATACAGTGAGCACTGGCATATAAACTTATTTTCTGCAGTGTTACTCAGAAACACACTATGCTATTTGGAAAATTATAATATTTTACAAAAGCAGCACACCCTCTTCATAAAGGTTTTCTTAGCAGCCATGCATTTTATATCTTTAGTTCTCTGGTTTTATTTTCAGTCAGATAAATATTAAGATTTTTATGAGTTCCCAATTGCAGTAGTCTCCTAAAGCAGTTTCATAAAATAACCTTTATTATAGCCATGTAATTAAATTATCTTAAGACAGTAGTATAGAATATATTCCAAAATTTTTAGAAAAATTACTTGAATGAAAGTGCTCAGTGTACTTAATGTCTTTATGTTTTTTAGATTCATGACTAGGGTAATATGAAATAATTCCCATCTCTCTCTCATGGGACCAGAACAGTGTTTGCCTTGAAGGCATCATGGAGTCAGAAAGAAAGAAGTTGTTCTAGGACCTGCTCTTACTTCCTTAAACCTCTCAAGCTAGTTTATTAAGTTGAATTAGCTGCATATTTTTTTCAAAAAGGAAAAGATTAACAGACTAGTAGTAATTAGGAGATGATCTGACATTTAAACCAGGTAACTACTTTAACTGTTTTAATAAATGTGTTACATTTGTAACCTGAGTGAAGTTACATTGTATTCTCAAAAATATTTTTATGAATAATCTAGAAATTATTTGTTGAATGGAATATAACTAGTTTACTTCTAAGAGAAAACATGCTATTGTAGTAAGAGATATGTAAGCCATAGATTAGCACTGTTTGTGCTGTAAGAGATGAAAAATTAATTTGAGAATGAAATATAGTTGGGTTTAATTCTGGTTCCACCACTTACTAAATGTGAAATTCTGCGTAATCTAAATTTTCTTTCTAAATCTGTGTTGTTATATCTGTAATTTGGATTAATACTACATTTAATGGGTTATTTATATAAATGTGTTATGATAACCTGGTATCTTATTGTCTCTTTGGAGACAGCATTTGGTAAGTGTAATTCTTGTTGCCATTGCTGCTATTATTATCATACAATCATGTTGAATTACTAAATTCTTTCATTGTCACGTATTACCACTATAATGAAATTTGGACTTCCTTAATTTTGTATTACTACACATATGTACCACATACAATATATATTGTATACATATTATCATGTGTATAGTGGTCCATGTCCTATGAATGTATAAACAAGATAAGAAAGATCTTTATGAGAAGTGCATAGGTAATGAATAAAAAAGTGATAGTGAAGTTAAACTCAATGATAATCATGGCATTAACCTTCTTAACATTTCATTGGCTCCTGATTATCTACAAATAAATCTCAAATATCATTACAGAGCCTGGACATCCTTTCCACATGGTCCTACACTGTCTGTATATTCGCATATTTCTTTACTCAAATCTTTAATTATTCAGATGCTCATTTAATAATTGCACAAATGTTTTCTGATGGTCTAGTATGTGTCAGACACTAAGTTTTGGGACAAAATCAATGAGTAACACAGAATTGCAGTTATAACTTATTGTGCGGTCTCATAGAAGTTGACCTGCAGACAGATAAATGATGACACAAAATGATGTTATAGCAAAGTCATAAACAAACTTATGTAGAAATGTTAATAATTAAATTTACAAAGATAGTGTGTATACAGTTAAGACTGACAGTTTAGTTTGATGTTCAGTGGTAATTCAAAGATTTTCGGGTAGGAAAATGAGGGAGTATGCAAGAGTGGAGGCTGGAAAGGTAAAATGGTTCTGTTACATTGATTTATAGTGGGAAAAAATTGGAGGCTACACAGATGTCCAGTGTCTGGATACTTCATTACATAAATAGATGAAAAGGGCCTCTACAAACATTAATAATGCATTTGAGAAATAACAATGTACATTTTTGTTAAAAATCCTTTGTAAAAAGGAATTGGTAGATTCAGACAATGTGGAAATGTGTCTCAAATAAAAAGCCAGCATCATTCACAATGGTGAAACATTAGACTTCCCATTAAAATAAGGACTTAAAAATAGATGACTGTTATTTCTACTGTCATTTAACATTATTTCAAAATTCCTATGCCATGCAATTAGTTCATAGAACAGAATGAGAATTATAATCACTGGGAAGGAGAAGCAAATTTTAATTATTTCTGGATGGTATGATTTATACTTGTTACCCTGAGAGTAAATTGAAAAATATATGAGAAACATTAAAATAATTCAATCAAGGGAATGGGCATGTGATTTCTATTAAAAACCTTAATAACATAATAATCAGTTAAAATATAATAAAATGTATCATTCGTAATAGCAATAAAATACTTGCCACAAAACCCACAAAGGAAAACTAGAAAGGGAAATAATAATACATTTAATTACATAAAAGTTCTAACTTTCATTTGTGAAAAACACCAACAACAAAATGAAGATAAAAGCAAAATATCAATGGTGGGACTGGGACACCAAGGGTAATAGTAAGGGATAAATGTTCTTAACCTTTAAATCACTGTGAAAAAGGCAAGTAGTCAAATAGAAAAAGGAGAAAGATATATTAAAGCAGAGGTCTTGACCAGATGCAGTGGCTCACGCCTGTACACCCAGAACCTTGGTAGGCCAAAGCTAGAGGATCATTTGGCCCAGGAGTTTGAGACCAGACAGGGCAACAAACTCAGACCCATCTCTAAAGACATAAGAAATTATCCAGGTGTGGCGGCACATGCCTGTGGTCTCAGCTATGTGGGAGGCTGAGTCAGGAGAATCGCTTGAGCCCTAGAGATCAAGGCTGCAGTGAACCAACATCATGGCTCTGTACCCCAGCCTGTGCAACAAAGCAAGAGCCTGTCTCAAAAAAAAAAAAAAAAAAAAGAGACATCCCCAGAGGAAAAATAATCAATGACCAAAAATCTTAATATGCTAAACCTAACTCATAATTAAATGCATATATATTAGGACAATATAATACCATTTAGACTTGTAAGATTAGCATACTTTTTTTAAGTGATAGTACTCAAGAATGGCAAGGGAAGGTAAAAATTTGGAGGGAAATTTGGCAGCATTCATCCAAATTTCATATGTACACAGTCTGATCTTGTAAGTTTGAATCTAGTGATTTAGTTTAGAGATACATTCAAGAGTACAACTATGTACATAAAAATATTCATCAGGAGCCACATAGACTAGGGGTAAGACTGTTGTCTCAGATCCAGATTGCCTAAATGGGAGTTTCAGCTGTGTAACCTCAGTTGCGTTATTTGACCTCTCTGAGGCAGTTTCCTCATTCATAAAATGAGAAAAACAATCATATGTACAACATATGTTTGCTGTAAGGATTAAAAAGAACATCGGGATACTGAATAAAAATGACTTAGAAAAACAATCTAAAGAGAAAAATTATAAATTTGACTAATAAAATTAAATTTCTCTGTGGATCAAAAGAAACCGTAAAGAGAGTAGAAAGGAAAGCCTTGAATGTTGAGAAGACAAAAAATTCGTATTGTGTAAATTAACAACAACAAAAAAGACAACCTGAATAGAACTGGGTCAAAATCATTGTGTAATTATCTTCTGCTTCTTCATCCTGTACCTGCTGTATACTTCCCTTCATTCTCCATACCACTGCTGTCTCACCCAGGGAGCCGACTTGTGGTATTACATCAGTAGGATTTCCATGGCCTCCATCTTCATATGGATTTTAGCTAAGGAAGAACTGAAGATAGTAGGGAGGGAAAAAAGTATTTATTCCTTTGGTTTCTTCTCTGGAAAGGTTACTTCAGGTTGTATTTTTCTGATGATGGAAGGTCACTGCATTTTCCAAGGTTGCCAAAATTACAAAGCTCCTTTTCTGAAACTCCTATTAGGTAGAATTGAAACTTTTTGATATTTTTCTCATTTCTTAACTTTGTTGTATGGTATTAATGTAATATTCAGGGATATATTATCAAGTTGAACTTCAAAGACACTTTAACTGTGCCCATTCTGCTATTAAAAATCTAAGGAGATTTTTAGTTCAATAATTATATATATTTTAATATTTATAACGTTGTAGCTGATTTTTTTCATACATTTTTCCTGCTTTGTAACACTATACTTTATCATGAACATACTCCCTTGTTTGTCTTTGTGCATATACTAAACATACTTATATTGCATTACTGTTATAATTACTCTATCAAGTCTCTTTCTTTAGGTGTAAGTTCTGCATGTTGTATTCGTTGGGTCTCTGTCAATGTCTTGGCTTTCCTAAAAGTTATTGATGATTATTGATTATGACTTTAATATTCTGTGGCAAAATTCTTGAGGATGCATCTAAAGATCACTGTGGTGCCTTCTGTCTGCTTTCTAATTTTAGATATTTCTTATGCTTCTTTCTTTTTTGTTCAGCTATCTTTTCTTTTTTCTATTTTATAATCCAACTTTTAGATTCTGGGGTACAGGTGCAGGTTGGTTACATGGGTATATTTCATGAAGCTGACATTTAGGGTATGAATGATCCTTTCACCCAGGTAAGAGCATGGTACCCAATATGTAGTTTTTCAGCTCTTGGCCCCCTCCACCCTACTACTACTTTCCCTTCTAGTAGTCCCCAGGGTCTATTTTTCTCATCTTTATGTCCATATATATCCATTGCTTAGCTCCCACTTATAAGTGAGAACATGTGGTATTTGGTTTTCTGTAACTATGTTAATTTGCTTAGGATAACGACCTCCAGCTGCATTCATGTTGCTGCAAAAGACATGATTTCATTTTTTCTGGCTGTATAGTATTCTGTTGTGTATATGTGCCACATTTTCTTTATCTAATCTACCATCAATGAACACCTAGCTTGATTCTATGTCTTTGCTATTGTGAATAGTGCAGTGATGAATGTACAGTTGCATGTGCCTTTTTTGTAGAACAATTTATTTTCCTTTGAATATATATCTAGTAATGGGATTGCTGGATCAGGGTTCTCCTCCTGGTTTATAAGCATGTTATAAATTTAATAATTAAAGAGATAGATTTTCTATAAGCCTTCATTGGAAGTTTTTAAACTGTATTTTTTATTGTTTTTATATCTAAATGTCAGATAAGGAGAGGTTTCTGTTCTTATTTTGTTATTTTACACATGATTAGGTTTTGACTTGTTATTTAATTTTTTCTCTAAAGTTTTATCTGATTTGCATTATGGTTATAGTATGTGTTCTGTACTATTTTTGATTTTTGAAATTTATTGAGATATTCTTTGTGGACTAAATAATTTTTAATAAATGAAAAGCAATATAATTATTTTATTAATACATGATTTGAAAATTCCACAAGTACTATTTCATAGTAATTAAAATGATAGCCAAGTAATTAGATTAATTTTAAGTTCTCACATAAGCAATATTTTTCAGTAATAATCCCAATGTTATATTTACATTGCATTAATATGGCAATGATATAAAAATACATAGATGCTTTTTGGAAATTCAGTATTTTGTCTTTCATAGCTATCTCATAATGTTTTGGTGGCTACCATAACCATTGTTCTTAAAAAACATTTGTAAAACTAATCTCTAGAGGCAAGACCTAAACAGTAAGAAGGTGAAACTGTTTATAGAGTGCTAGTTGATAAATAATGTTAAAATATGACTGGCGTAAATAGAATTTGGTCCTATTTCTTGTGATATAAATAATGCCTTTGAGAGAAAATAAAACAAAAATCCCTCTACTGTCAAACATTTTTGTGCTACATAAATGTTTAAAATATATTGGTTTTAAGTAGACTAAGACTATTAGATTTCTTGGAATACACACATCTTTATTAAAAATACTTTATGGCTTTTTTGAGGATATTACATATTAAAATAGATTTCGCTGTGAAGTTTTACCCTCAGAAACAATATTGTTATCAAGTTAATTTTTGAATAGTAATTAAGGGGACTCAATGGCTGAAGTATTTACAACCATATTCAATCATATTTTCTCTATTGAAATTTCGATAAAATTGGGCTTCTGTGTATAATGGAGGCAAATATAAGTTTATTGTTCACTCTAAATTGGACCTATGTACTGCCCAGTTAGATAAAACTTAATCCGTGTCTGGGATTAGCAATTGTTTCATTGATCAGTGTCCATCTTTCTAAGGGTTGTGAATAAAATTAACAAGAATTTAAATCTTAGCTGGTGTTAGCAAAATTTGGTTGAGGAAAATAATTGATGTTTCTCCAAAATTTCACTTCTAAAATAAAAATTTATCAAAGTTGAAATCATAGAAATTTTTACTTGTATATTTATTTAAATTCTTATTGCACTGACTATAATTTGAATCTGAAATTTATTCCTGTTGACTTTGAATTGTATTTTTATGGATTTATTTTCCTTGACATTTTTTGTCAAGTAATCTGCTACTATATTCTGTCTCTCTGTTCAGAAATTCCTTCAGTTATCTATTCAAATACCTTGTATGTTTACCAAATTTTTTTTTGTCACGTACAAAATTTTTCTTAGGCACAGTTCTTTCACGAAATAGGGATTTTTCTTTTTAATTAATTAATTTATTTATTGAGACAGGGTCTCACTCTGTCACCCAAACTGGAGTAGAGTGGTGTGGTCACAGCACAGCATGACTCTGAACTCCTAGACTCAAGTGATCCTCCTACATCAGTGTCCCAAGTATCTGAGAGTACAGGCACATGCCACCACACCTGGCTAATTTTTGTATTTTTTATAGAGATGAGGTCTCTCTATAAAGACTCTCCTCTCAGGAGGAGTCTTGAGCTCCTGGACTCAAGTGATCCTCCCTCATCAGCCTCCCAAAGTGTTGGGATTAGAGACATGAACCACTATGCCTGATCTGCAATGTTTTCTTTACATAATTTCAAGCCAGTTTGAAATTGCAAAAATAATCATTAAAATTCTAAACATTCTTACCAAACTCAATATTCAATTATATTTTGGTCAACTTGTATTATTTTTAGAATTCTGTCTCTCTCTACATAACCCCCCCACTGCCGCCACATACATACACATCCCTTAATATTGTTATATCTTTTCCTGGAATACTTACAAGTAAATTGAAGACATAGTGCCCTTTTACTATTAAATACATAAGTATAATTTCCTAAGAAGAATATTCTTACATAGTCACAGTATACATTTTAAATAAGCCATTATGTATTGATATCCTAGTATTATCTAATCCACATTTCATATTCAAATTTTGTCATGTCAGTTTATTTAATGCCCTGGTCCAGGATCCAATCCAGGATCAAGCATCACATTTAGTTGTTATGACTCTTAAATACTGTTATTGGAGGCTTTCTTTGTCTTTCTTGACTGACATTTTGAAAAGTTCTGGCAAGAATTTTCCTCAATTTGGGTTTATCTGAGTTTCTCTATGATTAGATTCTGATTATGAATTTTTGTCAAGAATCCCACAGATGTGATATTCTGCCTCCCTCAATGTACTCCATCTGGAAGCACATGATGCCAGTTTATTCCAGTATTAGTAATGTTAACTTTGGTAATTTGATTAAGATCTTTAAAATGTAATATGGAAGTAGAAATTTTGAGACTCTATAAATATCATATTACTCATCAAACTTTTACTTACTATTATAGTATCTATTAATCCTTCTTCTAACTCTTTAATTCCTTCTACATTTACTAGTTGCCATTCTACTCTATAGAATAAATTTTCCTTCTCCTTCCTCTATTTATTTATTTATTTAACTTCATGGTATCATGGACTCTTATTTATTCAATGGATAACATAGTCCATGGCTATAATTATTTGTTTTCATACTCAAATTATTCCAGATTTGGCAAATGGGCGCACATTCAAGCTGCTTCTCTATGTCCTTTTGATAGGGTTGCATCACTGTTAGACTTAAGATATGTTGCAGGCTCATCTTCTACTTTTCCAATTCTAGCCTTGAAATCAGCTATTTTGCCAAAGGAGACCTGCTTCATGTTTAAAGATAATGGTTCTTTGAAACGAAGGTTTGGGCATTATCTGTGCTAATTGATACTGGTGTGTCATTGCTTTCAGGCCCCATTAGTGAAATAAACCAAGATCTATGAACTATGCATGTTTGTTTTAACTGCCGTGTCTTTGCTCTTAGAACTACTCAGTGGACATAACCATATTTCTGTGTGGATGTGAATGTGTGCACACACATATCTATTTTTTTCTCTCTTCATGAGTAGATAGATATATACATACATATATACACACATACATAATACATAAATATATGGATTGATATTGACATTTCCTACCTCATTTCAACCACACAGAGTAAATTCTAGTCGGCCCAGTTTTCATATCTGTAACTCCCTTCTCAAGCAATGAGAAACCTGGCCCACATTATCATCAATGTTTTCACTTATTCAAGCCTAGAATACATAAAAAATACTTCCAGAATTGCTAACCCACAAAACTGCAAAAAGTAAACTTACTATCTACAGTTTACTATATTTACATATTTTTTAAGTTCATGGAAATTCACAAATTCTTACGTAATTAATTGCATGGTAAATGCACATATCTGTGTAACCCATCTAATATCAAAATATAGTACATATCCTGGCCGGGTGCGGTTGCTCACGCCTGTAATCCCAGCATTTTGGGAGGCCGAGGCAGGTGGATCGCTTGAGGCCAGGAGTTTGAGACAAGCCTGGCCAACATGGCAAAACCTCATCTCTACTAAAAATACAAAAATTAGCAGGGCGTGGTGGTGCGTGCCTGTAGTCCCGGCTACTTAGGAGGCTGAAGCATGAGAATCGCTGGAACCCATGAGGCAGAGGTTGCAGTGAGCCAAGATTGTGCCACTGCACTCCAGTCTGGGCAACAGAGCAAGACTCTGTTGCAAGACAGCAGATAGACAGGTAGATAGATGATAGATAGATGGATATCAATATATAGATAGATGATAGATATATAGATAGATAGATATACAAATAGTACATTTCCATCACCTGAGTTACATCTCTTGTGCCCCTTCCTACTCCACCGAGAAACACTTTTCTGATTTTTTAAATCATAGTTCAGTCTTGCCTGTTTTATAACTTTATAAACCCCATCGTATCTCCTCTTTTGCATCTGATTTCTTTCACTCAGCCTAAATCTTAGAGATTTATACATGTACTATGTGCTCAAATATCAGTTCCTTTTTTTCTCTCATAAAAATCTGTTGTATCATTGTATGAATATAACAAAATTTATCTTTTCTTTTGTAGATTTGGCTTGTTTTTGCAATTTGGATCTATTTTCAGTACAAGTACATTCTCCTATAAGTCTGTACACCTATTTTACGTTTAAAACTATACACCTATTTTACTTATGTTTTTATTTTTCTTAGGTAAATACTTATAACTGGAATTGCTAGGTCACAGGGTATGTATGCAATGGACAGTGTAAAAAATAGTATGACAATAAGCTGGGCATGGTGGCTTATCCCTCTTATCCCAACATTTGGGAGGCCAATACAAGAAGTTCACTTGAGGATAGGAGTCTCAGACCAACCTGGGCAACGCAGTGAGACCCCATCTCTATAAAATACAAAAATAAGATAAAAATAAAAAAACTGAAAATATTTTTTCTAAGGGATTGTATTATTGTGTACTCCTACTAACAAAGTATGAGTTTATGTTGCTCCACATTCTTGCCAACATTTGGTATTGTTAGACTTAAAATTTTACCAAGAGAAACAAATTTCTGTTGTTTATAAGCTACCCAGTTTATGGTATTTTGTTATAGTAGCCTAAATTGACTGAGACTGTATTGTTTTTTGTTTCTTTTCTACCTTAAGACAGCAAGGACATTCTTCAGTGTTTTCTTTGAAAAGCTTTATACTTTTACTTTTTATGTTTATTTTTATGATTCTTGTACATTTTTTTTCAAAGTTTTGAGGTAGAATTTTTTTCAAATAGATATTTTATTATTCCAGCATTATTTGTTGAAAAGATTTTCTTTTCCCCATTGAATTGCCTTTATGCCTTTGTTGAAAATCAGGTGACTGAATATGGATGGATATATTTCCGGATGTATTATTCTGTCCAATCGATCTTCCTGTCCTCATGCTAATACCACATTGTATGCACCACTGAAGCTTTACAGGGAGTTTTAAAATCAGGTAGCTATAAATATTTTTCTTCTCAAAAATCCTTTGGACATTGTAGGTCCTTTGCATTTTCAAATACATTTTAGGGTCAACTTGTTAATTTCTACAAAGAAAGCCTCCTGAAATTTTGAGTGAGATTAGGTTGAACCTATCAGTTTATTTGGGAGGAATATGCATTATAATTCTTCCAAAACATGAGCATAGATCATTTGTTTAACTATTCTTTAAGAGCATTCAGAAATATTATCTATTTTTTACAGTTGAAGCTGTGTAGATATTTTTGATAAATTATCCACCGGAGTTTTATGTTTCTCCCGTTATTGTAAACCTATTATTTTTAAATGTTATTTTTCACTGTCTGCTGCTAGTATATAGATATACAATTGATTTTATATATTAACCATTTATTCTTGAATTTGATAAATTGAGTTAGTAGTTCTCGTAATTTATTTATTATTATTTTATGCATAAGGCACAATTTTTGAATATTTTTATGTGTTTTATTTCTACTTGCCTTTTGACCCCGGGCTGAACATCCAGTACAATGTTTAGTAGAAGTATTAAATACACATGTCCTTACCATGTTACCATTTTAGAAGAAGAATTCAGCATTTCCCCAGTAAGTATGATGCTAATTGTAGGTTTTTCACACATACCTTTTTATTAGATTGAGGAATTTTTTTCCCTCTCTTCTTAGTGTGCTGAGAGGGCTCTTTAAAATCATGAATGGGTTTTAACTTTTATCAAATATTATTTTCTTATGCATTGAGGTATTCATGTTTTTTTCCTTTATTCTATTAATAAAGTGAATTATATTGATTTTCAAATTTTAATTTTAATACTGAGATAAACCTCATTTGGTCATAATGTATAAACTTTTGATTTATTGGAGTAGGCAGAATAAAACTCCAAGGATGGCCACATCCTAATCTTCAAAACCTGTAAAACTTTACATGGTAAAAGGGACTTTGCATATGTGATTGATTCCATTACGAATTTTGAGATAGGGAGATTATTCTGGATCATCTAAGTGGACCCAGTATAAACACAGGGCCCTTATAAGAGGGAGGTAGGAGGATCAAATTCAGAGAGGAGACGTGACCAAGGATACAGAAATTGGTGTGATGTAGGGTGCCACAATTCAAGGAAAACAGCCTCTAGAAGCTACAAAATAGAAGAAAATGAATTCTCCTTTGCAGCTTCTAAAAAGAATGCAATTCTGCTGAAAACCCACTTTGAATTTCTGAACTCCAGAACTGTAAGATAATATTCAATCTGTGTTGTTTTAAGTTGCTGAGATTTTAGCAATTTGTTATAATTTTTGCAATTATACCCATACTCATAAGGGATATTGTTCTGTACACTTTTTTAGGTTTTAGTATTAAGGTTATGATGACTCACTAAGCAAATTTGGAACGTTTTTTCTTTATTACCTGAAAAAGTTGGTATAAAATAGGTATTATTTCTTTCTTTTTTTTTTTTCTTTCTTCAATGTTTGCTAAAGTCTTTTTTGGCCTGGATTTTACTTTGTGGGAAGATTTTAAAAAATAATTTATTCAATACAGTGGTTTTCCAACTTTATCAGCTTTAGAGCTCAATACAACACAGATCAACAAGCTTTGCTCCTAAAGTTTCTGATTCAGTAGATCTGGGTTAAGGCCTGAGAATTTGTCTTTCTGCCATATTCTCAGGTGATGCTGCTGCTGCTAATCCAGCAATAATATTTTAAGAATCACTGCTTTACAAATACAGGGATTTTTAGTAAATTATATTTTTCAAAGTTCTTTCCTGATGGTTGTCTAATGTATTGGCTAAAGTAGATGGAAATATGTCCTTATTACTTTTAATAGAATCCATAGTGATATCATATTTAAATTCTTGATAATGATAATTTTCATTTCTTCCATATGTCTTTAGTTTTTCTAGTACATTATCGATTTTATTGTTCTATTTAAAGAGTCAACTTCTAGCCTTGTTGATTTTCTCTATTTTTCTCAGGTTTCTCTTACATTGATTTCTGTTCTTACCATCATAATTTCATCTTGTACTTAATTTGGACTTTCTTTACTTTTTTTTTTTTTTTTTTTTTTTTTTTGCTTCTTAAGATGTAAGCCTAGAGTATTCACTTCAGACCTTTCCTCTTTTCTAATATAAATATTTAAAGCTGTATATTTCCTCTAAGCACTAGTTTGGCAGCATCACTCAAGTCTTGATACGTTGTATTTTCATTATCTTTATGTTAGAAATAATATTTGATCCATGTTTCTTAGTCTGTTTCTGCTGTTATAACAAAATAGCACAAACTGGGTAATTTATAAACAACAGAAATGTATTTCTTATAATACTGAAGCCTGGAAAGTCTAAGATCAGGTTGCTGGCAGGATCAGTGTCTAGTGAGGGTTCAGTCTCTGCTTCCCAAATGGCGCCTTGTTGCTGTGTCACCTGGAAGTGACAAACTCTGTCTTCACATGGTGAAAGGGATGGAAGGGTAAATGGGTCCTAGCTAGTTCCCTGCAGCTTTTTAAAAACGGTCACAATCCCACTCATGAGGGCTTCACCCTCGTGATTTAATCACCTCCTAGGGGCACTACTTCTTAATACTGTTGAATTGGGAGTTAAGCTTTAATATTCTAGACAGAACACAAACATTCAAACCATAGTACATGTGTTAGTTACAAAGGCTTTGTTTAATTTGCAAATATTTTGACTTCTTCTGTCTATTGTACTTTTATTGATTTCTACTTTAACTTGGTTGTCAGAGAACAAATCAAGTAAAATTTCAATCTTTAAAATTGATTGGGAGTATCTTGTGTTACAGCAAATAGTTTATCTTGATGAATGTTGCATGGACACATGAAAAAATAAGTATTTACAGTTATATTTAATGTGCTACACATGTCATTTATAGCAAGGTAATGTTCAGATATTCTATATCATTATTAATGTTTTGTTTATTTGATGAATCAGTGAAAGAGGGCATTAAAGTGTCCATATTTGTGAATTTATCTATTAGTCTTTCATATTCTTTTAATTTGTTTGTCATATGTATTTGGAAACTGCATTAATCATGTATATATTCATGTATATATTCATGACTGCTGCATCTTATGAATTTACCTCATTATTCTTATATCTCATTTTATCTTTGCAGAAACTCCTTGCAGTAAAGTGTCGTTTATTTGATATTAATATGTCAACTCCAGCTTTCTTATACTTGCTGTTCACATGGTATATAATTTTCCACACTTTTACTTTCAACCTATACCCAGTATTATATTTAATACACATCTATATTGCACAGCATATACTTAGGTTTTGTTATTTGATCCAGTGTAGAAATCTGTCTTTTAATTGAAGTGTTTAATCCACTTACATGTAAAACATTTATTAACTTTATTGGGTTTACCATTTGCTCTCTCTCTTTCTTTCTTTGTTTCTCCCACTCACTAATTTTTCCTCTGTTCCTCCTACTGTGTATTCTGTTGAGTTAAATGCTTTTTCTTGAGTACTCCATATTTATTTCATTTACTTTAGCTATGCCTCTTTATATTATATATATTTATAATAGGAATATAACTAAATATATAATATATTTGTAATATAAATATAAATATGTAATATATTTATAATATAAATATAACTAATATATATTATAACTATATAACATATGTAATATATAACATATAACATATATAATATATAACATATATAATATAAATATATCATATATTTATGTTTAGTTATATTTATATTAATATTAATGTATATTTAGTTATATTTATATTACAATTTATTATATTGTATATATAATATATATTTATATTACAAAGATATAATGTATATAGTTATATTATAAACATAAAGAGACAGCTAAAATATAACTAAACATATATATTTTTAAATATAAATTTATATATATAAAATATATATTTAGTGTTCCCTCTAGGGATTGTAATATTCTCAATTTGTCACAGTCTAATTGAAAGTTAATCTTGTATTACTTCAGGTAAGCTATAAGAATCTTAACAACAGTATAGTTTCATATGCAATCTAAACTCTGTGCTATTTTTATCACATATGTTATATCTACATACACTATAAACTTTACAATATAGTGGTATATACGTATGTGTCTGTTATGTCTTGTAAAAGAAATTAAATATGTATGTATGTATGTATATACTCTTTTATTTTTATTAACATATTTATCATTTCTGATTTTTTTATTCCTATAAATTCAGGTTAGTATCTAGCATCATTTCCTTTCAGCCAGAACAAACGTTAAAATTTCTCTCAGTGCAGGTCAGCTAGCAACAAATTACCTCAGTTTTATCTCAAATGTCTTTATTTATTCATCTGAAGCTGTCCTTACTCGAACTCCTTTTTTAAAGACAATTTTTGCTGCACATAAAATTCTAGGTTGGGCACATTTTATTTCAACACAATTAATATATATTTTATTGTGGTTTGGATTATATTTTTACATTTAATCAGCCATCACTTATGTTTATCTATGTGTAATGTGTACTTATTTGTATGTTTGCTTTGAAGGATTTTTGTTTGTATTTAACCTTAATAGTTTAATTCTGTTGCACTTAAGTATGATGTTCTTTGATTACCCTGCTTGAGGCTTGCTGAGCTACTTGATCTACTTGATTCACAAGTTTATGTTTTTACTGCATTTTAGAAGGTTTGAGCCATTTTTTTCTTCCAAATATTTCTGCCTTTTATACTCTTTTCCTTCTCTCATAAACCCCAAGTTTCCTTAAAATAGACTACTTTATATTGTGCCCTCAGTGACTGAAACTCTTATCATTTATTTTCAATCATTGTCTCACTGTTTTACAAGTTGGATAATTTCTATTGAGCCATCTTTTTAAGTTCATTTATTTTTTTCTTTTGTCACTTTCCATCTGCTGTTAGGCTTATAGAGTAATTTTTTTTTTTTTTTCTTGAGATGAAGTCTCCACCTGTCACCTAGGCTGGAGTGCAATGGCGCCATCTCAGCTCACTGCAACCTTTGAGTCCTGAGTTCAAGTGTTTCTCCTGCCTCAGCCTCCCGAGTAGGTGGGATTACAGGCACGTGCCACCACGCCAGGCTATTTTTTGTATTTTTAGTAGAGATAGGGTTTCACCATGTTGGCCAGGCTGAACTTGAACTCCTGACCTCAGGTCATCTGCCCACCTTGGCCTCCCGAAGGGCTAGGATGACAGACATGAGCCACTGCACCCGGCCCTAAATTTTTCGTTTCAGATATTGTACTGGAAAAATTCTAGAATTTGAAATTTATTATACAGTTTTATGTTCTTGTTGAAATGTCCCATCTGTTCATTCATTATGATTATATTTTTTCTTAAGTTCTTAAACATATTTAAATAGCTACGTTAAAGCTTTTGTCTGCAAACTACAATATCTGACTCATCTCATGATTATTTTTAATTTCCTTCTTTTCTCTTGAATGTGAGTCACATGTTTTTTTGGTTTCTTAGTATTTTTTGTAATTTTTGAGGGTTTGTTGGACATTGTTGATGAAAGATTGCAGAGAATATGAATTGTGCTATTCTTTTTAAAATTTGTTCTTGTAGGCAGTGAAACCACTAGCAGCTTGTTTTTTTTCTGGTTGTCTGGCTTGTTCTTATTCTTTGATAGGATGGATCTATTACTGTTTCAAATTTAGTCCTAGTGGAGATCCTTACTCTAGGACATGATTCTTTCCTAAAGGTTGGCATTCACTGGTCTCAACTGAATGCCTGAGATGCTCAGTGAAGTCTCTCAACTACAGGTAGACTGGAATGTTGATATCTTCCAGAACTGCTTGATCTCTGGTATCTCTAGTTTTATTTGTGTATATGCACCCTTCCTTCAGAAAAGCACCCACAGTGATTACTCCATGAAGTGTTATGGGACATGCACTCTTGTTTTCTTAAATAGACTTGTCTGTCAATTCCATTCACCTCGGCAAAACTGGAACTCCTATCTTGGATACCTCATCTTATCAATGCCTGTGCTGAGCTCGGGCTTCACTTCCTTGCTTCTTAGCAGAAAAGTACCCCGAGGCAGAAGGTCAGGGTGATCAAGGAACAATCAAGCGATTGCTGTTTTTATGTTTTTCTTCTTTCAAGTGTAATAATCCTATGCTGTTTGTTATTTGAAACAACAGTGCTTGACTTCCTATGTTTTTTCCAGTTTTATAATTTTTTGCTTCTTATAGTAGAGAAAATTCAGTATTAACTCTTCTGTTGGTTGAAAGTAAAATTTAAGTAAGAATATTTAAGCAATTTATAAAAAGGGTCACTGATTATTTGGTAATATAAAAGCAGTGTCTTTGGATGTAACATATTTTAAATATATGTCTATTGACAAGAGAACACTAAACATCCCTAATTCCAATGTAAGCAGATTAAGGAAAAAAAGGAATAATTTACTACAACTCTGATTCATTGAATCAAAATTTAAAAGTACTAAACTAAAATGTTCCTTGATGTTTTTATTTCTTTCTTTATTAGTTAGGAGCTACACAGCTATTGCATGTGTTTCAGTTTAGGTAAAGTAGGAAATGCTGTCATACATTTTGTTTCATTTAGCCAGCAGCATGTTTCAAGCAGAAAAGGTATATAATGCCACCTTGTCTACACAGAATCACTCGGATTATATGTATGCAAAAAGAGTTCCCCAGGTTTGTATTACTGTTACAAACTTTGATTTATTCAGTGATATTAGTGCTTAAGCACTAATGCATTCCATTTGCAAAATACTGCCATTTAAACCTTCAAATGGATATTCCATGTATCCATCAAACCATTAGTGACGTTATTTTCCTTTACCACTTTTGCATGTGGGCTGTAACCCTTCAAATATGTGCCATTTGAATTACATTAGAATACTTATGGGTGGGTTATTAAAATTTATGCTCTTTTTTAATAGGTAGTGTATTAGCTTAGATTTATTTATAACTAATAATTGTAAATCCTTTGTTGGATTAATTTATTTCTAATTGGTGAATTATAATTACTGACCTTTTTAAATAAAGAAAACTAAAGAAGCAGTATGATTAATCAGTTAACTGATGTCTTCTGTGGAACCCAAAAGGCAATTTTAATACTTTGCTCTTAAGATATGTGGATAGAATATTAGCAATTGTGGGGACTCACGGTCTTTTGAATGAATGACATGTGAAGATTAGATTCCCTTACTGGTTTTGATGTCTGTCAAAAGAACACTGAGAAAAAAAGGTAACTTACAGCTTTTTGTCTGCTGCCTCCTGTTTAAGTCATACTGTATCAGCTCTTGTAGTATTTCACTTCTTGAAGTATATGTGAAGAACATTGCTGTTGATAATTATGGTGTTGACATTTGTGAATAGATAAATTAGAGTAGATTTAAGATTATTCATATAATAACACTTTCAGTCACTTGCATTCCCACATGAATTTGTAAATTGTAAAGAAGGAAAAAATTACAGCTTCTGGCCCAAGATTATCCATAATTCCCAGACTATCTTACCTGTACAGCTGTACAAGAGCACATCCCATGTGTGCCGTCCGTCAATTATGTGTCCCAGCAGATAAGTAAATATTTAAGAAGAAATTTTCTATGGTGTGATCTTTGTACCTAGGAATAACCTTATTTATTTTTGGATCCCTAGGGCTTGGCATATGGTCATTTAGTTATTTTTTTTCAATGAATGGTTGTACATAAATCAAGTAATATAAATGCATTGAGAACTGCTGACTTTTTATTAGATGGTAATTGTTTCATGTATTTTCTTGATTTATAGCCTGAAAATAATCTGGATCAGAAAGAAGTATTCCAAATTGGCCTCTGTCTTGAAACTTAACTACCCATGTTTCCCTGATACTAATTTTACAATAAAATAGTCTTTGAGGAATCTCGTACATCTACAACTCAATCCATACATACCCAATAGGGTGCTTGCAACAATTATTAGCTATCTGCTAAAAATGACTAATTGGATATATCACATCATCAATAACCTGATGGCACAAGTGACAGACACACTAATGTCTATAAAATATGCTTTTCAAAAATGCAAAACCTGAGATAATGATGAGACAGATTTTTGATTTTTGATAAGTCTTTTTATAGAAGCTCTTGTTTAAAAAAATCTATTGCAATCTATAAAATGACTGTTTTTGGTCATCTACCAAATGGCGCAGGTATTTTGGTAACTTTAGAAGAAAGTTGAAACAAATTTTGTTTATATACCCACCATAAATCTGAACTGTATGGTTATGATTTCATTAAAAAATACCATTCTCTTAATGATTTCAATATTTTACAGGCTGCACATGGGTTACAGACAATTAATTGGTCATTTATCTTAACTAACACATTTATCTGAGTGTTTTTCTGTTGCTACGAAGGAATAGCTGAGGCTGGGTAATTTATAAAGAAAAGAGGTTTATTTTCTCATGGTTCTGCAGGCTGTTCAAGGAGCATGGCCCCAGATTCTGCTTCTGATGAGGGCCTCAAGCTGCTTTCATTCATGGTGAAAGGGAAGCCAGCATTTGAAGAGATTACATGGCAAGAGAGAAAGCAAGAAAGAAAGTGAAGATGCCAGGCTCCTTTCAAAAACCAGCTATTAGGGGAACCCTTATGGGAATGAATCTAATGGGAACTCACTCCCTACACCCTCCAGGGCATTAATTTATTCATGAAGGATCAACTGCTATGACCCAAACACCTCCCCTTAGGCCCCACTTCCAACATTGGAGATCAAGATTCAACATGAGGCTTGGAGGTTGCAAACACGCGACCTGTAACGCTGCTTTCAATTTATCTGCATGAAACTTGTGTTTAATTTTGGATATTTGTTGTTACAAATGTGATTCACTGTATCTCCAGCTTACAAAAAGGACTCAATTTCTCAAAAGTAAATAATTGGTTTGTAAAATAATGCTGATTTTTTCAGTGGCAATAAAACAGTCTGTAAAACTTGGACCATATGCCAAATTGTACATTAGGTAGAGAGGCTTCCCTAATTTTTATGTGTATATCTTTGAGAAATGAGAAGAGTGGAGCCCTTGAATTTACTCACTTGAAGTTTTAGATGAGTCATCACCATGATATTCTTAGAAGTCTTTCAAGAAAGATAGGGTTGAGAGGGAAGAGTGGCCACTGAAAACAGGGCAGAGGATAATGAAGAGTAGCTACTGGAGAAAACTGAGAGTCTCCGGAGAATTTAGAAAGGAATCGGTTTAGAAAGGTGACCTGTTGTGATGCTATAGAAAGAGTAAAGACTCTGTATTGCTGAGTAATGAAGAGGGCATGGAATGAACACGTGAGAAAATCTTTGCTAATGCTGCAGAGAATCATGGATTTAGGACAGCCATAAATACAATTTTTGAAGTCATATGGAAAAGGAATTTTGAAAATAACCAAAGAGTAGAATGTCAATTCAGTAGGCTAATCACATTTTGTCCAAGGGTTTCTTCTAATTTCATAAAGACTTTATTTTGGGAATTAAATTTTCATAGTAAACTTTATTTTAAAGACAAAAATTTAATTTTTCAGAATTTGGCTCTTTGCAACATCTGTTAGTTCCAAAATTGAAAACGGAAAGAACATTAAAATGTTTTTTTAAATCAAAGACTAGTTCAATTTCTCTTATTCAAACATACCAATTTCTAGGCAGAGTAACTAAATCTCTGAAATTTATCCAGAAAAAGAGTTACACCAGACTAAATTTGGCCTCCTTTTCAAGTCCTGTCATTCAATATAGAGTAAAAGTTGTGCAATATATGTTTTGTCATGAAAAGTCACATTTATTCTAAGTCATTTCTATTTATGTGAGTGGAAACATTACTTAAAAATAGTTTGCATTTAAATCCCTTTATAATTGTTAATGATCAGTTAAAACAGAAAGATTTTACATGTAACTGGAAAGAATATGCCTGCTAGAAATAGTTCAGAGGTAAAAGGAAGGCTCATTTCTTCAATAAAACATCCCACAGTTTGTTGCTTTTTACTGCTAAGACTTGGTCTTTTTAAAGATTAGAGACAATATGATTCACTTGGAAAAGCCTGGGTCTAGTAATTAGGAAATAGTTTCAATAAAGAGCTTTGACATTCTCTAGCTAATTTACTTGGGCAATTCATTCACTCTTTCTGGGTTTTCGTCTTCTAAAACACGGATACTAAGGTGCAATAAACATGTAAGATGATGATGACTCTAAGGATATTTCTATAAAAAAACATTGGCATTAGGCCTGGCATGGAGAGAGGGGTAAAATGAGAGATTTCCTTAACCCTTTTTTGAAACTTTGCATATTTGGGGGACCTTACAGGAGTCAAAGATGAAAGATCCAGCTCAGAGGAGCAATGATTTGTATAGTTAGTTTCCCTCTAATTCCAGTTTAATGAAGAGAAAGACTGTCAGGAGGAGCCACTCCCTTTTCCAGAACAGGGAAATTAGAAAGGAAATGAAGGGACCTATAGGTCTGCACAGCCTTGTCAGAAATTGTAAATCTATAAATGATACCGATGGCTTTAGTTTGTGATTTGGGAGCTGTTATACTCAGCCCATGGAGATATGCCCACACCAAACAGAGGATGACAAACATAGGTTTGCTATTTTTCCTACCTGGATTTTTTCCAAGACTTATTACTTTGGGATGTTGGGTCAGTTTTGTAGAGTTCAATGATTATACAACCCTCCAGGAATTATAAACACTTAAAAGTCCTTAAAGTCTTAGTGCCAATAAATGTATCTACAAATTTTCCTTCTGCCTCCAAACTGAACAACTTTTCTTAGGAAAAAATATTTTTCTCCTTACTCATCTGAGTTTGATTTACTCTTTCACTATCTGTTCGCTGTTTTTCAAAGTATTTGGAAAAATAGCGTGAAATTGATATTTCCACAAGTCTTTTAATTTGGCATTCTGCCAAATTCAGTTTAATAATCAGTTCTCCTTGTTCTCTGTGTAGCACTTGGCACTGATTATCTTTTATCTCTTGAAATTTGTTTCTTTTCACTTCCAACATATTGTGCTTCCTTTTGTTTTCCAAACTGTGTGAAGCTTCTAGTCTCTTTCTTGGTTATTAAATCTTGGCAGTTCCCATGTTCCCTAGATATATCCGTGGTGTTTTCTTAGCTTTTATTTACATGCTGCAGCTAATACCTCTCTAAAAATGACTGCTAAGTATATGTATCAAGTTGTCTTAGGGTGAGTGATTATTGAATAATTAAAAATTAAAGAAAGTAAATAAATATATTTATAATAATATATAATATATAATAATTAAAAATTAAAGAAATATATTTTGAAAGTGATTTGAAACTTGACTGGAGAATTATTGCATACCGTAAACTTGACCTGACAGTATCAACATTTTACTTTAAAATTTCAGAGCATCTTCTTTATGACCAGTGTGGTTTTGTTCCACAGCACAGAAATGTCCTTATTCAGAGTGTTATACTAAATTGTTTTCTGATTATTAAAGTAATAAATGGTAAATAAACATGAAAATATAAAGATTAAAATAAGAACAATTATAAAATCAGATAATATTGAAAATTTGACTCTCTGACAGGCATTTTACTAAAAACTTTATATGCATTGTGTAATTTATTTCTTACAATACTACAAAATAGATACTAATATTAATATCAATTTATTTTTGGAAAGCTAAGGGACAATGCTTGCCTCAGTTCACACAGCTATTTAGAGGTAGATCTGGGATACAAACATGGGTTTATCTGACTTCAGAGTCCAACTTCTTGGTCACTTCCTTGTCTTCCTTAGGGATAACAATTAGAAAAAATATGCAGCTTTTTTTCCAGCCTCTCTTCTATATGCTATGCCATTATCTCTCTTTAACAAAAGTACTCTCCTCTGGATATATGAGGAAAAAAATGGGTTGTTTTATAACCATTTTTGGCTCATCCCAATGGCTCATGCACATCCATGTTGTTCCTAACTTGACTGTGGCCTGGCTCTTCCTTCGTGGTGGCTGTCGTAACCCCTACTGCCAATCCAAGGCAGTCCTTTCAATACAAGGCCCTCCCTTCCCTCTGCATGGGCCTTGGGAGATGAAATGGACATGAGGCAGCCACATTTCTCTTTTCTGTTTCATTCCTTTACTCCCATGCTACCAATACTAAAGAATGGAAAGGCATGTTAAGTTTTACTGAGGAGCTGGAGATAATTAAAGGAAATATTATACATTTAAAACTGCTAAATATGACTGTTTCCTTATTCTAATGTCAAGCCACAGGAAGGTTAAACCCCATTCAGAGCAATTTTCTCAGGGACTCAACTCAGTTGCTAGCCATGCTGCTCTATAGGTAGGCCTTTCCTCCTCTTAGAAAGGACCTTCTTCCTTAAAACTCTGTTTGAATCTCTACACCTCCCCACTTTGGGAAACCCTACCTTTTACCCACAGAAATGTGGGCATATGACCTGGCCTCTTTTCCCAATTTATGCCTGCTGCCTAGGTTATCTGGGAGATTCAGTATGTACCTGAGAGTACATACCCTAAGTATTACTTATTCAGTGTCAATAATACTATAGGGAACTTCAGCAGGACAGGTCAAGCTAGACTTTTGTACTTTAAGTACAACAAAACAGTTAGTTATACAGTTTGGAATTCTAATCCCAAGTTGGTTCTGTGCTATTGTTTTAATAATGCACCACAAAGTTCATGTGTTAGAAACTTAATCCCCAGTACAATTTTGTTGAGATGTTGGTCCATCAAGATGTGAACAGGTCATTAGGACTCTACCCTCATGAACAAATTAATGATGTTATTGCAAGAGTGGGTTTCTTATCACCAGAGTGGGTTCCTGATAAAAGGATGAGCTCCCTCCCCCACCCACCTCTCATACACTCTCTTGCCCTTCTGTCTTCCACCTTCTGTCTTGCCCTCTGTCACCATGGGATGACACAGCAAGAAGGCTGTCAGCAAGATGCCAGCCATTTGGCCTTGGATTTTCCAGGCTCCAGAACTGTAAGAAATAAATCTTCGTTCCTTATAAATTAAACAGTCTTACGTATTCTGTTATAGCAGTAGTAAACGGACTAAGACAGCCCCCAAATGCTATCCCTACATATCTGTTCACTTCTTGTAGTCTTTGAATGAGAAACTATTGAATAAAACATAGGCATTCACATATACCTCCCACAGATAAGCATTGAATCTTAGAAACAGCACAGTGTAACTCCATTCAACATTTTTCTTCACTTGTTGTGAAGAATCTTTATATACAAAAAAGAGGCCAGAATAGAATTACTGTGAGCAATAGCAAAAAAGGAGTATAAAGACTTGGCACAAGGAGGAACTACTTATGCTTAAATTCTTCTGTAGAACCTGATATTGTTAACAATAGAAAATCTTCTTCTACCATCTAATTAGAGAAATAGGAGATAAAGAATGATAATGCCATAGTAATTCTTTGAGAATAAATTATTTCTAATGACTTTTCTTCTTTGGTAATATTCTCTGAGTGATTACTGGTACTGACTTTTATTTAAAGTTATAAATTTTCATCATATAAAATATGTATTTTACAATTGCTAGTTTCAGGTGATTATTAAAATAAAAAATATTTAATTTTTAACTGTTTCAGAAGTAAGATAAATTCCTATTGGCACTAATTAATTTAGTGAGGAGAAATGATTTGATGAGCCAATATAAATAGAAAGGAAATTGTTATTAAAGGCCAGGGAGATATATTATCATTTTTTTCAACGAAAAAGCCCTATCACATCATGTTAACAAGACTCTTACTTTATTCATCATATTCTACATCTTATGATTATTCCTATTTATGTCTTATTTATTTCATTTTAACGTAGGCTTCTTGAGGTCAGAGACAGAAATAATGTGCTGCATTTTGAGGTATTTGGTAAATATTTGGCTCTTCGTTAACTTTTTTATTACCAGGTTGTGCTGGAGGCAATAAGAATGTTAAAAAAAGACAAATGATATCTATATTAAAATAAATGAAAAAGAAACAGATGAAATTAATTAAATTATATTATTTTAATGATCTATTTCTTATACCCAAAATATTATGCGAAAGGTAATCAATACAAAAGTGTTATATTTACATTTGTTTGTTTATACTGAGGCTTCAAAATCCAGTGTGTATTTTACAGTTAAACCACATGTTAGTTTGGACTAACACACTGAGACAAAGGGTTCAGGTAGAGTTGGTAGAGGCTGAAGGGGATGAAGAAGACACTCAAGATCTGTGCTGTCCAGTGCAATAGTCCTTAGCCACATGTACCTATGAGCAACGTGAGATGTGTTTAGTTCAAGTTGTTGTTGTTCTTTTTTTATGTTTTTTATTTTATTATACTTTAAGTTGTAGGGTACATGTGCACAATGTGCCGGTTTGTTACATATGTATACATGTGCCATGTTGGTGTACTGTACCCATTAACTCGTCATTTAGCAGTAGGTATATCTCCTAATGCTATCCCTCCCCCCTCCCCCCATCCCACAACAGTCCCCGGAGTGTGATGTTCCCCTTCCTGTGTCCATGTGTTCTCATTGTTCAATTCCCACCTATGAGTGAGAACATGCAGTGTTTGGTTTTTTGTCCTTGCGATAGTTTGCTGAGAATGATGGTTTCCAGTTTCATCCATGTCCCTACAAAGAACATGAACTCATCATTTTTTATGGCTGCATAGTATTCCATGGTGTATATGTGCCACATTTTCTTAATCCAGTCTATCTTTGTTGGACATTTGGGTTGGTTCCAAGTCTTTGCTATTGTGAATAGTGCCGCAATAAACATATGTGTGCATGTGTCTTTATAGAAGCATGATTTATAATCCTTTGGGTATACACCCAGTAATGGGATGGCTGGGTCAAATGATATTTCTAGTTCTAGATCCCTGAGGAATCACCACACTGACTTCCACAATGGTTGAACTAGTTTACAGTCCCACCAACAATGTAAAAGTGTCCCTGTTTCTCCACATCCTCTCCAGCACCTGTTGTTCCCTGACTTTTTAATGATCGCCATTCTGACTGGTGTAAGATGGTATCTCAGTGTGGCTTTGATTTGCATTTCTCTGATGGCCAGTGATGATGACCATTTTTTCATGTGTTTTTTGGCTGCATAAATGTCTTCTTTTGAGAAGTGTTTCTTCATACCCTTCGCCCACTTTTTGATGGGGTTGTTTGTTTTTTTCTTGTAAATTTGTTTGAGTTCATTGGAGATTCTGGATATTAGCCTTTTGTCAGATGAGTAGGTTGCGAAAATTTTCTCCCATTGTGTATGTTGCTTGTTCACTCTGATGGTAGTTTCTTTTGCTGTGCAGAAGCTCTTTGGCTTTTGTTGCCATTGCATTTGGTGTTTTAGACATGAAGTCCTTGCCCATGCCTATGACCTGAATGGTATTGCCTAGGATTTCTTCTAGGGTTTTTATGGTTTTAGGTCTAACATGTAAGTCTTTAATCCATCTTTAGTTAATTTTTGTATAAGGTGTAAGGAAGGGATCCAGTTTCAGCTTTCCACATATGGCTAGCCAGTTTTCCCAGCACCATTTATTAAATAGGGAATCCTTTCCCCATTGCTTGTTTTTCTCAGGTTTGTCAAAGATCAGATAGTTGTAGATAAGTGGCATTATTTCTGAGGGCTCTGTTCTGTTCCATTGATCTATATCTCTGTTTTGGTACCAGTACCATGCTGTTTTGGTGACTGTAGCCTTGTAGTATAGTTTGAAGTCAGGTAGCGTGATGCCTCCAGCTTTGTTCTTTTGGCTTAGGATTGACTTGGCAATGTGGGCTCTTTTTTGGGTCCATATGAACTTTAAAGTAGTTTTTTCCAATTCTGTGAAGAAAGTCATTGGTAGCTTGATGGGGATGGCATCGAATCCTTAAATTACCTTGTGCAGTATGGCCATTTTCACGATATTGATTCTTCCAACCCATGAGCATGGAATGTTCTTCCATTTGTTTGTATCCTCTTTTATTTCATTGAGCAGTGGTTTGTAGTTCTCCTTGAAGAGATCCTTCACATCCCTTGTAAGCTTCCTAGGTATTTTATTCTCTTTGAAGCCATTGTGAATGGGAGTTCACTCATGATTTGGCCGTCTGTTTGTCTGTTATTGGTGTATGAGAATGCTTGTGATTTTTGTACATTGATTTTGTATCCTGAGACTTTGCTGAAGTTCCTTATCAGCTTAAGGAGATTTTGGGCTGAGACAATGGGGTTTTCTAGATACACAATCATGTCATCTGCAAACAGGGACAATTTGACTTCCTCTTTTCCTAATTGAATACCCTTTATTTCCTTCTCCTGCCTCATTGCCCTGGCCAGAACTTCCAACACTATGTTGAATAGGAGTGGTGAGAGAGGCATCCCTGTCTTGTGCCAGTTTTCAAAGGGAATGCTTCCAGTTTTTGCCCATTCAGTATGATATTGTCTGTGGGTTTGTTATAGATAACTCTTATTATTTTGAGATACATCCCATCAATACCTAATTGATTGAGAGTTTTTAGCATGAAGCGTTGTTGAATTTTGTCAAAGGCCTTTTCTGCATCTATTGAGATAATCATGTGGTTTTTGTCTTTGGTTCTCTTTAGATGCTGGATTACATTTATTGATTTGCGTATATTGAACCAGCCTTGCATCCCAGGGATGAAGCCCACTTGATCATGGTGGATAAGCTTTTTGATGTGCTGCTGGATTTGGTTTGCCAGTATTTTATTGAGGATTTTTGCATCAATGTTCATCAAGGATATTGGTCTAAAATTCTCTTTTTTGGTTGTGTCTCTGCCCGGCTTTGGTATCAGGATGATGCTGGCCTCACAAAATGAGTTAGGGAGGATTCCCTCTCTTTGTATTGATTGGAATAGTTTCAGAAGGAATGGTACCAGTTCCTCCTTGTACCTCTGGTAGAATTCGGCTCTGAATCCATCTGGTCCTGGACTCTTTTTGGTTGGTAAGCTATTGATTATTGCCACAATTTCACAGCCTGTTATTGGTCTATTCAGAGATTCAACTTCTTCCTCGTTTGGTCTTGTAAGGGTGTATGTGTCGAGGAATTTATCCATTTCTTCTAGATTTTCTAGTTTATTTGTGTAGAGGTGTTTGTAGTATTCTCTGATGGTAGTTTGTATTTCTGTGGGATCGGTGGTGATATCCCCTTTATCATTTTTTATTGTGTCTATTTGATTCTTCTCTCTTTTCTTCTTTATTAGTCTTGCTAGCGGTCTATCAATTTTGTTGATCCTTTCAAAAAACCAGCTCCTGGATTCATTAATTTTTTGAAGGGGTTTTTGTGTCTCTATTTCCTTCAGTTCTGCTCTGATTTTAGTTATTTCTTGACTTCTGCTAGCTGTTGAATGTGTTTGCTCTTGCTTCTCTAGTTCTTTTAATTGTGATGTTAGGGTGTCCATTTTGGATCTTTCCTGCTGTCTCTTGTGGGCATTTAGTGCTATAAACTTCCCTCTACACACTGCTTTAAATGTGTCCCAGAGATTCTGGTATGTTGTGTCTTTGTTCTCATTGGTTTCAAAGAACATCTTTATTTCTGCCTTCATTTCATTATGTACCCAGTAGTCATTCAGGAGCAGGTTGTTCAGTTTCCATGTAGTTGAGTGGTTTTGAGTGAGTTTCTTAATCCTGAGTTCTAGTTTGATTGCACTGTGGTCTGAGAGACAGTTTGTTATAATTTCTGTTTTTTACATTTGCTGAGGAGTGCTTTACTTCCAACTATGTGGTCAATTTTGGAATACATGTGGTGTGGTGCTGAAAAAGATGTATATTCTGTTGATTTGGGGTGGAGAGTTCTGTAGATGTCTATTAGGTCCACTTGGTGCAGAGCTGAGTTCAATTCCTGGGTATCCTTGTTAACTTTCTGTCTCATTGATCTGTCTAATGTTGAGAGTGGGGTGTTAAAGTCTCCCATTATTATTGTGTGGGAGTCTATCTAAGTCTCTTTGTAGGTCACTCAGGACTTGCTTTATGAATCTGGGTGCTCCTGTATTGGGTGCATATATATTTAGGATAGTTAGCTCTTCTTGTTGAATTGATCCCTTTCCCATTATGTAATGGCCTTCTTTGTCTCTTTTGATCTTTGTTGGTTTAAAGTCTGTTTTATCCGAGACTAGGATTGCAACCCCTGCCTTTTTTTGTTTTCCATTGGCTTGGTAGATCTTCCTCCATCCCTTTATTTTGAGCTTATGTGTGTCTCTGCATGTGAGATGTGTTTCCTGAATACAGCAGACTGATGGGTCTTGACTCTTTATCCATTTTGCCAGTCTGTGTCTTTTAATTGGAGCATTTTGCCCATTTACATTTAAAGTTAATATTGTTATGTGTGAATTTGATCCTGTCATTATGATGTTAGCTGGTTATTTTGCTTGTTAGTTGATGCAGTTTCTTCCTAGGGTTGATGGTCTTTACAATTTGGCATGTTTTTGCAGTGTCTGGTACCAGTCGTTCCTTTCCATGTTTAGTGCTTCCTTCAGGAGCTCTTTTAGGGCAGGCCTGGTGGTGACAATCTCTCAGCATTTGCTTGTCTGTAAAGTATTTTATTTCTCCTTCACTTATGAAGCTTAGTTTGGGTGGATATGAAATTCTTTGTTGAAAATTCTTTTCTTTCAGAATGTTGAATATTGGCCCCCACTCTCTTCTGACTTGTAGAGTTTTTGCCGAGAGATCCGCTGTTAGTCTCATGGGCTTCCCTTTGTGGGTAACCCGACCTTTCTCTCTGGCTGCCCTTAACATTTTTTCCTTCATTTCAACTTTGGTGAATCTGAAAATTATGTGTCTTGGAGTTGCTCTTCTCGAGGAGTATCTTTGTGGCGTTCTCTGTATTTCCTGAATCTGAATGTTGGCCTGCCTTGTTAGATTGGGAAAGTTCTCCTGGATAATATCCTGCAGAGTGTTTTCCACCTTGGTTCCATTCTCCCCGTTACTTTCAGGTACACCAATCAGACGTAGATTTGGTCTTTTCACATAGTCCCATATTTCTTGGAGACTTTGTTCTTTTCTTTTTATTCTTTTTTCTCTAAACTTCCCTTCTCGCTTCATTTCTTTCATTTCATCTTTCATCACTGATACCCTTTCTTCCAGTTGATCGCATCGGCTCCTGAGGCTTCTTCATTCTTCACGTAGTTCTCAAGCCTTGGCTTTCAGCTCCATCAGCTCCTTTAAGCACTTCTCTGCATTGGTTATTCTAGTTATACATTCATCTAATTTTTTTTCAAAGCTTTTAACTTCTTCGCCATTGGTTTGAATTTCCTCCTGTAGCTTGGAGTAGTTTGATTGTCTGAAGCCTTCTTCTCTCAACTCGTCAAAGTCATTCTCCATCCAGCTTTGTTCCATTGCCGGTGAGGAACGGCGTTCCTTTGGAGGAGGAGAGGCACTTTGCTTTTTAGAGTTTCCATTTTTTCTGCTCTGTTTTTTCCCCATCTTTGTGGTTTTATCTACTTTTGGTCTTTGTTGATGGTGACGTACAGATGGGGTTTTCGTGTGGATGTCCTTTCTGTTTTCCTTCTAACAGACAGGAGCCTCAGCTGCAGGTCTGTTGGAGTTTGCTAGAGGTCCACTCCAGACCCTGTTTGCCTGGGTATCAGCAGCGCTGGCTGCAGAACAGCGTTGGCTATAGAACAGTGGATTTTCATGAACCACAAATGCTGCCACCTGATCAGTCCTCTGGAAGTTTTGTCTCAGAGGAGTACCCGGCCGTTTGAGGGTCAGTCTGCCCCTACTGAGGGTTACCTCCCAGTTAGGCTGCTTGGGGGTCAGGGACCCACTTGAGGAAGCAGTCTGCCCATTCTCAGATCTCCAGCTGTGTGCTGGGAGAGCCACTACTCTCTTCAAAGCTGTCAGAGAGGGACCTTTAAGTCTGCAGAGGTTACTGCTGTCTTTTTGTTTGTCTGTGCCCTGCCCCCAGAGGTGGAGCCTACAGAGGCAGGCAGGCCTCCTTGAGCTGTGGTGGGCTCCACCCAGTTTGAGCTTCCTGGCCGCTTTGTTTACCTACTCAAGCCTGGGCAGTGGCAGGCGCCGCTCCCCCAGCCTTGCTGGTGCCTTGCAGTTTGATCTCAGACTGCTGTGCTAGCAATCAGCGAGACTCTGTGGGCCTAGGACCCTCCGAGCCATGCACGGGATATAATCTCCTGGTGTGCTGTTTTTTAAGCCCGTTGGAAAAGTGCAGTATTAGGGTGGGAGTGACCCGATTTTCCAGGTGCCATCTGTCACCCCTTTCTTTGACTAGGAAAGAGAACTCCCTGACCCCTTGCACTTCCCGAGTGAGGCAATGCCTCGCCCTGCTTTGGCTCATGCATGGTGCACTGCATCCACTGTCCTGCACCCACTGTCTGGCACTCCCTAGTGAGATGAACCCGGTACCTCAGATGGAAATGCAGAAGTCACCCGTCTTCTGCGTCGCTCATGCGGGGAGCTGTAGACCAGAGCTATTCCTATTTGGCCTTCTTGGCTCCACCCTCCTCAAGTTGTTGTTAATGGCTGTTGAGATATGGTCAAATCAATTATATTTTGAAATAGTCTTTTGGGTATATAAGAAATATATTTTTAAACCAAATAATAAATAAATTAATTAATGTCAACCATTTACTTTAGCTTATTTTAATATGGCTACTAGAATATTTTAAAATTTGAAATTTAAAATTGTGTGGCTTGCATTTGTGGCTCATATTGTATTTCTGTTGGACAATGCTGCTCTGTATTTTTTTTCTAGAGTTGATCTTATAGAAAAACAAACTCTTACTTTAAAAAACAGCTTATACATATCGAAAAACTTGCATCTTAACAATGACAAATATTTTCTCCCTCTAAATTTACTCAGTCTTATTCATTGAACTAAGAAATGCTTATTTCTTAGCTTTTAAGTTAAAGATAGGCACCAACTGGTTTTGTATGTCTCAGTAACAGGGGAAATAGTAGTTAGTAGGATCAGAGAAAAGCCTTCCAATTAATGTTAACTATAAAACAGTTTACACAACACACATGTTCTTTAGGAAAAATGTTTTTAGCCTGCATACTAATACACAAGAACATTTAAAATGTTATCCTCTTAAAAATGTTTTGTTTCTCAATAGTTTAAAAATGTATTTTTTTATCTATTTTGTTTTTTAAAGACTGACTTTCAGTTTTATTTTTAAAACCAGTTGACATACTAAGTCATGCTGCAGACACATGGTCACCACTATAAACTTCAACTATTTGTTTTCCTGACTCACTATGGTGGTGCAAGAAAACTATTTTTGAGTAACTAGCTGAAATGAATTTTATAAAGCCTACCTATGTTCTTGTGTGACATATCATTTAAACTATTTTCATGTTAGAAGTTCGTTCCTTCAGTCGGTTTCTTCGGACATATCTCTCATAACCTTAAATAATTTTTAACTATGACTAAGGATAATTTATCAGTTAGTGTGAGTGTTGAATTTCTGCTTTTATTTGGCTAGATTAAAATGCTATCATTCCTTTTGAATACTAAATAACTAATTTGCTTAACATGTTTTATCGATTTTCTTGCAATTAAGGTGGTTCATAAATACAATCATAATAATTGAGATATAATTACATCTATAAACAGAAAGTTTATGTAAGGTATCAATGTGTTTCTTCTTTAACATACCTTTGTAGCCACAAAGTCCTTCTACTTGTTTTTAGACCTTAATTCCTATAGTAATATTTCTCCACTAGGGAGATATTGGCACTTGGGGCAGAACAATTTATCATTTTGTGGTACTTTCTTGCACGTTGCAGGACTGTTAGCCTCTCCTGTCTCTACTCACTAAATGACAGTAGCAAGTATCCAATCACTCTCCCCTTCATTCAGTAAGACAGCTACTACCCCCATACCACCACCACACATTTCCCAGTATCAGCTGGCCAGTACCATTCCAATAAAAAACCTTTCATGAAATTTTTGTCATTATTTCTCTCATGGCCTTTAATCTATAGTTTACCTGGTAAAATATTATTCATCATCATAAAATACTATACTTTACTATGAAATACTATGAAAATGCTGTGGAAAACTGTGTCTCACTTTACCTGTCATTTATTGCACACTTGCTAGATGCCAGGCACTCTTCTAAGTGCTTTACCTGCAATAACTTATTTATCCCTCATAGCAATGCTCTAACTTACTTACTACTACTATCCTTGCTTGATAGACAAAAAAACTGGAGGCAAAAGAAATCAAGTAATTTGTCCAGTGTAACCAACTAGAAAGTAGCAGGGCCTCAGTTAAGTCGGGAAATCTGGATCCAGAGTCTGAGATTTTAAACACCCTCTTTTACTTACGTATTATTAAAATTAAAAAGAAGAAAGAAAAGTCTGAGCCACTTTACCTTTCTTTTTTAAGATTCTACTAGAAGTTTTACTTATATATACTCTTTAATATGGTGCTCATATATCATGTTAACTTTTACAGAACAGAGTGTGAAGCACAAAATTGATAGAAATACCTCATTCCTAAAAATCAGAATCCAATTATTGTTCTATTCTCCCTACCTCTGCACTCTAAATCCTGTACCAAGTCCCACTTATGTGTTTTTGGTGGGCGAAACACATTATAAGTAACATGTCATAAATATGCCTCTTTCCATACAATGTGGAAGAAAAAATGATCACTTTTTAAAGTTGCCATCCACTGTCAATGCAAAAATTACAGTCAGGGCAAAAATTACAAGTCATTTTCTCATGTATTCATTTTTTCTTTTCATTGTTTTATATTGTAACATAAGGGCATTTCTGTACACTCAGATATCTCTAAAGTATAGTGTAATTTCAGATGACCTAGAACACAGCCTAATATATAATCGTATATGAAATATAACTACAATTTGTGTTCTTAGACAAATTTACTAAGCTTGCATTTAAATTCTACCATGTAAAGCAAAACAGTTCTTTTGATATATGCATGAATTTAAAATCTTTATCCATGAGGCTGAGCACGGTGGCTAACACCTGTAATCCCCTCACTTTGGGAGGTCAAGGCGGGTGGATCACCTGAGGTCAGGAGTTTGAGACCAGCCTGACCAACATGGTGAAACCCCGTTTCTACTAAAAATACAAAAATTAGCCAGGCATGGTGGCGGGTGCCTGTAATCCCAGCTACTTGGGAGGCTGAGGCAGGAGAATTGCTTGAACCTGGGAGGTGGAGGTTGCAGTGAGCCAAGATGGTGCCACTGCATTCCAGCCTGGGTGACAGAGCGAGGCTCTATCTCCAAAAAAAATAATAATAATAAAAATAATAAAATCTGTATCTATGAATTTACTATCTGTATCAATGGAATCAAAATTAGGGTGTTTCTACCCAAGCAAGTACAGTGACTCTTTACAAAGTGGCCCTAGAAACTAGACCATTATAAGAATCTAAGTAAATGACAAATTTTCTTTATTTTTCAAGAAATATAATTATGAAACTTTTATTTAATATACATAGCTGCTATTTTATTTGTTGCATTGGATCATACCTACATGAACTACCATGTGAGAACTTTTCTTTGTAATTTGTATGTGGAAGAATTTCCTTTATCCTCAGATAATTGTACAGTTCTTCCTCTTTGTTAATAAGAGTGATGCAATTTACTTCTCCTTTTTACCCAGGCTGAGAGGAAGCACTGGGCAAGATACAAATTTATTCAAAGTGACCATGTTCATCTTAACTACATATTCCTTCACCAGGATATTCCATTTTTAAGCCACTTCAAAACATTTTTAGAAAAACGCACAAATAAATTCAATAATATCTATTTACAGGGACCCAGCAGAATTTCTTACCAAAAAGAAAGAGAAATGGGGAAAGTGTGGGGTGGGGGAGAGTAGGGAGAGATAGAGGAGGAAGGGCGGGAGGGAGGGAGGGACGAAAGAAGGAAGGAAGGAAGGAAGGAAGGAAGGAAGGAAGGAAGGAAGGAAGGAAGGAAAAATGAATGGACTTTCCAACAATGTTAACATCACTAAAATTTAGTCAGGTACCTTTTACATTTGTGAAAAACATTTAATACATTAACTATGTTTTCTCCACCAATGTGTCAAACCAGTAAATCTACCATTCCCTTCACACATTAACAGAGAAGAGTTTCTGTAGAAATGTGCACATCCAGTGTTAATGAAGAAAAACAGCTGACTTGCTCTTAACTGAAGGGAAAGCAATTATCATTTAGTTCAGTGAATCAGCTAGTGTTACTCCCCACCTTCACTTCTATCAGCAACAAATCAAAATATAATGCATGTTAAAGGCATCAGCAACAAATTCATTGTTGAACTTTGCATTGTTGAATCAAGCTCTCTTTTAATAATATCTTCCTATGAAATGACAGACTACGTCCTCTGGAATGATTTATAAGAATGATTAGTTCTCTATTGCAAAATCTCCCCAATGTTTAAATTACTGCCAACATTTGAAATAACAGAAGAACAGGTGGTGACATTACTTAAAAAATAAATATATTTGTGAGTCTAAAATGAAATTTAAAATATTTCTACATTTAAAATATTTGCATTGTTTTTTTCTTTCAGTTTCAAAAGGTAGTTAGAATGCATGCCTCAGAAATATTATGTTCATAATCAGAACAATGAGTTTTGTAGCCAATTAAAATACATGATCATACTAAAACAAATTCTCAACTTGAGTGTGACACTGCAGTAAAAACTCAATGCTCAGTTAACCAGAAAATCTAATTAACCACACATCTTATTTCTACAGAATCCCATCATTTTTTCTTTTAATATTACATGAATTTCATTATATTCCTTCTAGTAGCTTCAGATAACTATAGTGGGTTTTTTCAGTTTAAAAAATAATTTTCTAAAGGTTTAATTTCTCTGATTCATGCTAATATAGATTCATGTGAAATTAGGTTGTTTTTATATAATTATGGTTTTAAATTTTCAAACATGTTTATGAGGCTGTGTCCTCTGACCACGTATACGCTTCCATAATCCTCACAGTAGACTAGATAACACTGTTATATACTTTAATAAAACCTGTTAACATTTCTTTTATTTAAATTTACTTGTTCCATGATAGCTATTATCCATACACTCTAAATTTCTTAAGAGAAAGAACTATTTCTTTCAATTTACCTACCAGATCTCCAACTTTATTATAGTAAATGGTACACAGTGGCTGTTAAGAAAGATTTATTGAAAAATTGAATTAAATCTGTTTAATGTGTGAATTAATAAATGAAACTCTATTTTACAAGCACTGAATTTAAAACTTTAATAATAAAAATGTGTGTAATAGGGATAGATTACTTCTGGAGGATCTTCTTAATCAGTTAGAAAATGTTTTTATTTACTAGAGAAGACATCTAGCTAAAACATCACATTGAAAATGCATATTTTGAAGTCCATGTATGACGTGATACTGGAGTTTAAGTAAATTATATTTATAATAATATAATTTTAGCAATATATTTAATTACTAACTCTACTAATTACTAAAGCCTAGTCCTTTGAGATTACTATTATGGGTTTTATTATATTTTCATATGTCACAGACATAGAACTTTTGGAATAAACAACAGTGTCATAGTATTTCAAGATTTCATATTTCCGTTATTCCTGAGAGATTTTTAATCCCCTTGCATGTAAATATTTGTGAATTTTCTGAAGACTTTTTTTGTAGTGTTACAGGATTCTTGGGGTGTTGCTTCACCAGCCACATACCTCTGTGGCTAGTAGCACCTTTGCCCATGTTTTGCATGGGCCCACTGGGCTCACTTGACCTGGCAGGCTGCAACTGGCTTATGCTACTGATCTGAATCCCAAGCCTGCCAAGAGTGAGTGGAACAGTGAAAAGTGTATGAGTGACTGGGTGTGGGGCATGCTGACTGTGATGGGGTGGGCAACTCCAAAAACCAGCATGGGTGCCAGCTTTCTGCAAGGCTATGGCTGGATCGGACATCCCACAAGCAGCTTCCATAGCTGGGACCAAGGAACATAGTGGGACACAGAAGCTTAGAGATGCCAGGAACCACAGAACCCCAAAGAAGGTGTCACAGACCTGGCTTGGGGAGCTGCTAGGTCTGGGCTCCCCAAAGGGCCACAGCTCTTCTCTCCTTCTTGTTGCCCACAGTGTGGTGAGCAAGGGAAGGGGCACATTTCAGCCCTGTTTGTGTTATAGTTCTTTCAGCCCTGCCATTTGGTGGGTCTTGCATTCTTGTCCCTTGCCCAAGAAGAATGGGGTATGCAGACAAGTGGGGGGTGAGCAAGATGGACAGGAGCTTTATTGAGTGATAAGACAGCTCAGAGGAGATTCACAGTGTGTAGCTCCTCTCTGTAGCCAGGGTGTCCTGATGAGCATTCAGGTTCTCAGCAGAGAAGAGACCCTGGAATGGGTAGCTCCTCTCCACAGCTGGTCATTCTGTCATCTCAGCTCTCAGCAGAGAGGAGACTGGGGGTGGGTAGCTCCTCTAGAGCTGGCCATCTCTCTGAACCTTTCCCTGAGACTCGCCCTGAGTCTGACTGAGTCTCTCCCTGAGACTCTCCCTGAGTCTGGATGAGTCTGGGGTTTTTATGGGCATCAGAGGGGAGGAAGTTCATGCTGATGGTCCATAGGCAGCCATGCTTGGGCCCAGAAAAAGCACCATAAGTTCCTGCTCTACTCTGCAGGGCCAGCAGCCTGGCCCTCAAGCTTCAGGCCTTCCCCAGCTTGAAAATGAGGCTCTCAAGGGACCTCCCCCTTTCCACCAAAGAGCCTGTCTGCTTCCTGCTGCTATTCATGGCACCCAGGCTGTTTGCCCTTGGCCTGCCTCATTCTTTTTTTTTTTTTTTTTTTTGAGCCAGAGTCTTGCTCTGTTGCCCAGGCTGGAGTGCAGTGGCACAATCTCGGCTCACTGGAAACTCTGCCTCCCGGGTTCACACCATCCTCCTGCTTCAGCCTCCTGAGTAGCTAGGACTACAGGCACCCACCACCGTGCCCGGCTAATTTTTTGTATTTTTAGTAGAGATGGGGTTTCTCTGTGTTAGCCAGGATGGTCTCCATCTCCTGACCTTGTGATCCGCCCACCTCAGCCTCCCAAAGTGCTGGGATGACAGGCGTGAGCCACTGCACCTGGCCAGCCTGACTCATTCTTATTGGCACCAAATATCCAGAGGGGACCAAGAAAGCAGGGGTCTGGCATCTCAGCACTGGCCTGAGTGTGCATACACCCAGCCAGGTTGCAACAGTGCCCTGGCTCAGCCTCAACTTTTCTCCCAGATCAGAGTGGGTGCCAGGAGCAGGGAGAGGCCAGGAAGTGGGAGCAGGCATTTCTGAGCCTGTGGAGGTACAGGGGGCATTCCTGGGCCTCCAAGAGTGTGGAGATGCCTGGGAGTGGCCGCGGCTTGGACAGGTGCAGCCATACCCAGGAGGGTGGGGCTCCTGGCTGCTCCCAGCCCCTAAGAGCACAGATAGCCTAGGATAGCCTAAGGAGTGTGAAGCTCCCACCCTGCCAACTCAGAAGGGGTCAGGGCTTCTGCCTGTTCTACTGCTCCTGCAAGCTCTGTGGAGCACAGAGCCCTGGCCAAGCCTTCCCCACTGAAGCTAGTGTCATGGCAATGGCCACTCTGGATGGGCCACAGCTGCCATTAGTATTGCAGATGATTGAGATAAAAAAATCACCTAACAAGTGGAAGAAGAGCAAAATGGCTGAATAAAAGCCTCCAATTGGCCGGGCGCGGTGGCTCACGCCTGTAATCCCAGCACTTTGGGAGGCCGAGGCGGGCGGATCACGAGGTCAGGAGATCGAGACCATCCCGGCTAAAACGGTGAAACCCCGTCTCTACTAAAAATACAAAAAATTAGCCGGGCGTAGTGGCGGGCGCCTGTAGTCCCAGCTACTTGGGAGGCTGAGGCAGGAGAATGGCGTGAACCCGGGAGGCGGAGCTTGCAGTGAGCCGAGATCCCGCCACTGCACTCCAGCCTGGGCGACAGAGCGAGACTCCGTCTCAAAAAAAAAAAAAAAAAAAAAAAAAAAAAGCCTCCAATTGTTCCCCCAGCAGGAACATGAAACTGAATAACTATTCACATAAGAAAGCACCTTTGTAAGAACCAAAAATCAGGTGAGCAATTACGGAATCTGGTTTTAATATCATGTCAAAGAAAAAGGCACTGAAGAGGGTAAGACAGTCTTGGGTTGCTGACACAACTCCTACCCTATGCTTTCCCTGTGGCTGCCTGGTGGAGAGAGAATCTGTGTGTACTGAAGAGCACAATGATTGTGGGAATTTGCATTGTAACTGCATGCTGCCATGTTACAGCAGAAAGCAGCACAAGGAATAAGAGGGATGATTCCTCTCTGTTCTGCATGCTCTTATTGCTTATTGGTCTGTATGATCCCTCCAGTCCCATAGAAGGAGCATGTAGACCAGAGGGGAATTGCCCATTTCAGCAGTTAGAATCTGAGTTCTGAAGTTTTGGCTGGCTTCACCACTGTGGTATAAAGCACTTTGGGTTTCTAAATAAACTTGAAAGGTGTTCTATACCTCAACAGTTGCAATTCCTGGGCAAGCCTTGGTACTGTGCTGGGCTGAGGGCAAGTGGACTTGGGGTGCATATTACTTAGTGAGACACCAGCTGGGGTGACCAAGAGAGTGCTTGTGCAATTCTTCCCCCAACACAAGCCAGTGTATCCCACAGCTCCAGGAAAGATGTCTTCCTTCTACTTGAGAAGAGGTGAAGGGAGAGAAAAGAGGACTTTGCCTTACTACTTGGATACTGGCTCAGCCGCAGGAGAATAGAGCACTAGGCAGAGACTTGAGGCCCTGATTCCAGGCCCTAGCTCCCATTTCTATACACACTCTGGGCCAGAAGGGAATCTGCTGCCTTAAAGGGAATGACCCAGTCATAGCAGGATTCATCACCTGCTGACTAGAGTACTTGGGTCTTGAATAAGCATTAGTGGCCTCAGGCAGTTCTCACCGTAGGTCTTGGGTGAAATCCACTGCTATACTGGCTTTAGGTGTGATCTAGGGCATTCCCATCTGTGGTGGCAATAGGGAAAGAGTCATTCTGCTAAAGGAAAGGAGAGGGAAGAGTAAAGGGGGTTTTGTCTTGCAGCTTGGGCACCAGCTCAGCCACAGTGGGATAGAGCACCAGGTAGCCTCCTGGGGTCCCCACTTCCAGGCCTGAGCTCATAGGTGTCATTTCTGGACACAGTCCAGGGCAAAGGGAAGTTGACTGCCTTGGAGGGTGAGTTTTAGGCCTGTAAGCATTCCAGCAAGCTGAAGGGAGAGCCTTGGGTCTTGAGTGAATATCAGCAATAGCCAGGCAGAAATCTCTGTGGGTCTAGTGCAGTGGTGGCCACAGGAAGAGACTCCTGTTAGATAAGGAGAGAGAAGAGTGGGAAGGACTTTGTCTTGTGGCTTGGGTACCAGCTTAGCTGCAATTGAATAGAGCACCAAGTAGACTGCTAAGGTTCCTGCCTCCTGGCCCTGGCTCCTGGATGGCATTCCAAGACCTGCCCTGGGCCAATTGGGAGACTACTTCTCTTTAAAGTAAGATACAAGGCTGGAAATGTGCCATATACTGACTAAAGAGTTCTTGGGCCTTGAGTGAACATAGGTGGTAGCCAGGCAGTGGTTACCATGGGCCTTGGGCAAGGCACAGTGCTGTGCTGGCTTTAGGTCTGAACCAGCACAGTCCCAATAGTGGTAGCCACAGGGGTGCTTGTTTCACCCTTCCCCGTGCTCCAGGCAGCTCAGCATAGAGAGAAAGAGAGCCTGCCTGTTTTGGGGAAAGTAAGGGAAGAGAACAACTGTCTCTACACGGTAATCCAGGGAATTCTCCTGGGTATTTCACAAGACCACCAAGCAGTACTCCCATGAGTTAGCAAAAGTCACAGTATTACTAAACTTGGGGTGCCTCCTAATGCACATGTCGCTGCAGTGACCAAAGATTTAGATTACAGAACTCAATGCCCTTTGAATACTTGGAAAGCAGTTCCAAGAAGAATGCATACAAAGCAGCCAAGACCGTGGAGACTACGATAAATACCTAACTCTTTAATGCCCAGACATTGACAAACATCCACCAGCATCAAGACTTCCCAGGAAAACTTGACCTCAACAAATGAATTAAATAAGGCACCAGTGACCAATTCTGGAGTGACAAAGATATGTGAATTTTCAGATAGAGAACTCAAAATAACTGTTTTGATGAAGCTCAGTGAAATTCAAGATAACACAGAGAAGGAATTCAGAATCCTCTTGGATAAAGTTAACAAAGATTGAAATAATTAAAAAGAATCAGGTAGAAATTCTGGAGATGAAGAATGCTATTGAAATGTTGAAAAAATATTCTTTCAACAACAGAATTGATCAAGCAGAAGAAAGAATTAGTGAGCTTGAAGAAAGCCTACTTGAAAACACAGTCACAGCAGACAAAAGAAAAAAGAATAAAAAAGAATAAGGAATGCCTGTAAGTTTAAGAAAAATACGCTAAAAAGGAAAAATCTAAGAGGTACTGTCCTTAAAGAGAAGGTAGAGAGAGATTGGGGGTAGAAAGTTCATTCTAAAGGATAATAAGAGAACTGTTGAAACCTAGAGAATTATATCAATATTCAATTTCAGGATGATTACAGAACACAATCAGACTTAACCACCCAAAAGACAACCTTGATATGATTTGGCTGTATCCCCATCCAAATCTCATCTTGAATTGTAGTTCCCATAATCCCCACATGTCATGGGAGGGACCTGGTGGAAGGTAATGGAATCATGAGGGCAGTTACCCCCATCCTGCTGTTCTTGTGATAGTGAGTGAGTTCTCATGAGATCTGATGGTTTTATTATGGGCTTTTCCCCCTTTGACTCTTCTTGCTGCTACCATGTGAAGCAGGATGTGTTTGCTTTCCCTTATGCTGTGAATGTAAGTTTCCTGAGGCCTCCCCAGCTATGCTGAACTGTGAGTGAATTAAACCTCTTTCCTTTATAAATTACCCAGACTTGGGTATGTCTTTATTAGCAGCATGAGAATGGACTAACACAGTAAATTGGTACAAGGAGTGAGGTGCTGCTGCTGTAAGGATATCCACAAATGTGGAAGTAGCTTTGGAACTAGGTTATAGGCAGTGGTTGGAACAGTTTGGAAGGCTCAGAAGAAGACAGGAAAATGTAGGATAGTTTGGAACTTCCTAGAGACATGTTAAATGTCTTTGACTAAAATGCTGATAATGATATGGACAATGAAATCCAGGCTGTGATGGTCTAAGATGGAGATGAGGAACTTCTTGGGAAGAGATTGTCAAAGAGATTGTCAGCATTTTGCCCTTGCCATACAGATCTGTGGGTCTTTAAACTTGAGAGAGATGATTTAGGGTATCTGGCAGAAGAAATTTCTAAGCAGCAAAACATTCAAGAGGTGGCAGAGCATAAAAGTTTGCAAAATTTGCATCCTGACAATGTAAATTTTTGGGGGAAAAATTCAAGCCTGCTGTAGAAATTTGCTTAAGTAACAAGGAGCTGAATGTTAATCACCAAGATAATGAGAAAAATGTGTACCGGGCAGGTCAGAGACATTTGCGGCAGCCCCTCCCATCACAGGCTGGGAGTTCTAGGAGGAAGAATGGTCTCATGGGCTGGACCCAGGGCCTCCCTGCTGTATGCAGCTTGGGTACTTGGTGCCCTGCATCCCAGCCATGGTTAAAAGGGGCCAAGCCAAGGTAGAGCTCGGGCTGTGGCTTTGGAGGGTGCAAGCCCCAAGGCTTGGCAGCTTTCACGTGGTGATAAGTCTGTGGATGCATAGAAGTCAAGGATTGAGGTTTGGGAATCTCCGCCTAGATTTCAGAGAATGAATAGCAATGCCTGGATGTCCAGGCAAAAGTTTCCTGCAGGGGTGGAGCCCTCATGGAGAGCCACTGTTAGGGCAGTGTGGAAGGGAAATGTGGGGTTGGAGTCCCCTACATAGAATCCCCACTGGGGCACTGCCTAGTGGAGCTGAGAGAAGAGGGCCACCATCCTCCAGACCCCAGAATGGTAGCTCCATTGGCAGCTTGCACTGTGCACCTGGAAGAGCTGCAGGCACTCAATGCCAGACTGTGAAAAAAGCCAGGAGAGGGGCTTAACCCTGCAAAGCCACAAAGGTGGAGCTGGTCAAGGCAATGATGCCCTTTGCATCAGCATGACCTGAATGTGAGACATGGAGTCAAAGGAGATCATTTGGAATTTTAAAGTTCAGTGACTGCTTTATTGGATTTTGGACTTGCATGGGGCCTGTAGTCCCTTTGTCTTGGCCAATTTCTCCCATTTGGAATAGGTGTATTTACCCAATGCCTGTACACCCACTGGATCTAGGAAGTACATAACCTGCTTTTGATTTTACAGGCTCATAGAAGGAAGGGACCTGCCTTGTCTCAGATGAGACATTGGGCTTGGACTTTTGGGTTAATGCTGGAATGAGTTAAGACTTTGGGGGACTGTTGGAAAGGCATGATTGGTTTTGAAATATGAGGATATGAGATTTGGGAGGGGCCAGGTGTGGAATTATATTGTTTGGCTGTGTACTCACCAAAATCTCATCTTGAATTGTAGCTCCCATAATCCTCATGTGTTGTGGGAGGGACCCAGTGGGAGGTAATTGAATCATATGGGTGGTTACCCACATGCTGTTGTTGTCATGATAGTTAGTGAGCTCTCATGAGATCTCATGGTTTTATAAGGGGCTTTTGTCCCTTTTCCTATTTCGTTTCTTTGCTTCCACTATATGAAGAAAGATGTTTTTGCTTCCCCTTGCTTCCCCTTGCCATGATTGTTAAGTTTCCTGAGGCCTCCCCAGCCATGCTGAACTGTTAGTCAATTAGACATTTTTTCTTTATAAATTACCCAGTCTTGGATATGTCTTTGTTAGCAGCATGAGAACAGAGTAACACATATCCCAAGACATTTAATATTGAAACTCTCAAAGATCAAGGATAAAGAAGAGATCATGAAAGCATCTAGATAAAAGAAAGAAAGAACATACAAAGGAGCCCCAATACATCAGGTAATAAACTTTTCTGTGGAAACATTACAGGCCAGGAGAGAATGACATGATACATTTAAAGTGTGAAAAGAAAAAAAAAAAACTTTTATCATAGTATAGTACATCCAGCAGAAAATATCCTTCCCACATGAAGGAGAAATAATGCCTTTCATAGACAAAACCTGAGGGATTTCATCAACACCACACCTGTCATACAGGAAATGCTAAGGGGAGTTTTTTAATATGAAAGAAAAGAGCATTCATAAGCAATAAATCATAAGCAATAATAAATAATACATCAAAACTCACTGGTAAGGACACAGAGAAACACATAATATTATAAAACACTATAATTGTGGTATGTAACCTACTTTTATCTTGAGTAGATAGACTAAAAGATGAATTGCTCAAAATTTATAACTACCACAACTTTTGAAGACATAGATGGTACAATAGGATACAAATAGGAACAATACAAAGTTAAAAATAAGAGGAAATTAAGTTAAAATTTGGAGTTTTTATTATCCTTCTGCTTGTTTGCTAGTTTATTTATTTGTTTTTGCAATCAGTGTTGTCAACAGTTTAAAATCATGGATTATAACATGCTGTTTGCAAGCCTTATGATAACCTCAAATCAAAAACCTCCTTCCCTTCCTTCCTTCCTTCCTTCCTTCCTTCCTTCCTTCCTTCCTTCCTTCCTTTCTTTCTTTTTCTCCTTCTTTCTTCTTTCTTCTTTTTTCTTCTTCTTATTTATTGAGGAGAGACAAGGACAAGCACTTTGGGAGGCCGAGGTTTCCAAGGCCGAGGTGGATCACTTGATGGCAGGAGTTCGAGACCAGCCTGGCCAACACAGCGAAACCCCATCTTTACTAAAAATACAAAAATTAGACAGGCATGGTGGCATGTGTCTGTAATTCCAGTGACTCAGGAGGCTGAGGCACAAGAATCACTTGAATCCAGGAGGCAGAAGTTGCAGTGAGCTGAGATTGTGGCCATTGCACTCCAACCTGGATGACAGAGTGAGACTCAGTTTTAAAAAAATACAAAAGATAAGTGGAATGAAAGCCTTTTTTTAAAGATAAACAAATTTGCCCTATCTTAGTCAGACTAGGAAAAAAAAGAGAAGACCTACCAAAAATAAAATCAGAAATGACAAAGGAGAAATTACTACCAATACTAGAGAAATTCAAAGAGTTATTAGAGAGTAATATGAGCAACTATATGCTGATAAAATGGAAAACCTAGAAGAAATGAATAAATTCCTAGAAACAAACAACCTACCAATACTGAACCATGAAGAAACTCAAAACAAGAATAGACCAATAACAAGTAACAAGATTGAAGTCATAAGAAAAAGTCTCCCAGCAAAGAAAAGCCCAGGACTTGATGGCTTCACTGCTTAATTTTAGCAAATATTTAAAGAATAACTAATATCAATCCTACTCAAAGTATTCTAAAAAGTAGAAGAGGAAATATTTCCAAACTCATTCTACAAGGCCAGTATTACTTTGTTACCAAAACCAGACAAAGACACATAAAAAACAAACAAGCCAAACCAAATTAAGCCTATATCCATTATGAACATTGATGCAAAAATCTGCAACATAATACTAGCAAGCCAAATTCAACAACATATTAAAAATATCGTTTATTATGAGTAAGTAGAATTTATCCCAGGGATGCAAGAATGGTTCAATATATGTAAATCAAGTAATGTCTTACATTATATGAATAAAATAAATGACAAAAACCTTACAATCATTTCAATTTATACTGAAAAATCATTTGATAGAATTCAACATCCCTTCATAATACAGACTTTCATAAAACTGGATACAGAAGGAATATACCTTAACACAATAAAAGCCGGATATGATAGACCCACGGATAGTATCATACTAAATGAGGAATAAGCTAAAAGCCTTTCCTCTAAGATCAAGAAAAAGACAACGATGTCAACTTTTACCACTGTTATTCAACATAGTATTGAAAATTCTAGCTAGAGCAATCAGACAAGGGAAAGATAAAAAAGACATCCACACTGAAAAGGAGGAAGTCCATTTATTCTTGTTTGCAGAAGATATGATTTTATATTTGTAAAACCCAAAGAATCTACCAAAAATTTATTAGAACTAACAAGCAAATTCAGTAAAGTGGCAGGCTACAAAATCACCATATAAAAATCAGTAGCTTTTCCATATGCCAACAGTGAACAATGTGAAAAAGAAATCCAGAAAGTAATCTCATTTACAATAGCTAAAAATAAAATGATACCTAGTAATAAACTTAAAAATTGAGAGATCTCTTCAATAAAAACAATGAAACATTGATGCACAAAATTGTAGTAGGTACAAAAAATGGAAAGATACTCCATGCTCATGGCTTGGAAGAATCAGTATGTTTAAAATATTAATATTACCAAAAGCAAACTAAATATTCAATGAAAGCTTCACCGAAATACCAATGACATCCTTCACAGAAATAAAAAAATCCTAAAATCTATGTGAAACCACAAAAGGCCCAGAATAGCCAAAACCATACTGAGTATAAGAAACAAAACTGGAAGAATCACGTTTTCTGACTTCAAATTATACACAGACCTACAGTAACAAAAACAGTATGGTATTCACATAAAAGCAGACACATAGTCTAGTGGAACAGAAGAGAGAATCCAGAAATAATTCAATATGTCTACAATGAACTCATTTTCAACAAAGGAGCCAAGAACATACAATAGAGAAAGGACAGTCTCTTCAATAAATAGTGCTGAGAAAACTGGATATCCACATGCAGAAGAATTAAACTAGACCCTATTTCTCATTATATACAAAAGTCAAATCAAAATGGATTAAAGACTTAAATCTAAGACCTCAAACTATGAAACTACTAAAAGAAAACTTTGGGGAAACTCTCGAGGACATTGGTCTGTGCAAATATTACTTGAGTAATACCCCAGAAGCTTGCCCCAGAAGCTCGGGCAAGCAAACGAAAAATAGACAAATGGGATCACATCAATTTAAAAAGCTTCTACACAGCAAAGGAAACAGTCAACAAACTGAAGAGACAACCCACAGAATGGGAGAAAATATGTGCAAACTACACAACTGGCAAAGGATTAATAACCGGAACATATAAGGAGCTCAAGCAACTCACTAGGAAAAAAATCTGATAATCTGATTAAAAGATGGGCAAAAGATCTGAATAGACACTTTTCAAAAGAAGACATACAAGTGGCAAATAGATATATTACAAGATGCATAATATCACTGATCATCAGAGAAACTCAAATAAAAAGTGCAATGAGGTATCTTCTTACCCCAGTTAAAATGGCTTTCATCCAAAAGACAGGCAATAACAAATGCTAGCGAGGATTTGGAGAAAAGAGAACCCAAATAGCCTTGGTGGGAATGTAAATTATTACAGCCACTCTGGAGAACATTATAAGGGTTTCTTCAAAACCTAGGGATAAAACTATCATATAATACGACAATTCTACTACAGGATATTTATAGAAAGCAAATGAAACCAGCATGTCAAACGTATCTCTGCACTTCCATGTTTATCGAAGCACTATTCAAAATTGCCAAGATTTGGAGGCAACCTGCATGTCAATCAACAGATGAATGGATAAAGAAAATCTGGTACATATACACAATGAAGTACTATTCAGGCATTAAAAAAAGACTAAGATCTTGTCATTTGCTAGAACATAGGTGGAACTGGAGGTCACTATGTTAAGTGAAATAAGGCAGGCACAGAAAGACAAATTTCGCTTGTTCTTATTCCTATGTGGGATTTAAAAATTGATACAATTAAACTCATGGATCTAGAGAGTAGAATGATTGTTTCCAGAGTCTTTGAAAGGTAATGGGGGTGGGGGTAGTGGGGGTAGTTAATGCGTGCAGAAATATAGTTAATAGAATGAATAAGATCTAATATCTGATAGCACAACTGTCAATAATTCATTATACATTTCAAAAAATAACTAAGAGTATTATTGGAATGTTTTTCACACAAAGAAATGATAAATTCTTGAGGTGATGGATAATCCTATTTACTCTGATGTGATTATTATGCATTGTATACCAGTATACCAAAATTTCTCATATACCCCATAAATATATGCAACACCTACTATGTACCCATAAAAATTTAAAATTAAAATCATCTAACAAGTAGATTAAAGCACTATAGTTTTGGGGTTGTATACTTACTACTGTCCCTCTCCTGACCAAGACTCTCCTTGCTGTACTTCCCTTTAGCATAACTGTGGAATTTGTCTCCAGGCTCTACTTTTCTCAAACACATTTCTCAAAATTGTGGCCTAATTTCTACATCCATGACTTTCTTGATACTTCTTTCATACATGAAGCTATCAATTCCATGTTAATAAACATAATAGATATTTTCATCCTTCATTGTACTTGATGCTTTAAAAACATTTGCTACCAATAACTTAGAAATAGATTTTTATTTTGTGGGGAACAACCTATTGTCCTGGTGTTCTGCCTGCCTTTCTGGACTCACCTTGTCATGGTCCATTGTTGCATCATTTACTCCTTTCTCTCTAAACTGTTAGAAAACTTTGGAATTCTCTCCTAGGATTTGATGCTCTTCTCTTTGAATACTCTTTTTGAATTATTTTGCTTACTCCTAAAGCTTTTGTTATTGCAGATATGTTAATGACTCTCTGTGGTTATTGCTATTTCAGTTTTCTTTATAGCTTAGACTTCATCTGCCTATTGGATATTTCCAATTGGAAATCCATATTTATATTAAATCCACATATTGCCCCACCACCATTTATATTAAATTCACATATGCACCACTACCTCCTCATTATTGAAACATTTGACTTTCTTTGTGGTACATATCCCTGTGCGTCATACACCATGCACTCCACTGTTTGAGCCCAAAACTGGATGTTGTCTTTGACTTCTCTCTGCCTTTTATCTCATAACCTGAGTAATCATCAAATTCTATAAGTTCTGCCTCCAAATTACACCTCCATTCTTTTTTTCACTTCTCTCCCTTACATTACCGCCAATTTCATTCCTACATCACATCTCTTGTTTGGATTATATAAGTTTTTAGCTGGTGTCCTTTCTTCAAATTCATTCTCTCCAATCTAGCCTCCACTTTTCAGTAATCTTTCTAGAATACAGATTTAGTCATGGTATTTCTATGCTTTTGCTGTGTCAGTGATTTGTCATTGCACCCAGGAAAGCCCAAACGTTCTTACCAGTCCTACCATATATTCTCATCCTTGCAAATGCCTCAATTTCTTGACACTCCTTTACTCTTATTCCAAACTTCAACTATTTTAACCTAAATTTCCTATGCTCACATACTTTGTCTTATTAGTCTGTATTATGCTTCCATAAAAGAATTTCGCAGACTTGGTAATTTATAATGAACAGAAATTTATTTGGTTAATGGTTCTGGAGGCTGGGGAGTTCAAAATCATGGGGCTACTTCTGGTGAGAGATTTCTTGCTGTGCCATAACATGATAGAAGGCATGACATGGGAAGAGAGTCAATGCAAGAGAAGAAGTGGAGGATGAAATCTCTTTTATAACAAATCTGCTCTAGTGATAATGACATTAATCCATTCATGTGGGTGGTGGCTTTATGACTGAAACAACTTCCATTTGGCTCCATCTCTCAACATTGCTGAATTGGTGGTTAAGTTCCAACACATGAACTTTAGGGAGCACATAAAAACCGTAGCACACTTGTTTGGTTATATTAACATTTTTTTTTGGCCTTGGCTACTTCCCATATCTACCTTTTATTTACCTCAAGGATAAATGAAATAATAGGTACTCACTAAATATGTGTTTATTAAAAACAGTGGTAATTATACTACCTTTAAACTTTATTTCATTGGGAAAATAAAGCTTACTGTTTCTTCAAGGAAAATTTAAAGGAAGTCAAGAAATGGTTGTGTTTTAAGCAAAACTTAGAAGTTTAAGAGACATAAATTCAATTAAATAAATTGAACTTTTTTGATTGTTTCAGTAAGTATATCAGATATTGAAGTTATTCATCTGGTGTGATATTAGCTTCAATAAATATCCAATGTTTTTATGATATATAAGAAATAACTTGTCATTTTGGGGTCACATTTTAGGGAGAAAGTTAAGAATTATATGAAAGTGTCCATGGTGAATCCATGGTATAGCTACTGAACTATTTTTCTATGAGTTAGCATAGACTCAGGGAGTTTAACAAGCATTTATTTGTATTCATGTGGTAATATGTATGTAACAGGGCATTTAGTTGGGTCATATTTGTGGCTAAAACAGTTCAGTATTCAAGTTAAGCCCCACTGCTCCTTGAGCATATCCACTTGAATTGGACTTGAATACTACTGATTGTTGGAATTGGATGGTATCCTTTTTCCCACATTTTTGTTTGCATTTATTAATTAATGAGCTTTTAAACTCTGACCAAATGCAGCTTATGTGTATGCAGATATTCATAATGGAATGGAACAATGTTGAGATTTTATCAGATACCAGGGAGCAAACAAAAGAAGCTAGAGAGGAAGCTCACTAAAGAAATATGGTCTTGACAGGAAAGGTAGACTTAGGAATTGGTGAGAATTGTTGATTACCAATATAGTAGTGACTGATCTTCACCCAACACAGCTCACCCACTCTGTCCTTTGGGAAATATAACAAATCGGGCACAAACCTGCCGCCATCTTTTGTGGCCTCCTTCTGTGAGATGTCTCACAGATTGAGGACTAGGTAACTCTTACACTATAAAGTTTTTCCAGAACTGTGAGTAGTGAGAGGCAATGGCAATGAAACACCCCTGTGCATATTAAGATATAATGCTTGTCATGGCTAATCAATGAGGTTTCTATTCTCCAGATGTGTGTCTGTATTGGGATCATCTGGTGATCATTGACGTCTTTAAAGTACATCAGTGCCAGTTCATAGGTGTATATAAATATGCTTGGAAATTCTCCAAAATATGGAGGACATGAATCAAGCAAAAAAACTAGATTACTATTAGTCGGAATAAGTACTTGGAGCATCATATTTGGAACATTTGTATAGTTAATTCATTTGTACTTATAAGTCACTTAACGTTTGTGATATACTTGCTATGTAATATAGTGTTAACAAAATTTGTATTAGCTGATCATGTTGCTGTAGAAATATTTTCCACCAAGTTAAGAAGCTCACAGAAGACTAAAATTGCAGAATAGAATACATATTCTTTGCTCTTGGAATCAGCGTGTATTGGATAGAATGCAGTAATGAATTAAACTATGGATTAAACTTAAACTATGAGTTAAATATGATTATGTTTTCTATAATAATTTATTTTAATATACAATATTATTTATAGTATTTCCACTCTTGATAGCTTTTTATTACATTTTTACCATAATTATAAACATGAGTATATCTAATCTATATAACTAAAGCAGTGAGTTGAATGAAGATGTTTTCTTTGGCACATCACAAATGTTCATGAAGGAGCTTCTATCTAATACAGGCTGATTCCAAGGGCAATGAGAAAGTTAGGAATTATAAGAAAGTATCTATGGTGAGGCCGTAATATAGATACCACACTACTTTTCCATGAGTAAACATGGATTCAGGGAGTTTAAGAAGCATTTATTTGTATCCATGTGGTTATATGAATGTAACGGGACATTTAGTTAGGTCCTATTTGTGACAAAAACAGTTTAGTGTTCAAGTTAAGTCCCATTGCTCCCTGAGCATATCCACTTGAATACTACTGTTTGTTGAAATTGGATGGCATCCCTTTTACCACATTTTTGTTTGCATTCATTAATGGATGAGCTTTTAAACTCTGGCTCAGTATGCAACCCAGCTTGATGCACCCAATATCTTCTTGTCCTTGGTATTTACTATACTTCTTACCTTCTGTACTTCTTACCTTCTATGAGTTTCTTAATTGAAAATACTTGGTATAATAATTTATTTTAATATTTGTATACAAACCTTTAGAGCTATATTTACGATGGGTTTAGGCAGTTGGGGTAGTAAATGCAGCAATATTCTAGCAAAATTCATCCAGTATCTTCTTGTCCTTGATATGTAATGGTATGTTTCTGTTAATTTCTCTGTGAAGTTCTAACACATTTCACAGTGCTGGTAGAAAAATAATTTTCTAGGTAATCATCTAATTTTTATATAAAATATATTACAAAATGCCATATATTTGTCTTTAAAAGTTTGAAATAAATTAACAGTTTTACTTTGTTTAAGGATTAACTTAAATCATTTATAAGATGCTTGTTTTTAGTAAAAGGGCAAGATAAGCAGTATTCATAGCAGAAAACATTATGTTGATACAGGTATTACTTTCAAAATTTCAATTCATGTCATAGGCAGTTCAGTTGCCTATAGAAAATATTTTCTCAATCTTAAGTTATATTTTAATTGAATTTTTCTTAGTATATACTTTAATATTTGAAGTTAAATTTTAGTTAAATTGGCACACATTTTTGATTGATTATAATTTAAAATGTGTAATGCTAGGGTTATATCTATCGGTTGCATTAAATTCTCTGTTAAAAAAATGGACAAATGTCACACAACAAAATGCAACAAAAAACCAAGAAGAAACAAAACAAGCAAAAACAGACTAAACATGTTTTGAATTAGGAGAGTAGGTGCTATTGGCTGCTGATGAAACTTTGTATCTGATTTTACCACTTGTTTACCTACCTCATTTCATAGAGTTGCTATACAAGTAAATGATTTACGAAGAGGTTCATCATGTTATTTTTGGACTATTTGGGGCCTAGTAGCTTAAATTCATACTGAAGACATTAGGAAACAGGTTCTTCAAAAGAAACATACTGTCAACATTAAACAAGTGTATAATACCGTAAAAGACTGTCAGCAATTTGGAGCAAATGCTTTATAAAGATCCAAAGTACATTATTAATAATTTGTATGTGCCACGGTGCCTTTCTCTGAGGATCTCTTGAAGAACTTTGTTAAACTTTACAAATATATTCATTTTCATAGACAGTGGAAGCTGTATTCTAATCCATTAGCATGTCACATTCAATTAATGTGCAGCTAGATTTGCACATCAAGAAACAGGACAAATAACTCTCTACAGAGTGATAATTTAACAGCAGTGTCATGACACTTCTCAGTAGAAAGAGAGATTCAGCGTTATCTTATAATGCCACCTCCAGATTCATTGTGCTTATACTTGCCTCAACTTTCTCATTCTAATTTGGGCAAATTTAGGCCACTGTCAGGGCTTCATAATTTCCAGGGACTGGATATCAGAGCAATATCCTTGGAGCTGGAATTTTCAGAGATTATTTTATTGTTTCCTCCTTTTTTCTTTCTCTAACAAACTCTCATTGTTTGCAGATCTGAATTTTAGGCCACTCTTAGAAACTGCCCTCCTAGTTTGAATCTCAATTACTTTCTTTCATTTTGCCCCTGGGTTAGGCATCCATAAGCCCCGTCCCAGTGTTGACTTTGTTATTGGGGGAGTGAGTGGGAGGGGGAGTGAGGCAGAACAGTGTAATGGGGTTGAAATAGTACCTACCCTATAGGATAGTTGTGGAAATTAATTGAGTAAAGCACTTAGAAGATCCTCGACATATTGTAGCACTAGAAAATACCAACTTTTATTGTTGTTAATGTGGTCTGCATTACAGGCTTATTCACTTGTAATTCTGTATTGAGGACTTTACGTTTATTATTTCCAGTGTCTTTAAGATTATTTTCATATGATATTTATTCATTATTTGTCTTCAGCAAACTTTATAATTCTTACCTTTCCTTAATTGTCTAATCTTATAATATTCTTGCCAGGGTTTCATATCAGAATTCTGTTAGTATCATAAAATGAGTTGGGAATGTTCCCAATTTTCTCTTTTCTGAAAAAATTTATGTAGGATGGGCATTACCACTTTCTTGCATGTTTAGAAGAATTCACTGTTGAGGCCATCTACTCATAAATTTTATTTATGGGAACAATTTCTATTTCCGGTTTCTATTTCTGTCATTGTTGTAGTGCTTTTAATATTTTCTATTTCTTCTTGTCTACATTTGGTTAACATTTTTTTACTAGTTACTTTTTATTTCATCCAATTTTTGAAATTTGTAAGCCTAAAGTTATTCATAACATCCTCTTATTAGCTTTTGAATTCCCTTTTATATCCTGCTATTGGATATTTGTGACTTTTGTTATGTACTCTTACTCTCATAAGGGCTTATCAATGTTTTTGTCTTTTCAAAGAATAATTTGTTCTATTGTTTCTCCATCTTATGCTTGTTTCTAATTTATTTTGCTATAATATTTAATATTATCATCTTTCTAATTTTTAAAAAATTTGCTCTTAAATTTTGGGCTCTTTTGAGGTCAATGCTAGTTCATTGGATTTCAACCTTTCTTATTTCTATTTTGTAAATTTAAATCTATAAAACACTTTACGTAGAAGCGTCTTAGCTAATTTCAAAGTGATTGGTGGTTTCTAGATGTTGTGATTGTTACTTTTAGCTAAATTCCAGTATGATTAGTTTGCATTGTCTGTAAAATTTAAATCAGTTGAAATTAGCTTATATTTGCTATATGACCCCAATTTGGTTAATATTTATAAATGCCTCATATGCCTTTGGAAAAAATGGTATATTTTGCCACTGGATGAAATATTCTATATAGGTGAATGAAAATGTATTTTTTAGGGTATTATTCACATTTTCTACATTCTTACTGATTTTTGATCTGCCTGTTATAATGTTTACTGAAAGAGGCACACTACACTCTTCCCCTGTTATTGTAAATTTGTCTATTTCTCCTTGTGGCTCTGTACATTTTTGTAATGTATAATTTGAGGATTTACTTTTAGAGGCATCAATTTTAATATTGTTATATCTTCTGTATAGATTGACTTTTTGTCATTGTAAAATGTCATCTTTACCTCTAATAATGCTTCTTGCATTTCTATCTAGTTTATATGATATAATAGCTACACCAACTTTTTTGGATTATTGTTTTCAAAGTATATTTCTCTCCATTTGCTTTCATCTAACTCTTCTGGCTTCTCAATTTTTTTTTTTTTTTTTTAGTGAAACACATATTTAATCCACTTATATATTGATATCTCAATATATTTAGTCCACTTGTATTTAATGCAATTAATGTTGCATTTTGTTTTAAATTTGTAATTTTATTTAAATTTGTAATTTTATTATTGTTTTCTATTTTCTCACTGTTTTCCATCTTTATTATCTTTTTTGTTTCCTTTTGGATTTTTTTTAATATTTCAATTTTCAAGTTTAGTTTAGAACTTGTAAATGCTTATTACATCTTCTTTTTGTGATTACTGTATATATTATAATATGCATTCTTAACTTACAAAGTCTACATTAATTATTTGTCTTGATATCTTACCAGGTAATGAAGGACTTTAACACTCTTTACCTCATTAATCCTTTCACACATATGAACCATTCATGCATTAAAAGTTTAATTCTATGCCTATTTTAAATCTGACATGATATAATGACAACTGTTGTTAATAAAGTTAATGTATATTTATATTTTAAAAGTGATATTTACCCTTTTCTTAATTATTTTATATTTGGGTTCATTTTCTTTCCACTTGAAAAGCACCCTTTAGTATTCCCTTAATTTAGACTCTATCGTGACAATTATTTCATTATTTTCTTAAATAAAAAAGATCTGTTGCACCATCATTCCTTGAATATGTTTTCTCTAAGTAGTTTATTTTAGTATGACAACTATACTTCTTTGAAAAATAACATTTCACTGTGTTCTTATTAAATTGTTTTTGTGGAGAAATCTGCTGTCAATTTAATTGTTGCTCTTTTGAAGGTAATCTGCACATTTTCTCTGGCTGCTTTCAAAGTTTTTCTTTTTAGCAGTTTTACCTTGTTTAATGAGTGTTTCAAAAGCACTGATACCCTTTTAGTGATTCAGTTACCTTGTCTGGGACTGGCAGACACTGCTAGAGAACCAAATTTCAGGCTCCCCTCTATAAATTTCCCTCCCTAAGATTTTGCTCTTTTAATTAATAAAATACCTTAATTAATAAAATTCCTTTTAATTAATAAAAAGATCTCTGTTGTTATCTCTAACATGATTTCATGTAGTGGTTTTTGTATTACCACATATACTTTTAAAGAGAGTTCTCAGTAGGAGGATTGTTTAAAATTATTTACCTGTCAAAACTTGAGGTAGAAGTCTTTGGATAAATTTTAAATAAATAATATTGAACAAAAGAAGATAGAAAAATTAGAATGCATGCCTTATTCCATTTATAAAAATTTTTGAAAAGCAATAAGTATTTATGTTATAAAAGTATAAATAAAAGCTAGGAACTCATATGATTTTTGAATAATGTCTGAATGACAATAACTTCTGAGATGAAAGAAATATTAAATTTAATATATGAGAGAATTATTGTGCATTGGTAAGTTTTATGCCTTGAAATGAGGTGGAATCCACCTTTATTTGTTAAAAAAGAAGTTAACCAAATAAATAACTGTACAGTTAAGACTTTGAATACAGATAAGAGAAATTGAAAAGGACTAAAAAATGAAAAGATATCCCATATTCATAAATGAGAAGAATTAATATGGTTCAAATGCCCATACTATTCAAAGCAATCTACAGATTCAAGGCAATACCTATTAAAATATCAATGATATTCTTCACAAAAATAGAAAAAAAAAAAACTAATTTTTGCGTGGAAACACAAGAGACTCTACATAGCCAAAGCAATGCTGAGCAGAAAGAACAAAGCTGGAGGCATCACATTACCTGACTTCAAAATATACTACAAAGCTATAATAATTAAAACAGCATGGTACTGGTATGAAAGCAGATCATTAGAACAGAATAAATAAACTATAAACAGATCTAAATATTTAAAACCAATTAAGTTTTGACAAAGGCAGTAATAATATTTGGGGAAAAAATAGTCTCTTCAATAAATGGTACAGGGAAAACTGGATAACTATATACCATAAATGAAACTAGACCCCCTATCTCCATAAAAATTAAATGAAAATGGATTAAATATTTAAATCTAAGATCTGAAACTATAAAACCACTAGAAGAAAACTTTGGAGGAAACACTCTAGGACATTGATCTGAGCAAACATTTTCTGGATGAGAGCTCAAAAGCACAGGCAACAAAAGGAAGCATAGACAGATTGGATCATGTCAAACTTAAAAGTTTTAGCACAGCAAAGGAAATCATAAACAGAGTGAAGAGACACCCTGCAGAGTGAAAGAAAATATTTACAAATTAATCAACTGACAAGAGATAAATAACCAGAATATATAAGGACCTCAGATGACTCAACAGCAAGAAATAATCTGAGTAAAAAAATGAACAAATGATCTAAATAGACATTTCACAAAAGAAGACATACAGATGGCCAACAGGTCTATGAAAAAATGCTCAACATCACTAATCCTCAGGGAAATGCAATTGAAAACCACGATGAGATATAATCTCACCCAAATTAAAATGGCTATTTCAAAAAAGACAAAAAATATCAAATGTTGATGAGGATATGGAGAAAGGGGAACGCTCCAACAGTGTTGATGAAAATATAAATTAGTGCAGACACTATGGAGAAGAGTATGGAGTTTCCTCAAAAAACTAAAAGCAAAATTACCATATGATCCAGCAATCCCACTGCTGGGTATATGTCCAAAAGAAAGAAAATCAATGTATCTAAGTGGCATCTGCACTCCCTTGTTTATTGCAGTATATTTGCTATAGTCAAGATATAAACTCAACCTAAATTAACTCAGTGGATGAATGGATAAATAAAACATTTGTATAAATACACAATGGAAGAATATTCAGCCACAAACAAGAGTAAAATTCTGTCATTTGCAGCAACATGGATGGATCGGGGGACATTATATAAAGAGAAATAGCACATGTTCTCACATGTGGAATCTAAAAAAGTCAGTCTCATAAAGGTAGATAGTAGAATGATGCTTACCAGCAGCTGGAAAAGGAATGAAGGAGGAGGGGGATAGAGAAAGATAGACAACAAATACAAAAATACAGTTAGATAGAAGGAACAAATTCTATTGTTTAGTAGCACAATAGGGCAACTATAGTTTACAAGAATTTATTGTATATTTCAAAATTACTGGAAGAGAAGATTTGGAATTTTACCAACACAAAGAAATAATAAATATTTAAGGTGATGGATATTTTAATTACCTTGATTTGATCATTACACATTTTATACATGTATCAAAGTATCACATATATAGCATAAATATGTACACATATGTATCAATTTTTAAAATTTGTTATAAGTTATGACAAATGGACTATCTCATATATCTTTATATTTAGCAATGAAGATAGAGCATTACAGGAAAATCACATATATAATTTTATGTTATAGTTATATATTTTAATTGTATGTTATACCATATAATTACATGCAATTACAATTTAAAAGATAACATAAGTATACATATAATTTGTCCTTATTTCAAATTTTATTTTTAAAAATTTTAGCGTTTCAAATATCTATGTCTAACTTTATTATATTTTAATATATTTATATGCTGAATAACTCATTCTCTAAACTTAAATATTCTTATATATTAAAAAATTATGTACATAGTGTATAACTGTAAACATTTATTAGTCTTCTTAAAAATACATTTTTTTAATCTTCTATGTGCTGTTCAGAGAAGAGATTATATACAGGTATGTATATTGCTATTTTTTTTATTATACTTTAAGTTTTAGGATACATGTGCACAGCGTGTAGGTTTATTTTTATGAGATGCATGTATGACTATTCATTTGAAATATGAATAGCTCCTACATTAAAAAGTACACAGTCCCAGTAGAAAAATGTTTACTCAGTGAGTAGAAAAATGTTTATCTACTCAGTTTTTAAAATGTAATCTATTTGGTTTTAGCAAGTCTTGTAATTTTTGGCTTTAAGAAAATAAGAGAAACAGTTGAAGTATATATTTAGTTTAAGAAAAACTTGGTTAGAGTTTTGTTGAGAGTTGGGGAAATAACCTAAAGCAAACTGTTGACAAAGAAACATTTCTAATTATGATTATGACTAGTCATATTAAACCAGATAGTTTTCACAAACATGAGCCTTCAATATCTTATAGAACCAGTTGATTCTTATTTAACACATACAAATTAATTCTATAAATCAATTTGGATTTCAGAAAATTATTTATACTCTGTTTTTCTGCAACTTTACTAAATCCAAGATTTGTGGCTACCAAATAACTATGCAGTTTTATACATATGCAAGAGTCTTTTCACGAATATATTCCATTGCTATAAAATACAGTTATATTTTTGTATAGATAAATATTAAAAGATTTTATCTTTTAAGACTTATGTTGGAGTCAATTGAAATATTTAAGGCACTATTATAAAACAAATGTACAGAAAAGATATTTTGGAAGAAAACAATTAGAATAAAAGTTACTGCTGATTTAGAAGAAGCAAACAATATGATAAAGTCTACTAGAAGAAACTTTGATATCAAGTTTGAAAAATTGGTCTTGAGGACTTTAAAAGAGACTCTTACAAACAAATCTTTCCTTGGTAAGGGCTATCTTTTCTTGGAGCACAAGCAAGAGCATATAATCTTAAATCCTGGAATGATCCTGACCAGACTCCTATCTGGGCAAACCCCATTTGGCCAGTCAGAGGCTTAGATGTACATTTTCAACTGTTAGATTTAATACAAACAGTTCAGTTCTTTTAGAGAAATGGAAGTACTTTGGGTAATGTTTGAAGAAGGTAGGCCTGAAGACAAAGCAGAAGATTATGGGCCACTGGCTGCAGGCTTTCTTGATAAACTAAGCAAAGAGATCAGGAGGGTGGAAAAAAGCAGCCTCAATTTGCTTACAGGATGTGTTTGGGAATAACCATAGGCTTTTTGGTACATTTCTCTAAGGTCGCTCAAAAACAGCCAATCTCAAACATATATTGAGCAGATCTTTCTCTATGAAAAATTTGATAAACAGATACGGAAATGAAAGTAAAGCTATTTGCATTCTGTTGGTATATAATAAACCACAGACTAATAAAGTATTTTAAGACGCTATATTAGAAAGCAAGTTTGAACATAGGGACTTGATGTATGATTATGTAACAGCTGCTGTGAATATTAATAATACTAGTTAATGATTTTTATTCTCCCATGGCACGTTTGGAAATTGTTTTAAATTAATTTTTAAAATGACTTTTCCCGATTGCCTTTTAGCAGTTTTTGCACAGCATTAAGTCAGTTTACCCCAATGGGCTAATGCCTTTATGTATGCAAATATATAACCAATCACATGAAGACCTAATTAGACAGTGCACCTCTTTGGGGGTAGTGTTTTAACAAGTAAAGCTGTGTTTCAGGGACTTCATAATGGAGAGTTTGTTTACATTTAAAATTGTCAGCTGCAATGCCAAATTCTGGCTCTAAATATTAAGTTATTTTCAAAAGGATTTTTACTGTGCTGCTCTATTTAGTCTATAGTACTTTCAAGATGAATTAAACGTTGGTGCTTGTAGCATTTTATAATCCGAGATCATACCAAACTGAAAATGGAAAAGCTTCCAGGGAAAGTGACTTTCTTTCTGAACCAATCAGTATTTCTCAAACTGATCTGTTTCATATTTGATAGGTCTAATTTCCCATGTATACCATTTGTTCTTAATATGCCCTTAGGATTTTGTCAGCTACATAAAAACTGGATCATAATTTAGATGGCTTTCTCTACTTTTTATTGACTGTGCATGATAAAAAAGAGTTCAGAGTAAGACTAGCTGTCTTAAAATGATAATTTTATGATTATTTTACATTATATATAGAGCATAAAAAGTAACTATTTATTTTGGAATTAGAGATATTATAGAGATACATATTTTTAAAAACCACTGAAGGTAAAAATGTTAAGTTTGGAAGTCCTTCAATAACGGATACAAACACAAATTGATAGAAAATAAAGGCTAATTACTATATTAAAGTATAAAAATAAACTTGTCTTTAATTTTAGGAAGTCTATTAATATTTTTTAAAAGTTTAAAATGTGTGTTTTAAAACATATATAGACTTACTTTTAAAGACAATTTGTATAATTGTAACAGAAAGTTTAATACTGTCTATATTGTGAACACTTAACAAGGTGCCAGTATCATCCTAGATACTTTTCAGAATTCTTTCTATTTAATTCTTGTAATTACCTTACATGATATATATTATGCACATTATACAAGTGAAATAACTAAGGCTAAGGATATTGGGAGACAGTTCTCCATGGTATAATATGTAAGTATGTTTATTGTCAGCTTTTATTTCAGATTTTAAAAAAAATCATAAGGATATCTGTATAGCAAACAGCATTAGAAGATAGAAAAAGCATCATTGATTCATGCAGATGTCAGAATTTTTTCTCTGACCAGCGAAATAAAGATAATGTCTTCCTCTGTTTGCTGTATTGCTGTACTTCAGATTATTGTAGTTTCCTAAGCTTAGATTTCCTTAGATGTCACACAAACCCACTGTGTGCTCAGCATCTCCTATCTTTATATCACTGTCTTGTGATTTTGAGGGCAAAAAATTGAAATAACATAAAACTCGTGCTAACATTCATGCCATTAGTAATAGATTTCTTTGTCTCTGACCCAGTAGTTATCTGCCAGAATCCACAAAATTTGGCAGATGAACTTGTTTGCTTGCAAGTACAGTAAAATTTGAGACTTTTCACAGGTCTTCACAAAGTGAACTTAATTTATCTTCCTAAAGATAATGTAGGCAGTGACTGAGAAACCTTGCGTATCTGAGACCAGGTTCATCTTCTGAAGTTGCTTTTTTGTACATGCTACCTGCCTTCATAATGGCAGCAGGCCTCAACTTGGGAAATATAACATTCAACAAATGAAATTTGCTCATTTTGAAATATAGCTTATTTTGCTAAGCAGAGTTTTTTCTACTTATATGGTCAAATTAATCAGTCTTCTTTCTTCATAGCTTTAGAATTTTGTGTTATAGTTAGAAAGGCTTTGTCACATTTAGGTTGCAAAGTAATTTACCTATGTTTGGTCCTTAACACTTTCATGTTTTTATGTTCAATACTGAATCATAAAACAGTTTGGAAATTTTTCTGGGATGTGCTATGTGGTATGAATCAAACTGGTTTTATTCCAAATGCCGATGCAGTTTTCCTGAAAAAATTTACTTTGTAGTATATCTTCCCATTGATTTATGATGAAAACTTTATTAAATACTAAAGTCTCTTGTGCATTTAGATCAGTTTTAGATATACTACAACCATTGACAGAATGTTGATACCACTCTTAATTTCTGAGGCTTAAAAGTATGTTTTAATATTTTTTAGAGTTAATTAACTCATATTGCTTTTTTCTACATTACTCTTTTAGGTATTTCTTGTGTTTACTTCAAAAAGTAACATAAAGTTACTCTTTCCTATTTAAATCAATAGCTAATAGCAGGCATCCTTGTCTCTTTCCTTACTTCAGGTAGAATATTCAGTATTTCACCAATGAGAGCACTGTTTGCTAGAAGTTTATCTCTTACATACTATTAGTTTGTTTCTATACTTTGTTTTGTTGTCATGAATGAGTATTGATTTTTCAAATTATGCTTTTTATACTGCTTTATTTATTCAATGTTTCAGCAGATTGATTTTGAATGTTAAACTAATCTTACACTACTGGAATAAACCTTACTTGGTCAGGATACATTATCCCAGATAGATAGAGAGAGAGAGAGAGAGAGAGAGAGAGAGATAGATAGATAGTCAGGTAGATTTCATTTGCTAATTTTTTTATAATTTTGATCTATATTATTAGAGAAATGACAATTTTCCTTTTTTAATGTTGTGTTGAAAGTGTTATATGTTTATTTTCTATTCTGTGGAACAGTTTATTATAATTTTTTTCTTTCATTTCTATTTATCACATCCAGAAATATACTCTTCTTTCTTTCTTTTTTTTCTCTCCAACAAACTCATATCAAATATTTGAGTAAGCACCCATTTCTGATAACTGTATGATGTGGTAAGTATGGTTACCATATGATGGCAGAAATGAGATTGCTGGATCATATGGTAATTCTATTTTTAGTTTTTTGAAGAAACTCCATACAGTTTTCCGTAATGGGTATACTAATTTGTACAATTTCACCAATAGTGTACAAAGGTCTCCTTTTCCCTACATTGCCAACACCTATAAGACTAAAAAACTTGAGTTTAATTTTTTAAGTACAATACAACATATAGAAGAGTTTAAAACAGAAGTTTGAAACAATCTTACTTGTTTTTCTAGTTACTGCATAATAATGGATTAAAGAGAACAAGAAGTAGTTTGAGTGAGGGATGGGGAGGACTTGGACTTACGTAATAGTAGCATCACGTTGAGAAGTAGTTTGATTCTTAAATAAAAGTAAAGACAAGGTAATTAGATGTGGAGTGTAAAGAAAAGAGAGGAACAAAGATGATTCCAAAGATATTGGCTGTAACAACTCACTGAAAGCTATTATTATTTAATAAGATAGTGAATATCCAAGGATAAGCAAATTTTACTAAGTGGGGAAGGAGGCATGGAGAATAAAGAGTTCAGGTTTTGAGACAAATGTGAGGTGCTTCTTAGACATCCCAGGGCTGATTTTAAGTAGGAATTGAATATGTAAGTCATGTTCAGGGAAAAATTTTGGGCTAGGGAATTTATTTTGAGGAATCATCAGCATATAGATAGTACTTAAAGATGCAAGAATTGGTGATCTCAGCGAGAAAGTGAGTCTAGTAAGTGGGGAAAACTGAATGGAAAGACAAGTCTTGAGACATTCTAACATTAAGTTTGAGAAGATGAGGCATCCAGCAAAGAAAGTTTAAGAGGGATCATTAGTAAGGCAAAAAACCACATTAGGAGAATGTTTGCTGTCACTAAAGTTAATTTTTGTTTAAGTATTTCCAGAAGAAGGAAGTATTAACTGTAATGTTGCTGAGAATTAAAAGTAAGGTAAAGACCAAGAATTGCCCATTAGATTTAGCAATGTGGCTGTCATTAATAATCTTGACATGAACATGTTCGTTGGGGTTAGGGGTTTGAAATTGTAATTGGGACAGATGTAGGGAAAATGGAGGAGAGAAAGAATGGTGACACTGAGTGTAAACAACACTTGAAAATGTTGAGTAATTTGATGAAAGTTGAAGTAGCTATGGAGTTATGGGCAGCATTTTCTTAAGTTGAGGAATATTATAGCAAGTTTGTAAGCTGATGAAAATGATCCAAAGAGGGGAAAAAATCTGATGACGTAGAGAAACAAGATATTATTTGCCAGGGAGAATTTTCAGGTAGGTAAGATGAAATGGTATCTACTGCACAAACAGGAAAATCCTAAGGGGAGTATCAACTGTCTATCCACTGTAAAAGGGAATGCAGAGTAATATGGGGACACATGAAGGTAGGTCTGTTAGTGGGAGAATGTGGATGTTGTCCTCTGAAGGCTATTTTTTTCATGTATTAAGTAGTTAGGGCATTGTTGAAGGGAAGAAGTAGAAAAGATTAGTTAGAAACTTTAGAAAAGTATTATTGAAATTGTCACTTTCTAGAGTGGAAAAGTGAATTAAACAGATAATTTATTAGGATTCCAGTTAATCTCCAGGACCCCACTTGAGGTTTATAAGCTTACATTTAAAGTGAGACAGAATAGCATGTTTTATTAGTTTTTTCTCGCATTGCTATATAGAATTATCTGAGACTGGGTAATTTATAAAGAAAACAGATTTAATTGGCTCACAGCTCTGCAAACTGTACAGAAAGCATGATGCTGGCATCTGCCCAGCTTCTGGGGAGACCGCAGGAGACCTACAATCATTGTAGAGGGCAAAGAAGGAGTAGGCACATCACATGACCAGAGCAGGAGCAAGAGAAAGACAGGGAGGGGCTCTATACACTTTTAAACAACCACATCTCATGAGAGCTCACTATTATAAGAACAGCAAGGAGGGGATGGTGTTAAACCATTCATGACAAGTCCACCACCGTAATCCAATCACCTCCTACCAGACCCCACCTCCAATATTGGGGATTACAATTTGACATAAGATTTGGATGGAAACATATATCCAAACTATATCACATGGTTACTGACATTTTTCAGTTGCATTCAGCTACTTTGGTGCAGACATAGAAGAAATAAAGAACTGGTTTCTCCAAGGTTGGAGGTACAAATTTTGCTACATGTGGAGACTGAATAATGCCCCTCCCACAAAATTTTCATATCCTAATCTCTAGAAACTGTGGATATTACCTCATATGGCAGAAGAGATTTTTTGCAAGTGTGATTAAATTAAAGTTCTTGAGCTGTACATGTTATCCTCGCTTATGCAGATATGCCAGATGTAATCACAGGATTCCTTATGAAACATTCAGAAGATCAGAATGGGGATAAGGTGATGTGAAGATCAAAGTGGGGTTAGAGTGTTGCAGCTGTGAGTCAGGGAAGGCCAAGAAGGCTCTAGAAGCTGGAAGAGGCAAGAAACAAATTCTCCCCTGGAACTTCCAGAAGGAGCCAGATCTATTGATACCTTCATTTTAGACACATGAGACTAGTTGTAGACTTCTGTCTGCCAGCACTGTGAGATAATACATTTATGTTGTTTTAAGCCATTATGTTTTTGGCAAGTATGTCAAATTATTAGAGATGAGAAAATAAAAAACCTGTGTATAGAGAGAGGGACTTTTGAAATTAAGATTTTGGAAGGTGATAAGGACTGGATTTTTGTTTCCCTGAAAATTCACATGTTGAAGCACTGACACCTAATATGATGGTAATAGGAGGTGGGGTCTTTGGCAGGTAATGACGTTTAGATAAAGTCATGAGAATGAAGCCCTCATGATGGGATTAGTGTCCTTATAAGAAGAGAAAGAGAGACCAGAGCCTTTTCTTTTTCCACCATGTAAGCCACAATGACAAGCAGCTGTTTACAAGACAAGAAAAAGCCTCTCACTAAGAACTGAATCTGTCAGCACCTTGATCTTGGAATTCGTGGCCTCCATAGCTGTGAGAGAAATACCTGTTGTTTAAGTCACCCAATCACCCAGTCTATGGTGTTCTATTATAGCAGTCCAAGATGACTGAGACAAAGTGTGAGTATTTATGGTTTTAGATTTGAATCATCAATATACATGATAGAGATGACATGTAGGACAAATCATTGAAAGTGATAATGTCAAAGAATAAGAAATCAGGGGTATATGATCTTATACAAGAATAGTTAAAATATACATAATAATGGCAGTAGTGGTAGTAGAGAGAATTTCCAGGAAGCTGAGGTAATGCTGACCAAGGAATTCCACAAATCTTAAAAATAACTGTAACAGATCAACAAGCATAAAATCCAGAGCTTCAGCATAGAAACTGGTGAACATATAAACCTTATTTGTAAGTAGAAAAATAACCACTAATTTCCAGCAGAGTTACTTCTCAAGCTCCTGCTGGAAGCCCTTGCAGAAGGGCAGTGGGGAGCTGCGGGAGGTATGGGAAAACTGTACTGAAAAAAGAAGAGAAACAAAGTGCATGGGAATGAGATGAACTCACATCCTGAAAAAGAAAGGGCATCCTTAGGGTGAACTTACTAAAAGAGAGTCCTGGTAAATCAGACTACTGACTCCAGGGAAACAAAGGGACACAGAACATGTTGTGGTTATCTCAGACAGACAGCACTTCCAGAGGAAAAAAGGGTAATAAAGGAAGGGAGAGTTTTCATTTTGAGACTGGGTAATAACTAGTAAAAGATGCAAAAGATGGAAATTTAAATTCAACAAGACAAAAATAAGCAAAAAAAAAATCAAATAAATTGTAACTCTTTTCCCATCCCCACCCCAAAAAACCATCCATTTAAAAATGCCACTTTTTCTAACAGAGGAAAATTATTTTAAATTAGGAATACTGCAACCACATCAAACCATCAAACTTGATGAGAAAATGCATAGAAGTAAACATTCGGTAACTATGTAACCCACTACACAAAGCTCATCAAAGTCCCCACACATAACATGACCCTGAAAACTGAATTATATATATTCTTACAATTCTTTTTAGCTGTAAAGACAAAAACATCCTAAGTTAGGAATTCAAAAACTAAAAAATAGACAAGAAATAGGAATAAATGAAATGGGAATTTATTGAATACAAGAAAGAAATTAATAAAAAAAGACAACATTGTACCAGAAAAAAATTAAATTATAATGCACTCAAGGAGTAGGAGATTTGAATAAATATTTAGTTAGAATCATTGAAGACAGGCAGAAAACAAGCAAGATAATAAAATATCACTATAATAAATAAAAGAAGTATAATGGATTCAATTTAAAAAATGGTTGAAATGAAAGAAAGGCAAAGAAAATTGAATATATGCATTCATAATTAGAGTCCCTAATTAATAAAACAAAAACATGGAACTTATACCTAAAATTATAATTCAAGAACTCTTTCAAGAAATGAAAGAAAACCCTGGACCTATGTATTGAAATGGGCCATAGAAAAAAATGACCCAGAGCAATCAAATCTGAGGCATAGTCTAATGAAACTATCAGATTTTAAAGATAAAGAAATTCTCCGAGTCTCAAACAAAAGAGCAAATGATTTGCTAGAGCAAGTAAATTAGGCTGGTATCAGAATTCTTAACAGTAACATCAAAGCAAAACAAAAATAAAACAGCTTTTTCAAGAAACTCAAGAAAAGAAAGTCTGAACCAGTTATTACTAATCCTCATTATTAGCAGATTCTGTATTTGCAAACTTGCCCACTTGCTAAAGTTTATTTGTAACTGCAAAACAAATAGTCTCAGTGCTGTATAAGTCATTTGTTGGCATGCACATGGACAAAGTGTGAAAAATTTGAATCATCTGACATGTGATGTGAACTTTCCCATCTGACATTAAAGAAAGCAACACTCTGCCTTCTGGCTTTATCTCATATACTGTAAACAAAATATTTTGTTTGTGGTCTATTTATTGCCACATTTTTGTGCTTTTTGTTGGTGATTTTGCTGTTTAAAATGTCCCTCAAACATAGGGAAGTGCTGAACACTGAACACTGAAGTCTAATGTTTATAAGCACAAGAAGGCTGTGATATGCCTTGCAGAGAAAATATGTATTTTAGATAAGCTATGTTCAGGCATGAGTTACAGTGCTATCTATCATGAATTCAATGTTAATGAATCAGCAATATATTTTTAATAGGTATCAACAGAAACACACATAAAGCAAAGTTACATTTAGATCAATTGATGAAAACGTTCTAATCAGAGACTCACAGGAACCTAGTGCTGTATTTCCCCTGGGAGCAATAATTCAGTGTTCCCTAACTCAGCATTTATGTGATGACTTTACAAAACAAAAATACCACCAATAAGGAGAATCAATTGTCTTTTATATCAGGCCAATATTTTCTTTGATTATTAAGGCCATGAAGATACAGTTTTAAACATATAAGTACTCAGAAAATGCAGTACCAACTAGCCCTTCTTTAGCAGTCTACTAGATATGAATTTATAAGCTTCGTCTAAATAAGACATAACTGAGAAGAGATCAGCAAATCATTGATGGTGCACATTTAGTGTATTAAGTGTAGATCTAAGATTAAAGCAAAAGCAGATTGAGGTTGGAACAGCCATATGCAAATATATGTTATGGCAAAGTAGAAATAATAAAACTTAATGCAGAGGGAAAAAAAAGGAAAAGAAGATTTGATTTTTATTTGGGAAATAGATGAGAGGTAAAAAAATACCATTAAAATTGACACATAAAGACAGAATGTAGAAACAAAAATATAAACAATTTTCATCATCAAAAGAAAGTTTAAAATGAAAGACAAAGAAAATATATAGAAAAGAAATAGCAAATATAATCATAACAAAATAAGATGACAGGGTTGAAACCAATTATATCAGTTATATCAATAAGTATAAATGAGGTTAAGTCATCTATTAAAAGGACTCCAAAACAAGTCCCAGTTGTGTATTCTATCCAAGATAACCTAAAATAAAATGATTCAGAAAGTGTAAACATAAAGATAGGCAAAGATGTACTAGGCAAAATAAACCGTAAGAAAGGGACTGAAATCATAATATTGAAGTAGAATTTCACCTAAAATGTATTAAAGGTCATATCATGGGCACTTTCAAATGCTAACAATCATAATTCACAACGAAGATATAATAGTTTGAATATCTATGCACCACATAACACATCAAATTCCTATAAAACAGAAATTACAGGAGTTGCAATAGATGAAAAGGAGCACACTAATAATAAAATGATTTTATACACTAATTTCAGCACAAGATAGATTTCAATATATATGTACAGAATCCTAAATGATTTCACAAAGTTAAAATGATACAAGACGTTATCAGTGTATTTGTTGTGTGTATGTGACTTTGAATAGGTCCTAATTTGACTAGCCCTTATTACAGTGTACAAAATGTCTATCAATAATCTAAATAAGGTAAGTGATCTACAAATTATTTGGAACTCTTGTTCCAAATAATTAAATCAAATTTGATGGGAAACCGGCTGATTAATTTTACTTCTCAGCATAAAAATCTCTTGTGGGAAAAACCAAGGTAAATACATCAATTGACTTTAAAAAAGGAGAGTGGTCAGTTTAGATTTCCATTGCACCTCAAGATATTGACACTCACACATATTTGATAGCCCTTCAGACTCTTCCATCTGTACAGCCTTGAATCATGCTGTGCACTGATCCAAAATGACATTTCAGTATTTAGCTCCATCAGTACCCTTCTCTCTATCACGTCAGCTGTTTACAAGAAATACTGTCAGACATTCTGAGAACTATCTATCACCAGACAGTCAGATGAATGCAGAATCAGATCATTTAAATCGTGTACATAGTGAACAAAAGATAATCCATTTTGAGAATGAGAGCGCGGGGAAAGGTCATTCCTGTTCCGTTTAACATCCATAGCACCAAATTTTACATTTTTCTATAGGATAAGATATTATACTAAACATTTATAAAACCTTTCTCCTAGGCACATGGAATAATTAATAGTTACTCTAATGAAAATGTTAAGGCAAACAACACCATGACAGAAACTTCTTAAAACATAAAAGTTGGGCAGAAGACCTTTTTTATTCATCTTTAGGTGATTTTTCATGAGCACTTCCAGAATAGACTTCAGGTTATATGAAAAGGCTATATAGAAACAAAGCTGGAATTTATATTGATGTCTCTATTGTTATTCTCTCTACATAATCCCACTCATGACCTTTCTTTCAAAATAAAAGAGATCGCCAAACACCTCTTTACCCTTGATCAAGTTATACGTGCTTGTGTTATTTAGTACTCTCCTTTTCTTTGTCCTTTTTTTGTTCTCTGTCTCTCCAGCTTCGGCCAGTTTTTTGTTTGTTTGTATTTTTCTTATTTCATTCCCTTTGTAGTCTACTTTCTCTAATCTGACTCAATACCTCTGACTTTATCTTTCCCTAATCTACTTACTGGTCTCTAAACATGTACAATTGTATCTATTCTTTGCCTCGGCTTACTCAGTTCCCATTGCCTAGATGACTTTACCCACTGCTATTTTTTGAGACTGTAAATTTTGGCACTTTCCCCAATCCCATCTCCTTCCTAAGGATAACAACAGAAATTGCAGCTGATAATTATCCCTCCTCCTTTTACCCTTCCAACCTACTCATTTCCTACTTCTTGTGTAGATAATTTGTTTTGTTCCTTATTGTTTTTATCTGTAAATTTTCTGCCTCCCAAGTAGAGAGGTTGGGCAATTTTCTATTTATTCTCAGAAGTTGAATTAAATATGTGTTTAGTGGATATTTGTTAATGTCATCATGCGAATAACTTTGCCATTTGCCATAAAATAAATAGATCTATGGTAATGAATCTTGTGGCATAATTAGTAGAATCCAGGACATCCTTGATCTCCAAGTTGAAGGAAAATACCAGTTAAGCAGTATTAAAAGCAAAATACAATGACAAACCTGTCCCTAGGTGCTTCTGATGTTTGAAAACAAGAGTCTTTCTAAGGAAAAATTAACCAGTTTCCACAAAATTAAAATACTTTTTTATTTCTTTTTTTTTCTCCTGATGAATACATTCCTTATTTGGGTACTAAGCCCTCCTAACAGCAAAGCCTAAGGTTGGAGAGCTGGGGAGTCAGCATTTTGCCAGTTGCTCATTAGATAGAATAGTAACAGAGCCACTCCCCACTTTAACATATACCCCATCTTATAGAAGAATATTGTGATATTCCAATGTGTCTTCCAGTGTCACTGAAATTAAATCTGCAATATGCCATTCAGCTGATCAATATGACCAGGCATTCTGAGGTAACGGAAAATATGGCAAGAGCAGTGAATCTGACTGCTTATCAGCTTATACCCTCATTTTCCCCCTGTGAAACAAATACATTTTTGAGGGAGTATGACTGTCAATAATCTTTGAATACATTAATGATCATGATGTCAAGAATGTCAGGACAGAAGGCAATCCATATTTGCTATAGGTATATTCTACTGAAAAATGCATTGTCACTCCTTCTATAATTGAATATTTCACAATTGTGGTATTTATTAAGGAAAAGTATGTGTTACTGACCCCATTCATAATTTCCAAAGTAACTGTCTAGGCTTTTTGTTCCTGAGCCCTAAAGAAGTGACTTCTGAAAGAGGCCGACTGACATCTACAGAATAGGCTATCCCATTCATTGAATTATGAAGCACCTCCTCTTTAGAGATGGCCTTTTAATTAGCCTTTATTTAGTACATAAATGTTCTCAAATATTGATCTCATTCTGAGTGCTATCTAAAATTTACCTCTCAAAAAGTCTTTCTATCTTGTTCCTTCCATACCTACACAAACTATTAGTAGATCTGACCAGACTATTAGCAGATCAGCGTTCCTGAAGATGAAACCATCCTTGATATAACATTTGCCCTGCAAACTGCTATCATTATTAAATCATTTAAGCCCTACCTGACACACACACAACAAAATATAATGGAATTGATACATTTTGTAAATCATAGCTGGGATATAATGGGATAATAGGGATTAGTAAATAATTTTGAGTTTACACATACATAACATAACAAATATGATGATAAGATATCCAATAAGGATATAAAACAATGCTTAGCATCATTAGCTGTTAGATAAATGCAAATTAAAAACACAATGGGATACTGATACACATCTATTGAATGACAAATGCAAACAAATCCAAATAAAAATCTAAACTAACTAAATAACTAAACTGGCATAGATGCAGAGCGAATGGAATTCACACATTGCTGGTAAGAACACAAAGTTATATGGCAAAACAGCTTGCAGTTTGCCACTTTCTTGTAAGGTTAAACATATATTTACAGTACAATTCAGTAATCCTACTTCTAATATTTGTCTAAGTAAAATGTTAACCAATATTCACACAAAAAAATCTGTATGTAAATGTTTATAGCCATTTTATGTATAGTCCCCCCAAACTGAAACAACCCTTCATTCCAAAATTTCTGGACTGGGGAAATAGATAAGCAAACTGTGATATCCATACAATGGAATACCACTCGGCAATAAAAAGGAATAAACTTTTGGTACATACAACAACATGCATGAGTCTCAAATGTATTAAGCTAAGTAAAGCATACATAATACATTATTGCGCATACATTAAATTCTGGGAAAAGCAAAACTATAGGATGAGGGCTAGATCAGTGGTTGCCTAATATTAAGGATGGGCTCAAAATTTCACTTCACAGGAATACAAATGAGAATTTTGGGGGAGTAATGAAGTTGTTCTGTATCTTGATTGTGTTGGTTACATAATTGAGCATTTGCTAAAACTCATGGAAATATACAACAAAATAAATGAAAATACTGTATATAAATTTAAAAAGAAAAATGAAAATAAGAAACCTGAGGCTTAGAGTGTAAGATGTGTTCAAGGTCATTCAGTACTTCATTATTGCAGCTGGGACTTCAATTCTAAAATCCTTTTGGTTCTTTCTGGACTTCAGAAATGCTACACGAACCCAGTCAGGTACCCATCCTATCCACAACACCCTCCCTGCAAGATATCAATACCATTAACTGTTCAGGCCATCTTACTTATAATTTCTAAAAGATGTCTTGATAGGAGAGAAAGCCATTAAAATGGTACTTAACCAGTCTATCTGTAAAAATTCAGTGAGTACTTATAAGTTGTACACTTTTTTGTGTTACATTTCAATAAAAAGTATTAAACATTTGAAAAATGAGAATTCAAGAGGGCTTGTTTGGGGTGGCATAGAATAAGTCTCGTTTCAGAAATATGGCACATGAGGGGCTAGCAACACATCTTGGTATGTGTCCAGCAGACAACAGGGAATGTGGGAGTTTGAAATTAATGATAGAATCCGTGATGTTAATTTTGTAGTTGTATTTATGAATACATCAAGGCAAAAAAGTGGAAGAAATTGCTGAGATAGAGCAGGGATTCTTAAAGCAGAGCACAGGTTCTTAATCTTGGGTTCATAGAATCTTGATTTAAGAAATGTTTTTTGGGTGTTCTTGAACCTCTTTAAAGTAAGCAAAGTCTTGTGTGCACTTGAATGTATGCATTTTTGTGGGTTTTACTCAGAAATCTATTAGAGAAGAAAGTCCCCTTTCATATATTATAAAGGCTGAAGAGACCCAGGAGAATCTGTACATTTAGATGATATTTGGGAACTGGATGGGGGAGAGAGAGAAAGAGAAAGAAAGCTGTAAGGGAGATCATAGAGAGGACAAGATATGCAGTTCCAGGGACTCCATCAAGGAAGAGTCAAATATCAGGAGAAAAAGTAAATAATTTCATCAATAGTTATGGCAGTCAAAAAGTTAAAGGCTAAGAAAATATTTTCAGATTTGGCAAATAGGCATTCATTTTGGACCACTAGGAGGACGGATAAAGAAGTTATTTTGAAAAAAAAAAAAAAGCCGTGTTGTATGTAGTTAAGGGATAACAGGTAAGGAGAAAGTAGAGGTGATCTGAGTAGTTCATGGAAAAACTTGACAGTTAAAAGGTAAGTAAGCAAAAACAAGCCATACCTTGAGAAATGCTAGGACGTAAGAAATATTTTTAAGCTAAGAGAGTATATTATGTAATTGTTTATACATAGAAGAAAAAAAATGAAAGGGATAAATGAAAGATTTAAGAAGAGCTACTGGTAAAAGAGATGGTAAAATCATAGATAAGAGGTCAAGGGATGCTATTTGATAAAAACAAGGGACATTTCTTTACAGACAATATTGAACAAGAAAATGCAATGAAGACTCAAGGATATTTGAAGGTGAAGAGAAAGACATTTAGTGTCTTTATTTTGAAGGCTTTGTATTTATTTAGTAAATAAGAGACAGTGTTGTTGGTCTATTGAGTGTCAAGAATAGACATGGGTTTTAAGGCTAAAAGAGAGTGGGGAAGTATTAGAACAGCTGCTGTGGAAAGTAAAACAGTGATTTGAAAAAAGTGAAGAATAAGGGATTACTTAATTACATTATATTTTATGATATATACTGTATATATGTACATAATATATCAAATAATGTGTATTACACATGAAAAAATGATTTTGTTCAGTACTCTATTCTCAGCATTTCTAATAGTGTCTGCTACATCATAGGCATTCAGTAAATATTTTTTGAATATAAGAATAAATGGGTGAATGAGTCGGAAGTTTATGACACTCTTTCAAATAACCCAGGAATGAAAAGTAAAAGTAAAATACACACAGAGCCAGCTTTATGAATATGTGACCAGTGCAGTTGCAAAGGGCCCAGCTTGCGGTAGGATCTCATACTTGATTTAATGTTCTGCTGTCACCATCTTGTAATTCCTAATAACTTTTTTATAACTCTCACATTTTTATGTTGCACTAGACACTGAAAATATACAGCTAGTGCTGAATATACAGTTTTGTTTACCTAGTCTTAAAGTCTGGCAAAATAAAAAGTGGAAAGACAAACAGTGAACAATTCTTGGGTAGAATTTAGGGTTGCCAAACTTGGTAAATAAAATACCGCACACCAAGTTAAATTTGAATTTCCCAATATTGCATGGGACATACTGTACTTAAAAGCTATTTGTTGTTTATTTGATTTTTCAAATTTAACTGAATGTCCTATATATTTTCTGACAACCCCACTGGGAATAAGTATATCATTGAAATGGCTACCTATGGATTCTAGGCAGATTAGTCAATGCTGGAGAATTTGAAAGACTTGAAGAATAAATGGTCAAAATAAGAATGAGGGAACAGTTTGGCAAGAGTGGGAAAGTAGTAGGGGATAAAAATTGGCCAGTGAAGGTGAGATCACAGCATTAAATCTTACAAATGCAGTTCTTTTAAGTCATAAATTCTAAGGTTTTGTGGTGCTAGGGAGAAGTTCAAGTTGAGTGGCAATAGCATCAGATATAAGAAGCTTAAGATTGAAGCCAGTAAGCTGAAAGAGTTATCTAGGTGGATATTTATGTCATCTATAGTCACAAATGTCAGGAGCTAGGTAGAGAGACTAACTGAATCAGATGCTAAAATGATAAAGATAATTAAGAAAATGTCTTTACAAGTCAGAGAAGGTAGATGAGGAGAGGGTAATGTGGTTTTGTCTACAATCACCTAATTTATCTAATGTATTTCAACTACTTACACTAAAAACGGCATTTTCTTCAATGTATTATATATTTGAATTCAATATATTTGATTAAATATAAAGGCTCACAAAAATCTATAACTTATTTGTCTTACGCATTATAAGTTTAATTACATAATGCATGATATACATAACTGGAAAGCCTCAAATGCATGATATGATCCTATAATAACTATTTTTTTCCTGAGTTAGGGCCCTGTTTTTGACAGTGACTTATTGAAGTGTTTTGTAAATCAGAGAGTTTATATAATTGTTAGAAGAGTCTTACATTTGGAATATTATAATAAAACATTTCTGGTCTTTCTAAAGAAGGCTGTGTGAAGGGGATGCTATTAATATTCATAAAAACTTAAAGGGTATCATTTTGTAGACATCAATCAAAAGATAAAATGTGACAAAATACCTAATAATTTGTTAAATTTTAAGAATTTAACACAAGTTTTCATTAAAGGAATCTAATATACATAATGCCTTGTGCCCCTTTATAATTATGTTGGTGATTCTAAAGCTAAACAATTTCTTTTATAAATTGCCTTTTTTCCTAATTTACATTGAAAATGAGACAGACTAGAGGAGCCAAGGTCAGTTTTAAAGATATTTGTAGTAGCTGTCATTTTATTTGCTTATTCTCATGGCTTAATTTTTAAAAACTAGATGGTGGAGTTTTTACTTCGCAATAAACAAGAATGAAGTACTAATGCATAATACAATATAAATAAGCCAAAAAATAGGCAAAGTGAAAGAAGCCAATGCAAAAGTTTTCATATTATATGATTTCATTTATTTGATATATTCAGTCTGGGAAAATCTATAGGGGACCGAAAGTAGATTTGATTTTGCCTGGGGCTATGTATGGGGATGGAGAATGACTGTGAATGTGTACAAGAGATCATTAAAATGAGGTGGAAATGTTATAAAATTGAATTATAGTACTGTAGTTGCACAACACTGCAAATTCACTAAAAATCATGTTCATTTAAAACAAATGAATTTTATGGTATAGAAATTACATCTCAGTAAACTTTTAAAAACCATAGCTATTATTAATATATAATTCATATAGTATATCCCTGACATTGAAATAAGTGAGTGAAATAAAAGAGAAATTTTATAATAGCATTAGTCATCTACCAAATGGGATTGTACTTCTTCAGAGAAATAGTTAAACAGAACACTAAAATAGAACTTCTTTGTTTTTGCTAATTTTCTAGTGGTCTAAAACAGCACTTTTTGGCAATGTATATGTGTATGTGTACATGTTACATTGTCTTAATATAGCTACCATTTTTGCTATCAGCACTTTGCATATAGATTTTGTTTTTCTGTGGGAATAGAATTAGATAAATTATCTTCTAATTGGGTAGAAATTCATTACAGATTCTGCATTCGTTGTCACAGGGGTGACTTTACTGTCTATATAAGCTTTTCACAGGAGTGAAAAATGACCAAAGTACCCAAGAATGAAGGTGAGCCAATAATGAATGAGCTTGCTAAACTGGCCTGCTGATTAAAGAGAGCTGTAATTTTCCTAGAGCCATTACCATTTTTTAAAAAATCAATGGAAACAAAAAGATAAATGTGAAGTGGAGAATACAGTGATGCCTATGAACTCTGTGGTTTTTTTGGTTACTTCTAAGTAATATTAATCTTCAAATTATATTATCACAGTAGACTGATGTACATTCCAAGTTTTATAAATGTCAATTCTGCCATTTTCTCCAAAATATATTTGAAAGAGAAAAGAAAACATATTTCTACTTGTGAAATTGTGATGTGTGATAACTGTGTGACACTGAAAGTCATATATATCCTTATTCATCCCATACACTTTTCCTAGCAGCCTGTGAGAGTGCTGCACTATCTCACACTGCATAAAATTTCCTCCACTGCAATTATTCCTTTGAATTTGTCAACACAATGGGATCATTATTTCCAAAAGGCTCATGGAAAAATGCTAGTGCTATATTAATGAGGAAGTCCTGTAGCCTTTGTGGAATAGGGTGTTTTCATGTATTCTTTTAGTATAATAGCTAGTTGTCATCTTGGAAGGCACAGATATTGTAGTTTTGTGAGAAATACATATTTTACTGGGTAGGAGGAAAATTTTAGGTAACAGCCTTGGGAAAAAGGGCTGACCAAGGCTCGTGGTATTCCTCAGCGTTGACCTTGGTACTGAAGAGTTTTAGAAAGAGAGGTGGTCCCTGAATGAGAATAATGTTTGGTAGTCTGTGCTTGGTGCAAAATATATTACTGAAAAGTATATGAATGATGTTGAAGTTAACAGTGAAAAGCAATGAACATCAATTTTTTAATTAAAAAAAATCGCACACCACTCATAACAGAAATGCAAATTTGTGTAGATTTTTTCTAAATTCAATTTTAACAATTCATTAGTTTTTGAAGGAATTAGATTTGTGCCCATTCTTTAAGAAATGCTATCTATGTAAATGATTTAATTAAATTATCTCAAATAAGGAACATTGACTTAGAAAACAACTGAACCTGCACTAAGAAAAGCTTTTCATCTGTACTTATTTAAATATATTACTTAAGAACTCCATTCCGATGTTCAGCTCCCTATACTTCAAATATATCTTGCAAGTAACTAATTCTTGTAAAAATCAGTAACTGTTATACAAGAAATAAAATGTTCTCCAAGTATCATGCCAAGGCTGTTTTTTATAGTTAAGGTGGCTAATCAATAATATATGACCACATTTTTTTTTCAGTGACAAATTATATACTTTTTGTTTTATGTTGGTAGTATTCTGTGGTATTATTTCTTAACAACAGAGTCAATTTTCTTTTTTGTTTGTTTTATTTCCAACTTGTATTTTAAGTTCAGGAGTGCATGTGCAGGATGGTTACATAGTTAAATATCTGTCATGGTGATTAGCTGCACAGATCATCCCATAATGTAGGTGTTAAATCCAGGCTCTGTTAACTATTCTTTCTGATGCTCTCCCTCCTCCAATGCCCCAACCTCTAACAGGTCCCAGTGTCTGTTGTTCCCCCAGATGTTCCATGTGTTCTCATTACTTAGATCCCACTTATGAGTGAGAACATGCTGTATTTGATTTTCTGTTCCTGTGTTAGTTTGCTGAGGATGATGGCTTCCAGCTCCGTCCATGTCCCTGCAAAGGACATGAGCTTGTTCCTTTATATGGCTGCTTAATATTCCATGGTGTATATATACCACATTTTATTTATCTGTAATTGATGGGCCTTTTGGTTGATTCCATGCCTTTGCTATTGCGAACAGTGCTGCAATGAACATATGCATACATGTAACGTTGTAATAGAATGATTTATATTCCTTTGGATATGTACCCAGTAATGGGATTGCTGGGTCAAATTTCTGCCTCTCGGTCCTTGAGGAATCACCACACTGTCTTCCACAATGGTTGAACTAATTTACACTCCCACCAACAGGGTAAAAGTGTTCCTTTTCCTCCATAACCTCACCAGCATCTGTTTGTTTTGTTTTGTTTTGTTTTGTTTTGTTTGTTTGTTTGTTAAACCTTGTAATAGTAGGCATTCTGACTGGTGTGAGATGGTATCTCATTGTGGTTTTGATTTGCATTTCTCTAATGATCAGTGATGTTGAGCTTTTTTTTCACATATTTGTTGGCTGCATGTATGTTTTCTTTTGAGAAGTGTCTGTCATGTTCTTTGCCCACTGTTTAATGGGGTTGTTTGCTTTATTCTTGCAAATTTATTTAAGTTCCTTATAGATGCTGGATAGTAGATCTTTGTCAGATGGGTAGATTGCAAAAGTTTTCTCCCATTCTGTAAGTTGTTTGTTCACTCTGATGATAGTTTCTTTTGCTGTGCAGAAGCTCTTTAGTTTAGTTAGACCCCATTTGTCAATTTTTGCTTTTGTTGCAATTGCTTTTGGCATGTTTATCATGAAATCTTTGTTCATAGCTATATCCTCAATGATATAGCTTTGGCTTTATTCTAGAGATTTTTATAGCTTTGGGTTTTATGTTTAATTCTTTAATTTAACTTGAGTTGATTTTTTTATATGATATAAGGAAGGGGTCCAGTTCAATTTTCTGTACATGGCTAGCTGGTTCTCTCAGCATCATTTATTAAATATGGAATCCTTTCCTCCACTGATTTTTTTTGTCAGGTTTGTTGAAGGTCAGATGGTTTTAAATGTGCGGTCTTATTTCTGAGTTTTCTGTTGTGTTCCATTGGTTATGTGTCTGTTCTTGTACCAGTACCATGCTGTGTTGGTTACTGTAGCCTAGTAGTATAGTTTGAAGTCCTGTAGTGTGAGGCCTGCAGCTTTTTTCTTTTTACTTAGGATTGTCTTGGCTATTCAGGCTCTTTTTTGGTTCTATATGAATTTTAAAATAGGTTTTTTTCTAATCCTGTGAAGAATGTCAATGGTAGTTTAATGGGACTAGCATTGAATCTATAAATTGCTTTAGCCAGGATGGCCATTTTCACGATATTGATTCTTCCCATCCATGAACGTGGAATGTTTTTCCATTTGTTTGTGTCATTTCTGATTTCTTTGAGCAGTGGTTTGTAGTTCTCCTCGTAGTGATTTTTGCTTCCTACTTAGCTAGATTCCTAGCTATTTTATTCTTTTTTTTGACAATTGCGAATGGGATTTCATTCCTGATTTGGCTCTCAGCTTGACTGTTTTTGGTGCATAGGAATGCTAGTGGTTATTGCACATTGAATTTGTATCCTGAGTCTTCACTGAAATTATTTATCAGATGAAAGAGATTTGAGCACAGACTGTGGGGTTTTCTAGATGTAGGATCTTGTCATCTGCAAACAGGAATAGTTTAACTTTGTCTCTTCCTATTCAGATGCCCATTATTTCTTTTTCTTGCTTGATTGCCCTGGCCAGGATTTCCAATGCTATGTTGAATAGGAGTGGTGAGAGAGGACATCCTTGTCTTGTTCCAGTTTTCAAGGGGAATGCTTCCAGCTTTTGCCCATTCAGTATGTTATTGGCTGTGGGTTTGTCATATATGGCTCTTATTATTTTGAAGTATATTCCTTCAATACCTAGTTTACTGAGAGTTTTTCACATGAAGGGATGTTGAATTTTATCAAAGTTCTTTTCTGCATCTATTGAGATAATCATGTGGTTTTTGTCTTTAGTTCTGTTTATATGGTGAATTACATTTATCGATTTGTGTATGTTGAAAATACACAAATGTATGTTGCATCTTGGTGATAACGCCAGCTTGATTGTGGCTTTTTGTTGTGCTATTGGATTTGGTTTGCCAGTATTTTGTGGAGGATTTTTTCACCAGTGTTCATCAAGGATATTGGCCTGAAGTTTTCTTTTTTGTTGTATTTCTGTCAGGTTTTGTATTAGAATGATGCTGGCCTCATAAAATGAGTTAGGGAGGAGTTCCTCCTTTTCAATTGTTTCAATAGTTTCAGTAGGCATGGTACCAGCTCTTCTTTGTCTCTCTGGTAGAATTCAGCTGTGAATCTGTCTGGTTCTGTTTTTGTTGTTGTTGTTGTTGTTGTTGTTTTAGTTTTGTTTTGTTTTGTTTTTGCTTGGTAGTGTAATTTTTACTGCCGCAATTTCAGAACTTGTTATTGATCTATGCAGGGATTTAATTTCTTCCTGGTTCAATCTTGGGAGGGTGTATGTGTCCAAGAATGTATCTATTTCTTCTAGATTTTCTAGTCTATATGCACAGACGTATTTGTAGTATTCTCTGGTGGTTGTTTGTGTTTCTGTGGGGTCAGTGCTGATATCTCTCTTCTCATTTTTGATTATGTTTATTTGATTCTTCTCTCTTTTCTTCTTTATTAGTCTAGCTGTCTAGCTAGAGGTCTATTTTATTATTTAAAAAAAAAAAAAAGAAACCCAGCTCCTGGATTTGTTAATTTTTTTGAGGGGTTTTTGTGTCTATATCTCCTTCAGTTCAGTTCTGATCATGGTTATTTCTTGTCTTCTGCTGGCTTTGGGGTTTGTTTGCTCTTGATCCTCTAATTCTTTTAGTTGTGATGTTAAGTATGTCCTTGGCCGGTTTACAGCAAGAATCTTGTTTTGTTAATTTAGCAATAATCTCCCTATCTTTTATGTCTCCCCATACTAATTTTCTATTTGCTGACCCCTATGCTCTGCTCATTGGCTCTAATTCACAGCTGATTTCTCTCTGTTATGACAGTACCCTTATTACAATAGTCTTGAATTATGTCTTTCTTACTGTTTTCACAAATATCAGAATTTGTTTTTTCTTTTTTTAAAAATTTTATTATTATTATACTTCAAGTTTTAGGCTACATGTGCACAATGTGCAGGTTTGTTACATATGTATACTTGTGCCATGTTGGTGTGCTCCACCCATTAACTCATCATTTAGCATTAGCTATATCTCCTAATGCTATCCCTCCCCCCTCCCCCCACCCCACAACAGTCCCCGGAGTGTGATGTTCCCCTTCCTGTGTCCATGTGTTCTCATTGTTCAATTCCCACCTATGAGTGAGAACATGCCGTGTTTGGTTTTTTGTCCTTGCGATAGTTTGCTGAGAATGATGGTTTCCAGTTTCATCCATGTCCCTACAAAGGACATGAACTCATCATTTTTTATGGCTGCATAGTATTCCATGGTGTATATGTGCCACATTTTCTTAATCCAGTCTATCATTGCGGACATTTGGGTTGGTTCCAAGTCTTTGCTATTGTGAATAGTGCTGCAATAAACATACGTGTGCATGTGTCTTTATAGCAGCATGACTTATAATCCTTTGGGTGTATACCCAGTAATGGGATGGCTGGGTCAAATGGTAATTCTAGTTCTAGATCCCTGAGGAATGGCCACACTGACTTCCACAATGGTTGAACTAGATTACAGTCCCACCAACAGTGTAAAAGTGTTCCTATTTCTCCACATCCTCTCCAGCACCTGTTGTTTCCTGACTTTTTAATGACTGCCATTCTAACTGGTGTGAGATGGTATCTCATTGTGGTTTTGATTTGCATTTCTCTGATGGCCAGTGATGATGAGCATTTTTTCATGTGTTTTTTGGCTGCATAAATGTCTTCTTTTGAGAAGTGTCTGTTCATATCCTTCGCCCACTTTTTGATGGGGTTGTTTGTTTTTTTCTTGTAAATTTGTTTGAGTTCATTGTAGATTCTGGATATTAGCCCTTTGTCAGATGAGTAGGTTGCGAAAATTTTCTCCCATTCTGTAGGTTGCCTGTTCACTCTGATCGTAGTTTCTTTTGCTGTGCAGAAGCTCTTTAGTTTAATTAGATCCCATTTGTCAATTTTGGCTTTTGTTGCCATTGCTTTTGGTGTTTTAGACATGAAGTTCTTACTTTAACCGTTATGTCATTTTGTTCCTGATGCAGATCACCATTGAATATGAAATGTGGCTCTTTCTTTTAGGGATACATGTGAAAAGACTTCAGTAATACTATTGCACAGAGGTAAAACTATTACCCCTTATTTGTAAAACAGATAAGATATATCACACTGAAAACTGCAACATATTTTCTGAGTTGTTTGTGTATTAGAATTAACAGCTGGAATGGATATTAGAAACAACCTAGCTGAAAGTATTTAATGATCATAACCTTTGAGTTATCACTGTTTTCTATACTCTGTATTCATAAGAATATATTCATGCAACCCTCACAACAGTTTATGTGATAAGTCCTATTATTATGGTCTCAATTTTATTACATAGACATAGTGAGCAGTTTTCTGACATCTGTATCCTATATCAGGAAGAGAATGATTCTAAAGAATTTGAAGGAACAGTCATCTCAAGTGAAACAGTAAGAAATGGATTCACAGATCCTGGAAGTTAAGAGGACATTTGACACAGCAAAGAATGAAACGTTGGTAATGTGTGTTTGGTGAATTTCCCTCTTCAGTGGAATATAACAGCCTGCCAATTCCCGGTGAAGAACAGGTTGACCAAACTAAATTTGTGTCTTCAATTCATGAGGTACTTGATAGTCATTACAGAAGCATACATTTCTCAGCAAATCATGTGGGGAAAAATTATGAAGTCCAAAGGAGTCAGGAATAAACCTCTACTAAGTTTCGGAGAAGGAAGCAGTGGAAATTGAAAAAATAGGTGAAAATTTTGCATCTTTTTTCAATTCTGTTTGCAAGAGAATAGGTGGATGAAACAATGGGTGAAGAACTATAAAGATAGAAAAGCAAATGATTCTGTTTTTGAAATGATGATGAATGAAATAAAAATTAAGAGCATCTTTTATAAAATAAAAATGAATAATTTTAAAAAAGATTTAGAGTAATAAAGATGGCTTTAAATTAAAATTTTGAAAAGAAGACATACACATTACAGCTAAAACAGCGAAACTAAATATTAATATTAGAAGTATAAACATGCTTGACTTTCTGCCCCCAAATTCCTCAAATCACCCTATATCTTCCAACTTAGTGACTTCTACAAAGGTTCTGGGACCAAGCCTTCTCCTAGTTTGATGGAATGGAACAAGTCTTGGACAAGTAGTTTAAAATTTCTAAATTAACTTGACTAATATTATTTCTACTTCCCAAATAGACCCTTTCTTATCAAACCTTGTAAACCAATTTCAGTAATTAGACCTAGTTCCTCAATCACAGTTTCTGCTTCCGGTGGTCAGCTTTCTTTGCCTACTGTAAGAACAAATACACATTAAAAATAAGAAGTTAATTCTCGCTGTTGAAAATAAGGAAAGATATTTCCCCTCCTCTCCTTTTCTTAGAATATTTACTTTACAAAAAATTGTAATGATAAGTTCCTTCTATGCATCTTTGAGATGCATGTCTATCTTCAAAAGCCAAATAACATGGCCAAGTAATGTCTTTTTGAAGGACTTGGGAGCCATCTTTAGACACCAAGGGAGATAACACACATCTCTCTCTCTGTCTTCTTTTTTTTTTTGTGGAAGGATAGGTGCCTACCTTCCACAGATTTCTGGCTCCAAGTTGCAAAACTATCTCCTAATATAAAGATAGAAATTTCACCTCCTATGGATAAAGTCTGTTAAATTACACAGATGGTCACCCCATCACCAGATAATTTTAGGTGGGAATTTGTATAACAAATGGGTGCTATCAAGTCCTCTTTTTTCTGGACAATTTATTATCTGCCTCAAGAAGATGTAATGAGTTGTATCTGCTTTGTTGTGTGAAGGGTGAGATTTCTTTCCCTCTTTGCAGTCTCTTAGTAGTTTGCCTGTGATACACATCACATTTTTGTTTAATTCTTACTCAATATATATTTTTTTTCACTTTTATCTTTCTGGAGAGATTTTCTGAGTTGGGAGGAATTTTCTTTTTAATTTTATTTTTCTAGTAGTACTCTCTGCCTCCAAATTCTGCTGATGCCCCAGCTGTTCATCTAGACTTTCTGCTGTCACCCAATACTATAGTTTGAATGTATCTCCCAACTTTATGTCTTGAAAACTTAATTCTCAATGCAATAGTGTTAAGCAATGGAGCCCTTAAAAAGTGAGTAGGTAATGTGGGTGTGGGTTTGTTATCTCAAGAGTGAATTAGTAAAGTGAGTTTGGGCCTCTCTTGATCTCTCTCATTCATGTTCTCTTGCCCTTCACCTCTGCCATGGAATGATGCAATAAGAAACCCTTTTGACAGATGCAAGTCCCTCACCTTAGACTGCCCAGCCTCCAGAATCATAAAAAAACAAATCTTTTTTAAGAAATAAATTACCGACTATCAGGTCTTCTGTGATAGCAGTACAAAATAAACTAAGATAACTACTCTAATCTGAATTATTCCTCTACATCCCATTTTGGTCATTCAGCCCTAGTTTTCACTAATGAAAACCTATTTGGCACAATATAAAAAACTTATAGAAAAATAAATACTAGTGAAGGTAACAAGAAAAGATAAATAGGGTAGGAAGCAACTAGTAAAAATTTCTAAATTATAGAATCATGGTAAAATTATTTTAGGGAAACCAAAGCTTACAACTAGTTGAAGCTCGAGTTGAAAAATATAGCTTGGCAACTAAATGCTCATATTTAATTCTATGGAAAGCAAGAAGGGGAAAAAAAGAGCATATCTACAGATAGAAATGATAGCAGATGTCATGGAGAAGCGACAATTACTGAAATCCTATTTCTTCCATTTTATCCAGTAAGGAGAATGGTCTTGAAAGTATACATAAAAGCATAAACAAAATGTTGAAAAAGTGTTTTCCCATATTAGTTGAGGATCTCATAATATGTTTTTAAAATTTTTTATTTCCATAGGTTTTGGAGAACAGGTGGTAGTTGGTTACATGAGTAAGTTCTTTAGCAGTGATTTGTGAGATTTTGGTGCACCCATCACTCGAGCAGTGTATACTGTACCCAATTTGTTGTCTTTTATTCCTCACCCCCCTCCCACCCTTTCCCCGAGTCCCCAAAGTTTGTTGTATCATTCTTATGCCTTTGCAAGAGGATCTGATAATAAATTTGCCTACAGTTACCTATCAAATAAATAAAAAATGTTGGGCCCTTAGGAAATTTAGATAAATGACCTTGGAACTCAAGTTAGTAATATTTGTGACTTCATGGAGACGGCAAAGAAACCAGAAAACTGGGATATTGGTAAATGTTACACTGATTTACTAAAAGGGCAGCTGTTTAAATTGATCCCTGAATATGTTTTCTGAGTACTTATCTGGCAGTAGGTTTGTGAGGCCCTAGAAAAGAATGTGACATGAAGCACAAGAATGTGAAAAGAAGCCAATAACAGCTCCAGAGAAAATGTCGTGCCAAATTAACCTCTTTTTGTGTGTTTGTAGTCATGCTGTTATCCAGTTGAGGAGAGGAATACAATAACATGGTAATTTTTGAAACATTTGACAGAGGATTACAGTATTTGTGTAAGAAGGTAATATGGGTTATGTGTGGTAGGTTAAAGAATTGAATAGACAATGTTAGATTTTCTGGGACAAAATGGGAAGAAATCTCTAGAGAAATTCTATATTACTTTATTACTTTCTCCTTGGAAGAGCAAAGTTTCAAAATTAAAGAAAAATATGATTGTCATAGAATGTGGGTTTTAAATGGAAAGAGATTGCTCAGATAAAAAGCAACAGAGTTTGTACTTGAAATGATTGGAAAACTTGGTTGAAACCAGCAAGATGCAATAAAGGCTCACTATTAAATCTTGTATCCCCTCTTCAAGTATATTTCATGGCTTTGGAATCAAAAAATATTAATTTTATGGCAATTGATAATTTTGGAAAATGACTATTTGATAGTACGGTTCATACTGTTAGGTTGATCTAATTTCAAAATCTGTTTTTTTTCATTTTCTAGTAATTTGGGGGCAGATTAACCTAAGTGGTAATTATTAACAATACTTTAAAAATATTATGCCCTTCTCTTCTCCCTGGAACCCTATGCCTATCTCAAGCTTAATCATTACCACATTGGAAATGATGTGATTGTTGGATTACTTTTTCTATTACGTGTAAGCTTTTTGATGGTAGGGACTATTGCTTTGTTTGTATCTTGTGCATCTGATGCAAGCATCATGCTTTGCTTCTGGAATCTGTTTGATAAACGTCTTTGAAACTGAACTGAGCCATTAATACATGGCTTTCCCCAAAAACCAACTTCTTTGATTGGGTTAGTAGAAAGAGACTATCCATACCACTGAAATTAAATGCCTTTCTTTACCCTTTATTGTTAAATTATATCAGCAGCTGTGATTTTAGTTCTGCAAGTCAAATATGAATAGGAATCTTGATGAATAGCTTACAGAGTAAAGTCACTAGGATGGTAGGAACTCATGAGAGGAATGGTGGAGGAATATATCCTATAAAGATATAAATCTAATACTAAAATTCATGGAGAAAGGAAGTTAGACTATGTGTCTGTGTTCCTCAAGGCACTTAATAGGATAAAGGCTCAGCTCAATATTTTAAAGAACTTTGTAAACAAAATATATTGTGGTGGATTTATTGCAAAATGTCTCAATTATTTTCCTCCCTTTTAAAAATCTTTGATCTTCCAGCTTTGTCTTCTGCTACCTTTTGAATTTGTTTGCTTTTGCTTCTCTAGTTCTTTTAATCGTGATGTTAGGGTGTCAATTTAAATCTTTCCCACTTTCTCCTGTGAGCATTTAGTGCTATAAATTTTCCTGTAAACACTGTTTTAGCTGTGTCTCAGAGATTCTGGTACGTTGTCTCTTTATTCTCATTGGTTTCAAAGAGCTTCGTTATTTCTGCCTTAATTTCGTTATTTACCCAGTAGTCATTCAGGAGCATGTTGTTCAGTTGCCATGTAGTTGTGCAGTTTTGAGTGAGTTTCTTAATCCTAAGTTCTAATTTGATTGCATTGTGGTCTGAGAGGCTGTTTGTTATGATTTCCATAAATTGGCATTTGCTGTGGCGTGTTTTACTTCCAATTATGTGGTTGATTTTAGAATAAGTGTTATGTGGTGCGAAGAGGAATGTATATTCTGTTGATTTGGGGTGGAGAGTTCTGTAGATGTCTGTTAGGTCAGCTTGGTCCAGAGCTGAGTTCAAGTCCTGAATATCCTTGTTAATTTTCTGTCTCATTGATCTGTCTAATGTGGACAGTGGGGTGTTAAAGTCTCCCACTATTATTGTGTGGGAGTCTAAGTCTCTTTGTAGGTCTCTAAGGACTTGCTTTATGAATCTGGGTGCTCCTGTATTGGGTGTATGTATTTAGGATAGTTAGCTCTTCCTGTTGAATTGATCCCTTTACCATTATATAATGCCCTTCTTTGTCTTTTTTTCTTTGTTGGTTTAAAGTCAGTTTTATCAGAGATCAGGATTGCAACCCCTGTTTTTTTTTTTCTTTCCATTTGCTTGGTAAATAGTCTTTCATCCCTTTATTTTGAGCCTATGTGTGTCTTTGCACATGAGATGGGTCTCCTTATAAAAGAAACATATGAAAATATCCTTTTCAATGTGAATTTTCAACTCCTGTGTTCAAGAGGCACAGTCTATCTCCATCCCTTGAATCTGAACTGGCCTTTTGACTTGCTTTGTCTAATAGAATATGGCAGAAGTGACAGTGTATCACTTCCAAGTCTAGTCCTCAAGGAGCCTTCCATACATTCTCTGTCTCTCAACCTCTGTGCCTGCCATGTGGACAAGCACAAGCTGGCTTGCTGGAGAACAAAAGGTCACGCAGAGTAGAGCTGATCTAGCTGATTCAGCCTAAGAAGCCCTAGACATTTGAAAGTATCCATTCCAAATTAACAAACTGATCCACAGCAGCAGCAGCTAATGAAAAATGCATGAGCAAGGCTTTCCATCCTGCAGGTACCCCTAAGACTTGTGAGCTAATTAAATATTTGTTGTTTTAAGCTTTTAAATACTGATGGGTTTTTTTCATTCAACAATAGCTAATAAACATATGCAATAATGAAATAAGCTACTGCTTATGATAATGACCTTGTCTATTTGAATAACACTGGAAATCAATAAACAGCTATCAGGAATGCTGCAGGAAGAAAAATTATATTGGGTAGAAAACATGACAGATGATGTTGATTTTCTCTGCACCACAGTTATCTGATTTCTTGAATCCTTACCAACTAATGGGATTATTTACTTAAGACATTATGGAAACAGCCTATCTTATTATTGTTCTAATCTTTAAAAAGTAAAGTGTAGGCCAGGCGTGGTGGCTCAAGCCTGTAATCCCAGCACTTTGGTAGGCTGAGGCAGGCAGACCACACGCGGTCAGGAGTTTGAGACCAGCCCTGCCAACATGGTGAAACTCCATCTCTACTAAATAATTCAAAAATTAGCTGGACATGGTGGCACACACCTATAGTCCCAGCTACTTGAGAAGGTGAGGCAGGAGGATTACTTGAACCCAGGAGGCGGAGGTTTTAGTGAGCTGAGATGGCGCCACTGCACTCCAGCCTGAGTGACAGAGCGAGACTCTGTCTCTTCAAAAATAATAATAATAGTTAAAAGTTAAAGTGTAAATGTAAAGTACTCAAGTGTTTTGGGCAGAGTTTTATATTAGACCAGTAATACTTATTTAAATAAACAGTTCCAAAGTATTTTTGCTTAAAAAAAAAACGCACAAGTTAGTATTAATAAGTAAATTTTAACAAGGCTATTCAATAAAGCTTTAAAAATAAAATTATAGAATAAAGTTATTCCAAACTGCTACAAAACACTGCAATAATGATAATACAATGACTTAGATATTGATAGTACTTACCCGCATGGTTCTTTTACTTTAGGGCTCATCCAGACAACACTTCACCATCCACAGTAGCAAAACAGGTTGTTAAATAATAAAACTTTTGTCAGACTAGTTTACTTAATTTTCCCAACACTAATCATTGAGATATTTCTAGTGTTCTAAATTAACTGGCTATTGTAAACATTGATCTATATATTCCCAATGTTATTAAATGAATAACACTGTAATGATTTACTTGATTTACTATATAGATTTACTTGATTCATATAAATGGTGTCAACTTTCAGGAATTTTTTAATAAGCCACAGATTAGGCAAAAAGAAATCAACTGAAGAATTTCTTATTCCTGAAAAATGATAATATAATGACATTGTCTCATTTAATGTGTAGTTAAAATGCCAAATTTATGATATTTTTATTTGATTAGTTAAATGAGATATTCAGGCAACATAGCTAAAAGTTCTTTGTTTATGTAGAATATCAAATATTCATGTTACTGCACAATGGACAAGATTGTGTTCTAGAGTAAATTAAACCACTCCCCAGAAATGTTAAAAAACAAGTGAGTGAACAAAATTGTCTAAAGCCATTTCTCCTTGCAATAAATTAAGATTTGGATCAGCAGTTCTAAGGGAGTGTGATGGCTGCCAAGAGGCAATATGGCAGCCTCGTGAATCTGGAATTGGATAAAGTATTACCTGAGAGTTTCTTATAATATTTCTGTATTCAGAACACCACGAAAAATAAAATCTATTTTAAAATTAAAGATGTATCTACTAAAGGCAGATTCTTTATCAATACATTATTTTTCTAGAGTGTGCTTTATGGGAAAAATATTTTTTAAAAATTATTATGGTTACATAATAGTTGTACATGTTTATAACATACATGTGATATTTTGATACAGCCATAAAATGTGTAATGATTGATCAAATCAGAGTAATTGTGTAATTAGCATATCCATCACCTTAAGCATTTACCATTTCTCTGTGTTGGAGACATTTCAATTCCACTATTTTAGTTATTTTAAATACACAGTAAATTGTTAACTATAGTCACCCTATTGTGCTACCAAATACTAGATCTTATTCATTCTATCTAACTCTATTTTTGTACCTATTAACCTTTCCCACTTTATCTCCCAACTCCCTGCTAACTTTCTTAGCCTTTGGTAACCATCATTTTACTCTCTATCTTCTTTTCTTTTTTAAAAAAATTTTATTATTATTATACTTTAAGTTTTAGGGTACATGTGCACAAGGTACAGATGTGTTACATATGTATACATGTGCCATGTTGGTGTGCTTCACCCATTAACTCGTCATTTACATTAGGTATATCTCCTAATGCTATCCCTTGTCCCTCCCCCCAACCCACAGCAGTCCCCAGTGTGTGATGTTCCCATTCCTGTGTCCATGTGTTCTCATTGTTCAATTCCCACCTATGAGTGAGAACGTGCGGTGTTTGGTTTTTTGTCCTTCGATAGTTTGCTGAGAATGATGGTTTCCAGCTTCATCCATGTCCCTACAAAGGACATGAACTCATCCTTTTTTATGGCTGCATAGTATTCCATGGTGTATATGTGCCACATTTTCTTAATCCAGGCTGTCATTGATGGACATTTGGGTTGGTTCCAAGTTTTTGCTATTGTGAATAGTGCTGCAATAAACATAAGTGTGCATGTGTCTTTATAGCAGCATGATTTATAATCCTTTGGCTATATACCCAGTAATGGGATGGCTGGGTCAAATGGTATTTCTAGTTCTAGATCCCTGAAGAATTGCCACACTGACTTCCACAATGGTTGAACTAGTTTACAGTCCCACCAACCGTGTAAAAGTGTTCCTATTTCTCCACATCCTCTCTAGCACCTGTTGTTTCCTGACTTTTTAATGATCGCCATTCTGACTGGTGTGAGATGGTATCTCACTGTGGTTTGATTTGCATTTCTCTGATGGCCAGTGACGATGAGCATTTTTTCATGTGTTTTTTGGCTGCATAAATGTCTTCTTTTGAGAAGTGTCTGTTCATATCGTTTGCCTACTTTTTGATGGGGTTGTTTGTTTTTTTTCTTGTAAATTTGTTGGAGTTCATTGTAGATTCTGGATATTAGCCCTTTGACAGATGAGTAGTTGCAAAAATTTTCTCCCATTCTGTAGGTTGCCTGTTCATGCTGATGGTAGTTTATTTTGCTGTGCAGAAGCTCTTTAGTTTAATTAGATCCCATTTGTCAATTTTGGCTTTTGTTGCCGTTGCTTTTGGTGTTTTAGACATGAAGTCCTTGCCCATGCCTATGTCCTGAATGGTATTCCCTAGGTTTTCTTCTAGGGTTTTTATGGTTTTAGGTCTAACATGTAAGTCTTTAATCCTTCTTGAATTAATTTTTGTATAAGGTATAAGGAAGGGATCCAGTTTCAGCTTTCTACATATGGCTAGCCAGTTTTCCCAGAACCATTTATTAAATAGGGAATCCTTTCCCCATTGCTTGTTTTTCTCAGGTTTGTCACAGATCAGATAGTTGTAGATATGCGGCGTTATTTCCGAGGGCTCTGTTCTGTTCCATTGATCTATATCTCTGTTTTGGTACCAGTACCATGCTGTTTTGGTTACTGTAGGCTTGTAGTATAGTTAGAAGTTAGGTAGCATGATCCCTCCAGCTTTGTGATTTTGGCTTAGGATTGACTTGGCAATGTGGGCTCTTTTTTGGTTCCATATGAACTTTAAAGTAGTTTTTTCCAATTCTGTGAAGAAAGTCATTGGTAGCTTGATGGGGATGACATTGAATCTATAAATTACCTTGGGCAGTATGGCCATTTTCACGGTATTGATTCTTCCTACCCATGAGCATGGAATATTCTTCCATTTGTTTGTATCCTCTTTTATTTCATTGAGCAGTGGTTTGTAGTTCTCCTTGAAGAGGTGCTTCACATCCCTTGTAAGTTGGATTCCTAGGTATTTTATTCTCTTTTAAGCAATTGTGAATGGGAGTTCACTCATGATTTGGCTCTCTGTTTGTGTGTTATTGGTGTATAAGAATGCTTGTGATTTTTGCACATTGATTTTGTATCCTGAGACTTGGCTGAAGTTGCTTATCAGCTTAAGGAGATTTTGGGCTGAGATGATGGGGTTTTCTAGATATACAACCATGTCATCTGCAGACAGGGACAATTTGACTTCCTCTTTTCCTAATTGAATGCCCTTTATTTCCTTCTCCTGCCTGATTGCCCTGGCCAGAACTTCCAACACTATGTTGAATAGGAGTGGTGAGAGAGGTCATCCCTGTCTTGTGCCAGTTTGCAAAGGGAATGCTTTCAGTTTTTGTCCATTCAGTATGATATTGGCTGTGGGTTTGTCATAGATAGCTCTTATTATTTTGAGATACATCCCATTAATACCTAATTTATTGAGGGTTTTTAGCATGAAGCGTTGTTGAATTTTGTCAAAGGCCTTTTCTGCATCTATTGAGATAATCATGTGGTTTTTGTCTTTGGTTCTGTTTATATGCTGGATTACGTTTATTGATTTTTGCATGTTGAACCAGCCTTGCATCCCAGGGATGAAGCCCACTTGATCATGGTGGATAAGCTTTTTGAGGTGCTGCTGCATTCGGTTTGCCAGTATTTTATTGAGGATTTTTGCATCAATGTTCATAAAGGATATTGGTCTAAAATTCTGTTTTTTTTGTTGTGTCTCTGCGAGGCTTTGGTATCAGGATGATGCTGGCCTCATAAAATGAGTCAGGGAGGATTCCCTCTTTTTCTATTGATTGGAATAGTTTCAGAAGGAATGGTACCAGCTCCTCCTTGTACCTCGGGTAGAATTCGGCGGTGAATCCACCTGATCCTGAACTTTGTTTGGTTGGTAGGCTTTTAATTATTGCCTCAATTTCAGAGCCTGTTATTGGTCTATTCAGCGATTGAACTTCTTCCTGGTTTATTCTTGGGAGGGTGTATGTGTCAAGGAATTTATCCATTTCTTCTAGATTTTCTAGTTGATTTGCCTAGAGATGTTTATAATATTCTCTGATAGTAGTTTGTATTTCTGTGGGATTAGTGGTGATATTCACTTTGTCATTTTTTATTGTGTCTGTTTGATTCTTTTTTCTTCTTTATTAGTCTTGCTAGCAGTCTATCAATTTTGTTGATCTTTTCAAAAAACCAGCTCCTGGATTCATTGATTTTTTTGAACGGTTTTTTGTGTCTCTATCTCCTTCAGTTCTGCTCTGATTTTAGTTATTTCTTGCCTTCTGCTAGCTGTTGAATGTGTTTGCTCTTGCTTCTCTAGTTCTTTTAATTGTGATGTTAGGGTGTCAATTTTGGATCTTTTCTGCTGTGTCTTGTGGGCATTTAGTGCTATAAAGTTCCCTGTGCACACTGCTTTGAATGTGTCCCAGAGATTCTGGTATGTTGTGTCTTTCTTCTCGTTGGTTTCAAAGAACATCTTTATTTCTGCCTTCATTTTGTTATGTACCCAGTAGTCATTCAGGAGCAGGTTGTTCAGTTTCCATGTCGTTGAGTGGTTTTGAGTGAGTTTCTTAATCCTGAGTTCTAGTTTGATTGCACTGTGGTCTGAGAGACAGTTTGTTATAATTTCTGTTCTTTTACATTTGCTGAGTAGTGCTTTACTTCCAACTATGTGGTCAATTTTGGAATAGATGTGGTGTCGTGCTGAAAAGAATGTATATTCTGTTGATTTGGGGTGGAGAGTTCTGTAGATGTCTATTAGGTCCACTTGGTGCAGAGCTGAGTTCAATTCCTGGGTATCCTTGTTGACTTTCTGTCTCATTGATCTGTCTAATGTTGAGAGTGGGGTGTTAAAGTCTCCCATTATTATTATTGTGTGGGAGTCTAAGTCTCTTTGTAGGTCACTCAGAACTTGCTTTATGAATCTGGGTGCTCCTGTATTGGGTGCATATATATTTAGGATAGTTAGCTCTTCTTGTTGAATTGATCCCTTTCCCATTATGTAATGGCCTTCTTTGTCTCTTTTGATCTTTGTTGGTTTAAAGTCTGTTTTATCCGAGACTAGGATTGCAACCCCTGCCTTTTTTGTTTTCCATTTGCTTGGTAGATCTTCCTCCATCCCTTTATTTTGAGCTTATGTGTGTCTCTGCACATGAGATGGGATTCCTGAATACAGCACACTGATGGGTCTTGACTCTTTATCCAATTTGCCAGTCTGTGTCTTTTAATTGGAGCATTTAGCCCATGTACATTTAAGGTTAATATTGTTTTGTTTGAATTTGATGCTGTCATTATGATGTTAGCTGGTTCTTTTGCTCATTAGTTGATGCAGTTTCTTCCTAGGCTTGATGGTCTTTACAATTTGGCATGTTTTTGCAGTGGCTGGTACCGGTCGTTCCTTTCCATGTTTAGTGCTTCCTTCAGGAGCTCTTTTAGGGCAGGCCTGGTGGCGACAAAATCTCTCAGCATTTGCTTGTCTGTAAAGTATTTTATTTCTCCTTCGCTTATGAAGCTTAGTTTGGCTGGATATGAAATTCCGGGTTGAAAATTCTTTTCTTTCAGAATGTTGAATATTGGCCCCCACTCTCTTCTGGCCTGTAGAGTTTCTACTGAGAGATCAGCTGTTAGTCTGATGGGCTTCCCTTTGTGGGTAACCCAACCTTTCTCTCTGGCTGCCCTTAACATTTTTTCCTTCATTTCAACTTTGGTGAATATGAAAATTATGTGTCTTGGAGTTGCTCTTCTCGAGGAGTATCTTTGTGGCGTTCTCTGTATTTCCTGAATTTGAATGTTGGCCTGCCTTGCTAGATTGCAGAAGTTCTCATGGGTAATATCCTGCAGTGTCTTCCAACTTGGTTCCATTCTCCCTGTCACTTTTCAGGTACACCAATGAGACGTAGATTTGGTCTTTTCACATAGTCCCATATTTCTTGGAGGCTTTGTTCGTTTCTTTTTATTCTTTTTTCTCTAAACTTCTCACTTCATTTCATTCATTTCATCTTCCATCGCTGATACCTTTTCTTCCAGTTGATTGCATCGGCTACTGAGGCTTGTGCATTCATTACATAGTTCTCGTGCTGTGGTTTTCAGCTCCATCAGGTCCTTTAAGGACTTCTCTGCATTGGTTATTCTAGTTAGCCATTCATCTAATTATTTTTCAAGGTTTTTTAACTTCTTTGCCATTGGTTCGAACTTCCTCCTTTAGCTCGGAGTAGTTTGATCTTCTGAAGCCTTCTTCTCTCAGCTCGTCAAAGTCATTCTCCGTCCAGGTTTGTTCCATTGCTGGTGAGGGGCTGCATTCCTTTGGAGGAGGACAGGCACGCTCTGCTTTTTAGAGTTTCCAGTTTTTCTGCTCTGATTTTCCCCATCTTTGTTGTTTTATCTACCTTTGGTCTTTGATGATGGTGACGTACAGATGGGTTTTTGGTGTGGATGTCCTTTCTGTTTGTTAGTTTTCCTTCTAACAGACAGGACCCTCAGCTGCAGGTCTGTTGGAATTTGCTAGAGGTCCACTCCAGACCCTGTTTGCCTGGGTATCACCAGCGGTGGCTGCAGAACAGCGGATATTGGTGGACTGCAAATGCTGCTGCCTGATTGTTCCTCTGGAGGTTTTGTCTCAGAGGAGTACCCAGCCGTGTGAGGTGTCAGTCCACCCCTACTGGGGGGTGCCCCCCAGTTAGGCTACTCGGGGGTCAGGAACCCACTTGAGGAGGCAGTCTGCCAGTTCTCAGATCTGAAGCTGCATGCTGGGAGACTCACTACTCTCTTCAAAGCTGTCAGACGGGGACATTTACGTCTGCAGATGTTACTGCTGCCTTTTGTTTGTCTGTGCCCTGCCCCCAGAGGTGGAGCCTACAGAGGCAGGCAGGCTTCCTTGAGCTGTGGTGGGCTCCACCCAGTTCGAGCTTCCTGGCGACTTTGTTTACCTACTCAAGCCTGGGCAATGGCAGAAGCCCCTCCCCCAGCCTCGCTGCCGCCTTGCAGTTTGATCTCAGACTGCTGTGCTGGCAATGAGTGAGGATCCATGGGCATAGGACCCTCTGAGCCATGTGTGGGATATAATCTCCTGGTGTGCCGTTTGTTAAGCCCATTGGAAAAGCGCAGTATTAGGGTGGGAGTGACCTGATTTTCCAGGTACCATCTGTCACCCTTTCTTTGACTAGGAAAGGGAATTCCCTGACCCCTTGCACTTCCCCAGTGATGCGATGCCTCACCCTACTTCAGCTCATGCACGGTGCGCTGCATCCACTGTCCTGCACCCACTTTCCGGCACTGCCCAGTGAGATGAACCTGGTACCTCAGTTGGAAATGCAGAATTCACCCATCTTCTGCTTTGCTCACGCTGGGTGCTGTAGACTGGAGCTGTTCCTATTCAGCCATCTTGGCTCCACCCCCTCTCTATCTTCTTGAGTTCAATTTTGTTTTTAGTTTCTTCGTTTGAGTGAGATCATGCAGTAGTTGTCTTTCTACGCCTGGCTTATTTCACTTCACATCATGTTGACCACTTGTACCCATGTTGTTGCGAATGAGAGGATTTCATTCTTTTTTATGGCTTAATAGTGTTCCATTGTGTATATATGCCACATTTTATCTTTTCATCTGTTGATGGACACTTAGACTGATTCCATATCTTGGTTATTGTGAATAGTGCTGCAATGAACTCAGAAGTGCATTTATCACTTACATACACTTATTTCCTTTCTTTTGGATACATACCCAGAAGTGGGATTGCTGGATAATATAATAGTCCTATTTTTAATTTTGGGGGAACCTTCATATTGTTGTCCATAGTGGCTGTATTAATTTACACTCCCACCAACAATGTATGAGGGTTCCTCTTTCACTTCCTTGCCAGTATTCATTATTTTCTGTATTTTGGATAAAAGCCATTTTAACTAGAGTGAGATAATATCTCATTATGGTTTTCTTTGCATTTCTCTAATGATTAGTAACGTTGAACATTTTCTCAAATACCTGCCGGCCATTTGTATGTCTTTAATAAATGCCTATTCAGAACTTTTGCCTATTTTTAAATTGGATTATTTGGGGGTTTTTTTGTTGCAATTGCATCGTTTGAGCTCCTTATATATTCTAGTTATTAATCCCTTGTCATATGTGCAGTTTGCAAATAATTTCTTCCATTATGTGGATTGTCTTTTTACTCCATTGATTGTTCTTTGCACTGTGCAAAGGCTTTTTAGCTTGATGTGCCCATTTTTGCTTTGGTTGCCTGTGCTTTTGAGGCCTTGCTCAAAATAATCTTTGTCCAAATCGATGTCTTGGAATGTTTCCTCAAGTTTTATTCTAGTATTTTTATAGGTTCAAGTCTTAGGTTTAAATCTTAGTCTATTTTGATTTGAAACACCATTCAGAAGCTAAGGCCTGGAATCAGGGGTTTCAGGAATCTGCTTGGTTCTTTATTTTACTGCGGCTGAGCTGGTACCCAAATTGCAAGACAAAGTCCTCTGTACTCTTCCCTCTCCTTTTCCCAAGCATAAGGAGTTCTCCATGAGCTGTACTGCTTGGAATTTAGGTATGAGGGATACAGGTACTCCTTTGGCTGCTAGAGCTGGCATCACTGGGTTGCACACACCACATGTCCACTGCATTTAACACCAGGGAAGCACCCAGGCTGGCCAAAAGACTGCAGTTTTTGTGGCCTGACAGCCACACGTATTTATTCAAAGATCCTGGCCACTTTAGTCACCTGGTGGTACAGCTTGCCAGGACTCGGTTTCCTTAAACTGGGGCTGTGAATTCCCTTCTAGCCCAGGGTTGGTCTAAGTGCATCCTCTTTCTTTCCTGTGATGTGTTCTACTGTGAAAAAGAATCACTGGGTTCCAATGCAAAGGCCCACACTCACCTTCTTCAAGTACACAGATGCTCTATCCATGTGGCACTGATGAGGAATTCAGAAAGGGTGGTGCAGACAATGCAAGACTGTCTTTCCTACCCTCTTCAATACCTCTTTTTTTGATATTATGTTAAACCCAGGTATTGTGATCACTTACTTGATTTTTTCGTTTTTATGAGGGTGTTTTCTAGCATATAGTTGTTCAATTTGGTGCTCCTGTTGGGCAACAATCACTGAAGGGTACTATTCATCCATCCTGCTCTGCCTCCTTCTTTGGAAAAATGTTTTCAGATGTTCTTTTTGGTATTACATATTGATGATACATATATATGGCGCTGCCATTTTTTCTCTAAGGATATAATTATCTTTGCTGAGAATCAGCTTGCAAAGACAAGGCAAACTTTGTGGAATCCCCAGTAGCGATCATCAAGTTGATATGATGTATAATGATACAGAAATGAAAGTCTGCACCTTACTTAATAAGCTTTATCCTAGAAGTTGTCTAGAATAAGCAGCTTTAGGTAGTGATGGTCTTGTAAGATGTAACAAGGGGAAACAGATCCACTGGCCTTGACATATAATCATAAAAGAGAAGTAGTTCAGATGGCTTCATTGGTTAAGGAAAAAGACAAAAGAAAACCAGAATTTCAAGTATTATTTTTAATTATCAGATAGGTGAGCTACATTCTGTGTGAAAGTTGAACTGTTTGTTGACTTTTTTGAGAGTTTGCATTATGCACACAACTGAGTAATGCAGCAGCCTCCCTTGATATCCCCTTCATTTAAATCATACTAAACTAGAATAAGCAGAACCCTTTTTTTCACTACAGCTCTAACACCTCTTAAACTAATGAGACTATCAGAAGGAAGCAATTTATATTCATTATTTCTTACCTGCTGGATTTGCATGCAGTTGACTCTGACTGATCATCGTGGAAACAGTGGTCAAAGACTAGGTGAAATTGAGGACTAGTAGGATTTCTTACTAATGTCTTAAATTTAAATCACATGAAGTGTTTGGTAGATTTTTAATCCAAACATATTAACAATCATTTTAAATGTTATCAGGATTGGCACAAGAGAGTAAGGGAAAAATGAAGTAATGACCAAAACTCTTTCATATTTTCTGAAAGACATGAATGTACAGAAACAATCAGCACAGCACATGCAAAACAGGATATATTGAAAAATAAAACCAACTTGTCATGTGATACTCCTTTTTAAAAAAATTTGAAAGAAGCCAGAGAAAAAGGCCAATTATGTACTATGGAACAACTATTTGAATATCCATGGAGTTGTCATCTGAAATCATTAAGGTCAAAAGACTGTGGAAGAGTCTTTAAAATTGTGAAAGAAAAAATGAAATGACCTAGAATTCTATATTTAGTAAAAATATGTCAGAAATGAAGTTGAAATAATATTTTAAAAGAAAAGAAAACTGAGAGGATTCTCATTAGCAGATCTGAACTACAAAATATGCTTAAGGAAGTTTTTCAGGCTGAGGGAAATTGTACCACAAGGAGACTTGGATTACCAGGAAGGAATGAAGAACACTAGAAATACTAAATATCTGAGAATGGACAAAAAAAATACAAAGGACTGTTTAAAGCTAAAATGACAATACAGTTTTGTGATTTTTTTCAAATATAAAAGATAACAGGAGTCAAATGGGAACATATTTATTGGAAGTTTTCTACATTTTATATGAAGTAGTACAATATTAACTTTAAGTAAACTGTGAAAGGTTAGGAATATATATTGTAGTCTGCAGAACAAGCTCTTCGAAATAATAAAAACAGGATACAAAAAGCCAATAAATGGGGTAAAATGAAATTCCAAATAATATTCAAATGCCACTAAAGAAAGTAGGAAAGGCAGATCAGAGGAAAAAAGAACATATGGAACAAGCAGAAATTGAATAATAGAATAATAGATCTAAATCTAACCATGTCAATAACATTAAAGTTAGTGCTCTAAGTATTTTAACTAAAAGACAGTTTATTAGAGTTAAAAAAAGAAAAGGGCAGGTTCAATGTTCTGATGCCTACAAGAGCTATGCTTTAAAATAGAAACAGTTTGGGGGTAAATGAATAGAAACAGTTGTGCCTCAAAACTAGAAAGCATGAGATTGCAGTATATATAGTAGACTCAACATAATAAACTTCAAGATAAAGTATTATTGGAGGTAAAAGAAGACATTTCATGATAACAAACTAGACAGGAAGACAACAATTATAAATATGCGTATACTTAACAAAAGTGATGCATGATTTTCTAATTGTGAACTTTAATTCCAGAAATTGATAGAACAATTCTCATCTACTGATGGAACTAGAAAAAAACATCAGTAATGACACAGAAGATTTGGACATCACCATAAATCACCTTGATCTAATTGATATTTAAAGTATGCTATACCCAACAAATGCAAACTACATATTCTTTTTAAGTGTACTTGGTAAATTCATCAATATATATCATCTGTTATAATCATAAACAAGTCTCAGTAAGTGTAAAAAGACTGAAATTATATAGTCTGCTCTCTCACCACAGTGGAACTTATTTAGAAATTATTAACAAAATATTATCTAGGAAAACATTAAATACAACACTTCTAAATAATTTATGGGTCAAGGAACAAATTACAGGAAAATTACGAAGCTTTCTGAACTGTATGATAGTGAATATATAACATACAAAATATGTAGTTTGCAACTAAAACAGTGCTTAGGGAGAAATTCATAGCTTTAAATAATTAAATTTAGAAGAATAAAGATACAAAATGAAAGATCTAAATTTTCTTCCTCAAGAAGTAAGAAAACTGAAGAGCAAAGTGAAAACAAAGTAAGTAGAAGGAAGGAAATTATAAATATAAAAGGAACAATTAAGAAAACCCAAACACATGGATCAAATTACTAATAAAAAATTAATATTAGTTCTTTATAAAGATGAACAATATTTGCAATCTTATAGCTAGAATTGGTCAAAATAAAAACAGTATACAAATCACTAATATGAAGGATGAAAAAGTTTGAACTATAGGCTTATTAAAAGTAACAAAAATATTATGAGCAGCTTTATGCCAAAATATGCAGAAACTCATATGAAATGGCCAAATTTTAAAAAACAATACAAGGTTCAAAATTGACCTAAGAAGAAACAAAACGTCTGAGACCCATGTCAATTAAAAAATTAAATTGATTATCAAAAATATCTTTGAGACAATGAGACAATCGTGAGACCTCTTATCTCTACAATAATGCAAATTTAACCGTTTGAGTAATTCCATTCTATTGGCATTTCTCCAAAATGACTTTTGTTAAAATAAATCTATAAGTGGATTGACACATACTATAGTACATGAAGATGGTATAGAAGCATCTTCTATACCATATTTACCATTTCCAGAGGCAGTAAAAATAATATAGTATAAAATATTAGTAGGACTTGAAAAACTAGTGAGCAAAAAGCTAGAAAGAAACAGCATTATTAGTACCTCTGAGACAACATAAGAGACAAAGTTTTTTCTCATATTGTGACTCAAAAACCCTGAATAGCACAGTAGTTCATGGACTCTAGAAACCAAACTACCTTGATTTGAAACCGGACTTTCCTACTTCATAGCTGTGTAACTTTAAGCAATCTATATAGCCTCTATGTGACTCAGTTTTTATGCCCATCAATGATAAAATGGATAAAGAAAATGTGGTACATATGCACCATGGAATACTATGCAGTCGTAAACAAGTAACAAGATCATGTCCTTTCCAGGGACATGGATGGAGCTGGAGGCCATTATATTTAGCAAACTAACACAGGAACAGAAAAGCAAATGCTGCATATTCTCACTTATAAATGGCAGCTAAATGATGAGAACACATGGACACATAGGCTCCAACACACGCTGAAGCCTATTGGAGAGCGGAGGGTGGGAAGAGGGAGAGGATCAGGAAAAACCACTAATGGGTACTAGGCTTAATACCTAGGTGATGAAGTAATCTGTACAAAAAACCCCATCACACAAGTTTACCTATGTAACAAACCTGAACATGTGCCTCTGAACTTAAATAAAAATTACAAAAATAAAATAAAATAAAATAAAATGGAGATAATATTGTCATGAAGACTAAACAATTATTTGTCAAGTGCTTGGAAATGAACCTGGCACAAAATAAACTTTTTAAGGTATTTATTAAATTTTTTGAAATGTAAATAAAAACTAGAGACTTCAATTACAATATCCAATTAATGTATTTTACAGAATGGTGTTTCCAATCTATGAAAATAGTATAAATATAATAATATAATATAAATTAACACATAATATAACATAATATAAATTAACAATTAGCATTGGAAGTAACTATAATATCTTAGATATAATAATACTTCCTCCAAGTTCTGTTTTGGGAGTTGGTCATTATTTATGCTTCATAGGTTACTTTGTGAATCAGGCCAGCCAAATATCAAATATAGCATTAAGTAATATTCATCAGTAAAACAACAACAAATACAAACAATATAATGAATATCAGGGCTGTCACTTGGTTCTCTGAAGGTCACATTGCTTGATGAGTTATATTTTTTTCTCAGATAAAAATTGACCACTCTTTAGTGTTCATCAAAATTTCACAGGTTTTAGAATTCATTAACATAGATTTCTTGGCATTAAGATGGTACTCATATTGAACACTTGAATTTTTAAAAAGCATGTTAAAAATCATTGGTTTTATCTCTCTCTTGCAGTGAAAAGGCTTTTCATGACAACTTCTACTATCACTTAATATGCTTTATAGTTTCATATTGAGGTATTAGGAAGTAAAGAAACCTGAGAATTCACAGGACATTTTTGAAAGCATTACTGTAGTATGTATTTCCCTGAGTGGCTGCTTAGGTTTATTGGCTAAACATCATTTGCCAAATTAATTTTAACACTTCAAATTTTCTAGTTATTAAGATTTCTAATCCAAAGTCAGTCCTTATGAATGTCAGAAGCACAAACTTTTAACTGCCTTAAGTCTGAATACATGTAGGTCCCATATTAAAGTTTGAAAATCGAGGTTAAAAATTAATTCTAGCTAGAAATTATAGCCATAGAGGATGAATTCAAGAAATCCCTGGTGTATTTTAATAAGTGAAAAAGGTAAGAGGGTAAATACAGTATTAACTTTATGAGTTTTCTATGCTTGAGTAAACATAAAATTTGTAATTATATTTACAGGACTTGGCTGTGTTGAAAGATAAAGGATAATTACATTCATGCCTAATGGGAAAAAGTCAGCACAAATTATGCAGGTTTTGTATGTTAACAAAACTGTAATATTAGGAAATTCAATCAAATGTTAATTAATTACAAGGAAAGGTGCTATCTATGAATGTACTACAACAAGTAAATCTATATATTTTGGGAATTGAAAATATTTTCATTTTTCTCCTCATTATAATTTATTCTGTCATCATAAAATGTACCACAATTAGACTTTTACATTAAGCAGATAATTATGATATAAATAAAACTTATGCAGCTTTCTGAGATAAATAATTTAACGGTGAGCTTTCTTAGTCTTTACACAGTCCATATCACCATTACTTACATTATGAATCATGGGTTAGAGATTTTTGTCATGCAGTTTCTAATATTGTTAGTCACAAGAAAACCAATCTGTCCTCAATAAATTTTCTGTATTTATTGACGATTGTAATTACTTTTTTCTTGGTTGCATTTATATATGTAATAAACTCAATATTTAGGATAGTCAGCTTACTTTTAAAAAATAAGATAAATCACTTTTCTGATACTTGGTCCTTTGAAAGACTTTAGTTAGTGCGGAACAGATTTAAATGTTATATTAGAAAAGTAATTAAAATATTCAGAGAGTCTTATTCAGTCCTTCAAACTTAAACCATGGAACACTAGTCTCTATTATTTTATTAGTGCATGTGTGTTATCTAATTAAGACACATTGAACTGTTGGATAATACTTGTAATATCACTGCCTGTTTTGATTTATCTTGAGTGTAAACAGGACAAGGTCTTCTAAATTTTAGTGATGATATGTTTGCCAGTAGTAGATATTCTACCAATGGCATTAATTCATTCAACAAATATTCTGAGTGCCAACCTATATGTGAAAAGTTAGAAAGGCAAATGAAGCCACATCACCTTGAGCTGCTTTGCTTTGAAATACAAAAATTAAAATAAGACAAAAATGAGGTCATTTGAAAGAACTGGGAATATCTTGTGCAACCTAACTGCGTGGTTGATTTGAATTATTTAAATGGATCCATATCTTTTGCATTTAGTTTTTAAATTTAAATATTCATTTGTTTCTATTCTGATGAAGCTAAATAGAAGCACTTTATGGTTAGATGGTTCAAATTTGTTCATTATTTTTATAATATATTCCTGTGAATAAGCAAAGCAGTAGATTTAGTAAAGGAGTGATGTACAAATTTTCTGTTTTCTGGTTCATAAAGTAATGCTCTATACGATTTTGATATTACTGGATGTAACTTAGGGTTTTACATATAACCAACTATTGCCAGTATTACAATAATGTTTAGTTTTGAATAAATTCCTAACGTGTATATTTGGTTTTATTGTTTTATAAATACATATCTCTTTTTTTGGTTTTGATTCACTTATTGATTATGTCTAACAAAACCTGGTAGCTGTTGATCATGCTCTGATGAAAGCAGCAGTTCACATGAGGCTAGAGACTTTCGACTTAGTGACTGAAACATGAATTACTTTATCCAAATTTGCCTGCCTTTATTTTCTGAATGGGTATTAGTGAGTTTTGTATGTGATAAAGGGGATTGCTTGACAACAATGTAAGTTTCTGAAATAGAAATGGACAGGCTTTCATGCTCAATAGAATTGAATTACTGAAACCAGCACATTCTATTGCCTTTTGGTTCTGGGTTTTTAGATTTCCCAGCTGTAACAACTGCTAGGCTAGTGTGTGACTCACTGTTGTGTGCTTCTCAACCAGTATTCTTAGGTAACTAAAAAGTCCCCAAGCACAAGCAGACAAAGTAAATTCTTAACATATATACTAATAACACACTCTCTTGCTTATTACATATGGTTTGTGTATTCCTTAAAACATAATGCAAAACTTTTCAGATATGATGAAAAAGAGATAAGCTATTTTACCATTTCATAATAATTTTTGGTAAACTAAAATACTTTATGAAATAACAGAAAGTTCAAAACTGCAATTGAGAGAGGCATAGAGAAAAAAACTAGTGACTAATTTATAGATTTTCCTGAAATTCAGTCACCTCTCAATTCACTTCAATTGCCAATTTCTGATTAACTGGTTGGCAGACATCTAGGAATGTGTGAAGTATAATATAAGGTGCAAACCTTTGGCATTTCCTTAGCTGGACCTCCAACTTCCAGTCAGTTTGTAGTGGATCTTCAGTCATCCTCACTATAATGCAACCTGCAAAATGAATATTTCTGTATTTAGTTTGTTTTTACATAGAACTACTTTGAGCAAAAACTAAGTCAACGTGATTCCGTTTCCGAAATAGTAATTCAGTGAGTTGCTTGTTAATTGTAGTTATAGTGCAATGTAAGCATACAAATTTCTGAGAATACCCAACAACTGTTAAGAATTCATATCAAGTTTGATGCAGTAAATCCAGGAGTTTAAAGAGCTTTTGGTTTAGAAATTGTTTAGCTTTATTTAAAAACCTTTCAAGTACATTATTTAATATACATTATTTAATATATAACAATCTTTATTTTCTCGCTGTCTTTCCCACTCCTCACCCACATGATTTGCTTCAGTATCTATGTATTGGTCTTATTTAAGTTCTTTTTAGTTGTTATTTATTTTTTAATAATGGTATATCTATTTGGAATATGGGTAAAATAGTATAGCTATAAAAAGGAAGGAGTGGGAAATTTTGGTAGTTGGAAGAATAATCAGTTCCAATTAGAGTGTATCTAGAATATCTTTTCACCAAATGTTGTGACTTTTCTTCTGAGGGCACATTATGTTTCAGTTTGGGCTGACCATGTCTTATATAATAGTTACCTTTTAATTCACACACTCTCTCAGTTGTGATTTTCAGATAATAGATTATTCTTTATTTTTGCCACTTAGGCACTTATTTTTGTTTTTATTTTTTCCCACTTATTCAGGCACTTATTTTTGTCATATGTAGAACTTACAGTTTTTCACTTGAACATATTAATCATCTTGAAACCACAAGAAAAAGAACATGGATGGAAAGATAATAAATTAGAAATTTGAATAGTTTAATAAGATAAATTCTACTAATTTTTCAAGAGTACATTTTGAGAGACCAGAGATATTATATAAGATAAACACTTATTTTAAAGTAAAATATCATGTAAATTGATTTAAATATTTCAAATGTTTTTCTGATATAGAAACTGCCAAATAATTTGATCTGGAGTAAATCTAACTTAAAACAGGAATCCATCTAATATTATTTTATTTTAATTTTTTTTTTTTTTCTTAGACGAAGCCTTGCCCTGTTGCCCAGGCTGGAGTGCAGTGTTACAATCTCAGCTCACTGCAACCTCTGCCTCCTGGGTTCAAGCAATTCTCCTGCCTCAGCCTACCGAGTAGCTGGGACTACAGGCGCATGCACCATGCCTGGCTAATTTTTTGTATTTTAGTACAGACAGGTTTTCACTGTGTTGCCCAGGCTGGTCTCGAACTCCTGAGCTCAGGCAATCCACCCTCCTTGAACTCCCAATGTGCTAGGATTACATTTGTTGTAGTTTTATGACAACATCATCCTCCTGGGTTACGATTTTTCATATATATCCATATAAGGAACAAAGGCCCTGTCTTGTTTCAGGTAATACAATTCTCCCTGTATTTCTCTGACTTTTTTTTTTAAATATTACATTTTGTTAATATTTTACAAAGTTAGTTATTGTTCATTAGAGTTATTTGTCCCTCTTTGAGTAAAACCTTATGGCTGGCATGGACAGTGTATATATTTCTAATACATGAAAGTGTACCATTATACCTCTATTGCTAGTGACATTTATTTCTTTTAATAGATATAAGAATCTTTATTCACTAAACCAAATGACAATGAAATCTTCATAACTAAATGAATATGTATATCTTCACCCACACTGCTTTGCCATGACAATTGGAATTTTTTTGCCTAGTAGACTAAAGAGTATTAAAATAGAGAATATGCTATTGATTCAAGGTAATATTATTTATATGAAGAGGAAAATTGCAATAATGACTGTATGTTCATGTATTTTTTTAAGAACAATAGCTATAAAATATTGTGAATAAATATAAACTTACGTCTAACTTCTTTGAAAGAGTCTAAAATATATATACAAACTCAAATAATTTGGCATATTATTTTTATTGCTTATTAAAACAAAGTTCTGAGAAGTAAAAACACCAAGCAATTGGTACTATTTATTTTTACTTTTATAAATATTTCTGTTATATCAAAAGGAAATGAATTAAAAATTTTCATGTTATAATGACTTTTTTCTCTGTTGAGCTTCATAAGTATGAGATTACAATAATACATGCTTGAAAAAAAGCATCCTATATTACTTTTTTCATATAAACGTTATATGTATAACCTATATAACAATTTTACTTGATATTATATTGTTAATTCAATATAATTTTATTTAATACTCATTGATACAATACATACATTTTAAATTATCCTCTAAATAGAATAATTTGTTTAACAATTCTCTTATTACTGAGAATCATCAAGACACCCATGTCAGATAAATAAGTTCCCAAAGACCCATCTTCTATATATTATTATGACACATAATATTAGATGTGAGTATATACCAAGATGAGTAAAGAAAGATTCATGAAAATAATATTTGATCACTATAGAAAATTTGGAAAATACAGACGAGCGTAAAAATGAAAATTGCACATAATGCTATCACTCAGTGAAACAAAGTGAATACAGCAAAAGTTTCTTTCATTGTGTCTTTCTCAATAGATGGTTGGATAGATTGACTATAGTATATATTTATATAAATTATATATTAAATTTAAAATTTTTATTGCATAGAATTTATTCTGTATGTACTACATAAATCTTTTATATTACATATATACATTTTATATAGCCTGTTTTGAATGCTTATTTTTTCACCTAGCTTTGTAGAATTCAATACTACATTTTTAAGAAAGATTGTGTCACTTTGACAAATTATGTAGCTTTTTGAGTTCCTATTTTCTTACAAAATTTCCTGTTTGGTTCCATATGAACTTTAAAGTAGTTTTTTCCAATTCTGTGAAGAAAGTCATTGGTAGCCTGATGGGGATGGCATTGAATCTATAAATTACCTTGGGCAGTATGGTCATTTTCACGGTATTGATTCTTCCTACCCATGAGCATGGAATGTTCTTCCATTTCTTTGTATCCTCTTTTATTTCATTGAGCAGTGGTTTGTAGTTCTCCTTGAAGAGGTCCTTCACGTCCCTTGTAAGTTGGATTCCTAGGTATTTTATTCTCTTTGAAGCAATTGTGAATGGGAGTTCACTCATGATTTGGCTCTCTGTCTGTTACTGGTGTATAAGAATGCTTGTGATTTTTGTACATTGATTTTGTATCCTGAGACTTTTCTGAAGTTGCTTATCAGCTTAAGGAGATTTTGGGCTGAGACAATGGGGTTTTCTAGATATACAATCATGTTGTCTGCAAACAGGGACAATTTGACTTCCTCTTTTCCTAATTGAATACCCTTTATTTCCTTCTTCTGCCTAATTGCCCTGGCCAGAACTTCCAACACTATGTTGAATAGGAGTGGTGAGAGAGGTCATCCCTGTCTTGTGCCAGTTTGCAAAGGGAATGCTTTCAGTTTTTGTCCATTCAGTATGATATTGGCTGTGGGTTTGTCATAGATAGCTCTTATTATTTTGAGATACATCCCATCAATACCTAATTGATTGAGAGTTTTTAGCATGAAGCGTTGTTGAATTTTGTCAAAGGCCTTTTCTGCATCTATTGAGATAATCATGTGGTTTTTGTCTTTGGTTCTCTTTAGATGCTGGATTACATTTATTGATTTGCATATATTGAACCAGCCTTGCATCCCAGGGATGAAGCCCACTTGATCATGGTGGATAAGCTTTTTGATGTGCTGCTGGATTCGGTTTGCCAGTATTTTATTGAGGATTTTTGCATCAATGTTCATCAAGGATATTGGTCTAAAATTCTCTTTTTTGGTTGTGTCTCTGCCCAGCTTTGGTATCAGGATGATGCTGGCCTCATAAAATGAGTTAGGGAGGATTCCCTCTTTTTCTATTGATTGGAATAGTTTCAGAAGGAATGGTACCAGTTCCTCCTTGTACCTCTGGTAGAATTCGGTTGTGAATCCATCTGGTCCTGGACTCTTTTTGGTTGGTAAGCTATTGATTATTGCCACAATTTCAGCTCCTGTTATTGGTCTATTCAGAGATTCAACTTCTTCCTGGTTTAGTCTTGGGAGAGTGTATGTGTCGAGGAATTTACCCATTTCTTCTAGATTTTCTAGTTTATTTGCGTAGAGGTGTTTGTAGTATTCTCTGATGGTAGTTTGTATTTCTGTGGGATCAGTGGTGATATCCCCTTTATCATTTTTTATTGCACCTATTTGATTCTTCTCTCTCTTTTTTTTTATTAGTCTTGCTAGCGGTCTATCCATTTTGTTGATCCTTTCAAAAAACCGGCTCCTGGATTCATTAATTTTTTGAAGGGTTTTTTGTGTCTCTATTTCCTTCAGTTCTGCTCTGATTTTAGTTATTTCTTGCCTTCTGCTAGCTTTTGAATGTGTTTGCTCTTGCTTTTCTAGTTCTTTTAATTGTGATGTTAGGGTGTCAATTTTAGATCTTTCCTGCTTTCTCTTGTGGGCATTTAGTGCTGTAAATTTCCCTCTACACACTGCTTTAAATGTGTCCCACAGATTCTGGTATGTTGTGTCTTTGTTCTCATTGGTTTCAAAGAACATCTTTATTTCTGCCTTCATTTCGTTATGTACCCAGTAGTCATTCAGGAGCAGGTTGTTCAGTTTCCATGTAGTTGAGCAGTTTTGAGTGAGTTTCATAATCCCGAGTTCTAGTTTGATTGCACTGTGGTCTGAGAGATAGTTTGTTATAATTTCTATTCTTTTACATTTGCTGAGGAGAGCTTTACTTCCAACTATGTGGTCAGTTTTTGAATAGGTGTGCTGTGGTGCTGAAAAAAATGTATATTCTGTTGATTTGGGGTGGAGAGTTCTGTAGATGTCTATTAGGTCCACTTGGTGCAGAGCTGAGTTCAATTCCTGGGTATCCTTGTTGACTTTCTGTCTCATTGATCTGTCTAATGTTGAGAGTGGGGTGTTAAAGTCTCCCATTATAAGTCAATCCTAAGCCAAAACAACAAAGCTGGAGGCATCACACTACCTGACTTCAAACTATACTACAAGGCTACAGTAACCAAAACAGCATGGTACTGGTACCAAAACAGAGATATAGATCAATGGAACAGAACAGAGCCCTCAGAAATAACGCCACATATCTACAACTATCTGATCTTTGACAAACCTGAGAAAAACCAGCAATGGGGAAAGGATTCCCTATTTAATAAATGGTGCTGGGAAAACTGGCTAGCCATATGTAGAAAGCTGAAACTGGATCCCTTCCTTACACCTTACACAAAAACTAATTCAAGATGGATTAAAGACTTAAACGTTAGACCTAAAACCATAAAAACCCTAGAAGAAAACCTAGGCATTACCATTCAGGACATAGGCATGGGCAAGGACTTCGTGTCTGAAACACCAAAAGCAATGGCAACAAAAGCCAAAATTGACAAATGGGATCTAATTAAACTAAAGAGCTTCTGCACAGCAAAAGAAACTCCCATCAGAGTGAACAGGCAACCTATAAAATGGGAGAAAATTTTCGCAACCTACTCATCTGACAAAGGGCTAATATCCAGAATCTACAGTGAACTCAAACAAATTTACAAGAAAAAAACAAACAACCCCGTCAAAAAGTGGGCAAAGGACATGAACAGACACTTCTCAAAAAGAAGACATTTATGCAGCCAAAAAACACATTAAAAAATGCTCACCATCACTGGCCATCAGAGAAATGCAAATCAAAACCACAATGAGATATCATCTCACACCAGTTAGAATGGCAATCATTAAAAAGTCAGGAAACAACAAGTGCTGGAGAGGATGTGGAGAAATAGGAACACTTTTACACTGTTGGTGGGACTGTAAACTAGTTCAACCATTGTGGAAGTCAGTGTGGTGATTCCTCAGGGATCTAGAACTAGAAATACCATTTGACCCAGCCATCCCATTACTGGGTATATACCCAAAGGACTATAAATCATGCTGCTATAAAGACAAATGCACACGTATGTTTATTGCAGCACTATTCACAATAGCAAAGACTTGGAAGCAACCCAAATGTCCAACAATGATAGACTGGATTAAGAAAATGTGGCACATATACACCATGGAATACTATGCAGCCATAAAAAATGATGAGTTCATGTTCTTTGTAGGGACATGGATGAAATTGGAAATCATCATTCTCAGTAAACTATCGCAAGAACAAAAAACCAAACACCACATATTCTCACTCATAGGTGGGAATTGAACAATGAGAACACATGGACACAGGAAGGGGAACATCACACTCTGGGGACTGTTGTGGGGTGGGGGGAGGCGGGAGGGATAGCATTGGGAGATATACCTAATGCTAGATGACAAGTTGGTGGGTGCAGCGCACCAGCATGTCACATGTATACATATGTAACTAACCTGCACATTGTGCACATGTACCCTAAAACTTAAAGTATAATAATAAAAAAATAAAAAAATAAAATAAAATGAATTTCCTGTTTGGACACATCTTTGAGAGAGTCATTTTTTTAAAATTATACTTTATGTTCTGGGGTACATGTGCAGAATGTGCAGTTTTGTTACATAGGTGTACACGTGCCATGTTGGTTTGCTGCACCCATCAATCTGTCACCTACATTAGGTATTTCTCCTAATGCTATCCTTCCCCTTGCCCCTGCCCCCCAACAGGTCCCAGTGTGTGATGATCGTCTCCCTGTGACCATGTGTTCTTATAGTCCAACTCCCACTTATGAGTGAGAACATGTCATGTTTGGTTTTCGATTCTTATGTTAGTTTGCTGAGAATGATGGTTTCCAGCTTCATCCATGTCCCTGCAAAGGACATGAACTCATCCTTTTTTATGGCTGCATAGTATTCCGTAGTGTATTGTGCCACATTTTCTTTATCCAGTCTGTCATTGATGGGCATTTGGGTTGGTTTCAAGTCTTTGCTATTGTGAAAAGTGCCTCAATAAACATATGTGTGCATGTATCTTTATAGTAGAATGATTTATAATCCTTTGGGTATATACCCAGTAATGGGATTGCTGGGTCAAATGGTATTTTTGGTTCTAGATCCTTGAGGAATCGCCACACTGTCTTCCACAATGTTTGAACGAATTTACACTCCCACCAACAGTGTAAAAACGTTCCTATTTCTCCACATTCTCTCCAGCATCTGTTGTTTCCTGACTTATTAATGATTGCCATTCTAACTGGCATGAGATGGTATCTAATTGTGGTTTTGATTTGCATTTCTCTAATGACCAGTGAGATGAGCTTTTTTCATATGTTTGTTGGCTGCATAAATGTCTTCTTTTGAGAAGTGTCTGTTCATATCCTTCACCCACATTTTGATGGGGTTGAGAGTCATTCTTTCCTTAGACAGAGAAGGGTCTTGTTGTATCCATCTTACAGATATGACTTACTGATTTATGTTCTCTAAACATAAACCCGAGGCGTCTCTTCCCACCAACCTTTTCTATTACCTTTGTCATTGAATTTCTTAATCTATTATAACTTGAGATAGAATATGAGAATACTTCCTCTTTGAACTTTTACTTTATAACATAGAACATACCCATATAGTCAAGTAGTAAGTGACTAATTTAGAGTTAACAATACAGAACTTCTAAATAATGGAATTATTCTTGATACCCAACTAAATCCTTGATGAACATTTTTCCAGTCAACTCCTTGTTATGACACTGTATTAAACCACATAATTGCTTTTTTCTAAAGATACTTTTGATGATGCTTTGTCAGTTCTTCCTATATGGTGCAGAAGAGCTCTGAGGCTTAATTATAGGAAAACATTTCCAGTTCAATTTAAAAGGTGAAAGAGATAAATCACAATTTTTAAATATATAGCTTTTAGAAGAGGTACTGTCAGAAATGTAAAAGCACATTTATAGTTTGGCAAATTTATGACTCCTGCATTAAATAAGCCAGTATAGAGAGAAGAGCTAGATACCCTTTGGATGTCAGAAAGTCAAAAATAAGTAGAAGAAGCATCTGCATACACCTGAAGTTTCCCTCTCCTTGTGATCTTTGGAAGAAATGATAATCTGACATAAACCATTCCAGAAAATGCTAGGTGGTTGTATTTTTCACATAACGTCATGCTTAACTAAATAATGTTAAGCAGACCCACAAAAACAATGTAATAAAGAGCTGAACTTTAAAAAAAGGAAAGCAAAATCATAAATATGTTTCTCTGAACAAAAATTTGGTGAGAAATAGCTCATCTTTTTGTTATGTGATGATAGTGGTAATTTCTTTACTTGGTGTTTGTTATAATGACATTTGATGAAAACATCTATAGAGAGAACATCTTGAATTATAAATACATAATTTTGATTGGATCTACTTTAAAGACTAAAGGGTGAAGAGAATCAAAATCTGGGCCATTCCACAGTAAAACCAGAAAGGAGTGTTGATACTAAGAGAGCACAGCCATAGTACAGTGGGGAGACAATAACAGAATGACCGCAGTGGCTGGTCTAGCAGAAATGCATTAGGTATGACATTGCCATGGAGAAAAAAATAATAATTCACACTAGAAAAAAAAATATTAAACTACTTTACCTGTTTGGAGAAAAGGCCAGTTTGAGTTTATTTAAGAGCCTACAAAAAATGTGGTAGGCTGAATAATGCCCTAGCCCCAGCCTCAAAGGTGTTCACACCCTAACCCTTGAAATCAGTCATATTACATGGCAAAAGGGACTTTGAACATGTAATTAAGGTTACTGACATTAAAATAGAGAGATTATCCAATATTACTTAGATGGGCCCAATATGGTTATCAAATCCATTCAAAACAGACAACTTTCCCAGGCTGGAGACAGATATTGACATGCGATGAGAAATCAGGGGAAGCCAGAGTAATTCCAAGCTGGATTTTTCAACGTGCCATGGCTGCCTCTAAGATGTACAGGCTCATGTTCAAGAATCAAAGAGAAGCCTTTAGAAATCACTGCCATCCACCAGCTGACAGGCAGCAGAGAAATGGGGATGTCAGCCCTGCAATCACAAGGAACTGGATTCTGCCAACAACCTGAATGAACTCGGAAGTATATGCTACCCAGATCCTGCCAAGAAAAAGCATAGCCACCAACATCTTAATCTCACCTTTAGAAAACCCATAGAAGGGAAATCAACAGACCCAGCCTGGATTGCTGATGTACAAAATTATGAGATCTTAAATTTGTGTTGTCTTAAGCCACTAAGTTTGTGGTAATTTGATGTAACAGTTAATAAAAAACTGAAACAGAATGCAAGCCAATATTTATTAGCAATGACTGAGAAATAAGTGGCTGTTTGGAGACATTATTGTTAACTATTTGGTTTTTATATTATTACAGGCACACAAAAGTTTTCCATATTTAAAACTATTATCTTTGGCATTCATGTCTCAGAAGTTCACGCCACTTTCCATTGGCAGGAATATGTAATATGTAAAAGTGAAGGGAAACAGGTGGTATATTAAATGCTTCTTTTTCCATAACATCTAATGTAGAAATTTATAATTTTCATTACTATCATGTAGCAAGATCCATATAAAAAGGATATAAAACTGTCATTATTTACAGATAACATAACTATGTATATACATATTTCAAAATACATATAAAACAGAATTAATACATTTATATAAAATTGAGCAAGTTTCTAAATTATAGATCATATGAAAAAATTCACCTATATGCTTTTATATATGATCACAAATATTATTTTAAATATTGTGGTATTTACCATAGACTTAAGAAATACAAAATACCTAGAAATGAACCTAACAAAAATATGTAAGACTTCTACTCAGGAATATGACAAAACAATATTGAAAGTAATTAAAATAAATCATTTTGGTTTGGAATACTCTTAATTGTAAAGATTCTAATTCTGCCCAAATTGATCTATAGATTTCAGGCAATACCAATAGAAATATGAGTGTGTTTATATATACAAGCTGACTCTAAAATGTATGTAGAAATATAAAAGCACAAGGGTAGCCAAGATGAATCTTGAAGAAAAGGATAAAATAAATTGCAGGACATATGCTGTTGAATATTGTGATATAAGAAATATATATTTAGTATTTTCCCCCTGTTCATGGCACATAGTTTCTAAAAGCCTTGTAGATAGGAGCACAAGGAAAATCTTTTGTTGTGGTATGCGGTCTTTGACCCTAGTTTCTGACACAGAGCTCCTAAGACCTTTGAAGTTCCCTGAATGTTAGGAGCCTCTGGGCTCCTAAATCTCTTGGAATTTCCTAGGTGATAAAAGCATCTTATTATTATTATTATTATACTTTAAGTTCTGGGATACATGTGCAGAACGTGCAGGCTTGTTACGTAAGTATACACGTGCCATGGTAGTTTGCTGCACCCATCAACCCGTCATCTACATTAGGTATTTCTCCTAATGCTATCCCCCTCCAGCCTCACCCCCGCCACAGGCCCTGGTGTGTAATGCTGCGCCCCCTCCGTGTCCATGTGCTCTCATTATTCAACTCCCACTTATGAGTGAGAACATGCAGTGCTTGGTTTTCTGTTCTTGTGTTAGTTAGTTCCCTGAAAAGGACGTGAACTCATCCTTTTTTATGGCTGCATAGTATTCCACGATGTATATGTGCCACGTTTTCTGTGACTTTTTGTAACTTGGTAACTTATTTCTTTTATTGCTAATAATATTCAATTCTATGAATATGCCATTTTGTTAATCCATTTTCTTACTGAAGAACATCTTGACTGTTTTCTGTTCTTGGTGGTTATGAATTAAGATGCTATAATCATTTGTGAGCAGGTTTTTGTATAGATGTAAGTTTTCAACTCAACTGGGTAAATAACGTAAGAGTACAGTTCCTGATCATATGGTATATTAGTTTCCTGGGGCTACTAGAAAGTACCATAAACTGAGTAAATTAAACAACAGAAATTTATTGTATCACAATTCTGGAGGCTAGAAGTGTGAGATCTTAGTGTTAGTGGAGTTCCTTCTAACAGCAGGAAAAGTCCATTCCATAAAAAATACATTGCATGCCTTCGCCTTAGTGTTAAGTTGTTCATTGCCCATCTTTGGCACTCCTTGGTTTGTGGAGGCATCACCCTGAGCCTTCATTTCCACATGGTGTTCTCCCTGTATGCATATATATGTTCAAATATCTCCTTATTGTAAGGATGCCAGTCAATTTAGGGAACCACCCTGATGGAGTGTGACCTAATTTAGCTAATTACATCTGCAGTGGGACTATCCAAATAAGGCACACTATCTTCCAAAGTGGCTATCCAATTTTGCACTCCCATAAGCAATAAATAATAGTGCCAGTATTTGATAGTGTCAGGTTTTTTGGCTTTTAGCCATTCTAATAAGTGTACGGTAGTATCTTATTGTTATTTTTACTTGCAGTTCACTGATGATATATGGTGTTGGACATTGTTTAATATGCTTACTTACCATCTGTATTTCTTGGTGGGAAAGCTGTAAAATTTTTTTGCCCAGTTTTAAATTTGGTCATTTGTTTCTTATGGTTGAGGTTTATGAGTTCTTTGTACATTTTAGATACAAGTCCTTTATCAGTTGTATGTTTTGCACTTATTTTCTCCCAATCTGTGGCATGTCTTTTTATTCTCCTAACAGTTTCTTTCACAAAGCAGAAATTTTTAATTTTAATAAAGTCTAATGTCACTTTTTTTCTTTCACGCATCATGGTTTTGTCATTGTATCTAACACTGTTAGTTTGTAACTCATTTTTAAGACTGACACTTTGTTTAATCTAGTATGGGCTGTGTCTGGATATTTTGTTATTTATCTACTTTACCTTGTATATATTATCCCTAGTGTTTGGTACAAAATAGGCATGCATTAAATATGCATTAAATAAATTAATTACTGAAAGGGATAGTGGATAAAGAATTGAATAAATAAGCAATTGAAAATGTGTGATTAGGCTCTAGTTTTACTTTTGTATTTTTAGGGCCAAAAATACAAATTTTTTTGCAATAGCACTTTGTAAAATGCATTGGGAAGCTTGTAGATGTTTGAGTTTGCCTCCCATTTTGTAAATATACTCATGTTTAGTTTTGATCTCCTCTAAATTATTAAATCCTTCCAGTTTACAGATATATTCCAGAGAAATTTAATAAATTCTTCCAGATATATAAGCTACTTAGAAATGTATTTCTCATGCATTTTGATGTTTCCTGATATATGCAGAATCCTGAAATCTCAAAATATATTAACAATTTTTACAGATGCTAGAATTTTTAACATGTTTTATAATTTTAAAATACTATAAAGTTGATGAAAATACTATTATTTTCCAATAGATAATGAGTTTTTATACTTGTATGTGTATTTTCCATCTTGGGAATACATTTCATGTAATACAAATGAAAAATATTACCGGATACTGCTGAGTAAACAGAAAGACATCAATATGTATTATGAACTCAGTTTGTGAACTTATTAATAGCTGTCATGGTATAGCATAGAAATAAATTGTGATTGTTAGTCATTATATTTTAACTAAAGGGCTTCCTGAGTTAACTATTTGTTTCTAAAATTATTAGGACTGCTTCTTTTCTTTTTGAAACCCCAAAGATCAAATTCATGGGGCATTCTTATCAGTCATTTACTATATGGTTACATTTCTTTTACTATATTTAATACAAGAAACCACAGCCTTGCTCATTTAACTTTTCTTTCTTTTATGTTTTTCTTCTTTTTGTCAGTCTTAGGCTTTTACATCAATGTGCCGCTGAGAAAAGAAATTGGAAAATTTGTAACCTGACAATGTTTTTGTAAAATTCTTCTGTTCATCTAATTTTATAAATTATTATAATTATATTTACATTCTTAAGATCTATCACAAATTGAGTCTGTCAGAGTGAAAGAAAAATTTTCCTCATTTCTAATTATAAATTTAACTTTAACAGGGGCTATAATTTCACTCTTTAATTCTAGCTTATAGTAGTATACAATTTCTATAACATTTCCTGACTACAGATAAAGTCCAATTTCTCTTTGTAATTATATGTTCATTTAACATAAATTTTCAAGCATTTACACAGGATTATGGAGAAATCAAAGATGCCAAATTTGTCATATTCATCATAAGGTGTTTTAGTTACATAAACTATTATGTAACTAAATTGCTTCCTGACAATAGAGTTCATGTAATACACAGGAAGCACATTATTGGATTTTTTTTTGTGAATGCACATACAGGAGTTCAGTAGAGGAGAAAATATACATAATATGCAATTTTAACACAAAACTACCAATGGGAATACAGTGAAGCAAGTAATTGTTTTGAACTTAAGGAGATTTTCAGAAAAGGTTGTTATTTGATCAGAGCCGTAATAAATGGGTACAATTTCAAGATATGGAAATGGAAGTGAAAGAAATGAGTAAAGAAAGGCTTACAGGAAAAACCATGAGGCTGGGACGGGTGGTACATTCATTTCTGCTTATGTACATGAAAAAGGAACATTTTAAAATAAGATTGTAAAACTTTATCTAGTTATATTAATACTGATCAATTTGGTTAAACTCAGACAAAATGAGTTTAAATTTTATTGTGGGGATAAATATAAAACTGGAAATATCTGAACACAGAATTTGCATTATAAGATGAGTGTTGCAATCAATGGAATCTGGCAATGAAAGCAAAAGTGAATTGAAAATGGAGAATAAAAACAACTATTGGGATACTAGGGAAGGAGGTCCTACAATAATAGTTCAGAATAGAATTATAAGTTTGGAACAAGCTAAAGGCAATGAGCATTTAAAAAATAAAACCACAAATGTAGAATATTGTCAAGATCTAATCCACTGACTTTTGTGACCACGTCTTTTGTACATAAGGAAGTGAAAGAGTAAAAAAAAAATCTAGAAATTTTGAACATACATAATGATAGTATATACAATAAAGAAGGTAGGGGTTGGGATCAAGGGTTTGGTAGATAAGGGAAGTGGCTACAAATGCTAGCAGATTTCCTTGGCCAAGTTACATTTTAATTTTCTTATTTATTACTTATTACTTCTTAACAGAGCTTTGAGGATTAAATGAGGAGATATCCATTAAGCACTCAGCATGGTGCCTAAAATAAAATAAGTTCAATAAAGATTATATATTATTTATTATTAATAGTAGTATTGAATAGAGATCAAGCAACATTGCTAACAAGTTTAGCTTTGAATATATTAAGTATGATATTTTACAAAAAATTCCAAGTGAATATGTGGAGTAGGAAATTTGATGTTTGCCTTTAAGCTCAAGAGAGACTTTAATCTTTAGATGTACATTTAAAAGCCATCAGCATAGAATTAGTAGGTGAAACCATCAAAAGTAGAAGTCAATAACATTTCATTATTTAAACATGTTTCTAATCCTGCATTGATTTTTCGATATACATGGAAAAATTTAATGAAATTATCAGAAAAACTTCAAATATTAAAATTAATGAAGAAACTCGCTAATTAGATTTTAAAAATTCAATAAAATGTTAAATTTACCAGGAAGAAAAATTTAAATATTACAATTAATATAAAGAACAAAATTCACACACCTATAGTGAACTCATTCTTGACAAAAATGACAAGAACATACACTGGGAAAAAGACAGTCTCTTCAATAAATGGTGTTGGGAAAACTGGATATCTATATGCAGAAGAATGAAACTAGAACCCTATCTCTCACCATATACAAAAATCAAATCAGAATGGATTAAAGTCTTAAATCTAAGACCTCAAACTATAAAACTACTTCAGGAAAACAATGTGGAAACTCTCCAGGACACTGGCCTGGGCTAGAGATTTTTGAGCAATACCCCACCAACACAGACAACCAAAGCAGAAATGGACAAATGGGATTACATCAAGTTAAAAAGCTTCTGCATAACAAAGGAAACAATCAACAAAGCAAAGAGACAACCCACAGAATAATAAGAAATATTTGCAAACTACCTATCTGATAAGGAATTAATTACTAAAATATATAAGAAGCTGAAACATCTCACTAGGAAAAAATTTAATAATACGATCAAAATATGGGCAAAAGATTTAAATAGACATTTCTCAAAAGAAGACATACAAATGACAGGCATATGAAATGGTGCTCAACATCACTGATTATCAGAGAAATGCAAATCAAAACTACAATTAGATGTCATCTCTCTCAGTTAAAATGGCTTATATCCAAAAGACAGGCAATAATAAATGCTAGTGAGGATGTGGAGAAGAGGGAACCCTAGTACACTGTTGGTCAGCATTTAAATTAGTACAATTACTATGGAGAAGGGTTTGTAAGTTCCTCAAAAAAACTAAAAATTGAGCTGCCGTATGATCCAGCAGTCCTACTGCTGGGTATATACCCAAAAGAAAGGAAATCAATATATTAAGGAGATATTTGCACTCCTATATTTGTTGCAACACTATTCACAATAGCCAGGAATTAGAAGAAACCTAAGTGTTCATCAAGAGATAAATGGTTAAAGAAAATGTGGTACATATACACAATGGAGTACTATTCAGCCATTAAAAAATGAGGTCCTGTCATTTAAAACAACATGGATAGAACTGGCGATCATGATGTTACATGAAATATGCCAGGCACAGAAAGATAAACATCATGTGTTCTCACTTATTTGTGGGATATAAACATCAAAACAAATGAACTCATGGACATAGCATGTAGAAGAATGGTTTCCAGAGGCTAGGAAGGATACTGGCAGGCCTGGGGGCAGGTGGGGATTGTTAATGGGTACAAAAAAATCCAGAAAGAATGAGTAAGTTCTAGTATTTGATATCACAACGGGGTGACTATAGTCAATAAAAACTTAATTGTACATTTTAAAATAACTAAAAGAGTATAATTGGATTGTTCATAACATAAAGGATAAATGTTTGAGGATACCCCATTCACCATGATGTAATCCCATTTGTCAGTTTTTGCTTTCATTGTTTGTGCTGCTGGGTTATTGTTCAAAAAGCTGTAGCCCAGACCAATGTCTTGAAGAGTTTCCCCAGTGTATTCCTGAAGTAGTTTCATAGTTTGAGGTCTTAGATTTAAGACTTCAATCCATTTTGATCTGAATATTGTATATGGTGAGAGATAGTATTTTAGGTTCATTCTTCTGCATATGGATATCCAGCACCATTTATTAAAGTGACTGTCTTTTCCCCAGTGTATGGTCTCATCACTTTTGTCAAAAATGAGTTTACTGTAGGTGTGTGAATTTGTTCCTGTGGTCTGTATTCTGTTCCATTGTTCTATGTGTCTGATTTTATACCAGTCCCATGCTGTTTTGATTACTATAGCTCTGTAGTATAATTTGAGGTCAGGTAATGTGGTTCCTCCATTTTTGTTCTTTTTGCTTAGGGCAGCTTTGTGTATTCTGGGCCTTTAGTGGTTCCACATGCATTTCAGGATTTTTTTTTTTGTTTCTGTGAATAATGTCATTGGTATTTTAACAGGAATTGCACTGAATCGTTAGACTCTTTTGGGTAGTATAAATATATTAACAATATTGATTGAATCCATTAACATGGAATATTTTTCCATTTGTTGATAGGATGTATCACATTGATTAATTTGCATATGTTGAACCATACTTGCAGTCCAGGGATAGCTCCTATGTGGTCATGATTATTAACTTTCTAATGTATTCTTAAATTCTGATTGCTAGTCTTTTGTTGAGGATATTTGCACCAATTTTCATCATAAATATTGGCCTGCAATTTTCTTTGTTTGATGTGTCTATTTCTATTCTTGCTGACTTCACCCCTTTATCATTACATAGTGACCTTCTTTGTCTCTTCTTATAGCTTTTTTTCATATAATCTATTTTGTCTGATAAAAACACAGATACTCCTGCATTTTTTTGGTTTCCATTTGCATTGAACCTATTTTTCCATTCCTTTATTTCTGCTTAGACGTCATGGGCTACCATCGGCTGACCCATCTTACTGTGATGAAACCTGTTATCTCTTATTGTCTCACTTGATATGACACATATCAACTAGCTCCCACATTTTACATGGCCAAAAGGGAAAAAAATACTTTAATTTGCAATTTTTTAAGGCTTACACATTTACTTTGCATTTAATGCAAAGATAGAGTTTCCAAAAATGTAAGAACATAAGCCTGAGAAACCTGAACAGTTTATGCCTGATATATACATATATATAAAATTTTAATTTTATATACATATATATGTATATATCATGCATATATAAAGGCATATATATATATATACCTTGTATTTTTGTTGCTGCTTTTTTAAATACAAAGGGCTGGGTAATTTTTATTCTTTTACTTACCAGTATCTTCCACAGTGACAAATGCTAGTTGAATTATACTCACAGTAGTTTGAATTCTAATCAAACTAATCAAAATTAGTTCATCCATTTAAGTAACAATTCTAAAGATGGTGAGGATTTTCCTCTCATTATTAAAATGTTTCTGTCCCAGAAAATGAGAAATGAGTTTCTGGTATTATGAAACCTTTTTGTTTCAAGTGTTCTCCTCTATAATTACAGTGATTCATTACATATTTACTTCCATTTGCATTTGTCAGTAAATGGAAGACTTACTGAGTTATTGTGATATGTGAGTTAACCAAGCCTTAGACATGCATGATAAGTTTATTTTTAATTTACACATTTGTAGGTAACATTCTGTGCATTTCTCCCTCCTAGTATTTGTAGACACAGTTATGGTATCTACTGGTTCTTATTTAATAAGATAATAACATGATAATTGCTACTTTAACTACTTGGCACAATTTGGCATTTCTGAGCTATTTATACTATCATTTGGGGGAAATAACAAAAATTTGACTAAAATATGTTTAATTTGCATTTCTCCTTGACATTAAAGAAGGTTATAGTTTTATCTGTAGTACCTTAGAATATTTTCTTTTTTCTGTTCTCACAAATGAAGTAGACCTTTTTCGATACCTTCCTTTAAAAATGCAAATTAGTTAACAAACAGTAGTTCAAAAGTTAGATACTGAATCCTTGCTAATCTTTCTATTCTTTGCTCTGGAATATGAAAAAATTTCTCCAAATGGAATTCTGTACTATCTCCCAGCTGCTTATAAAAATTATGTCTATGCTTCTAAAAGTTCAAAACTATTCTCTTTCTGAAATATCTTTCTAAGTTTTTTAAAGGCTTACACATTTACTTTGCATTTAATGAAAAGACTGAGTTTCCAAAAAAGTAAACTTGAGAAACTGTTTAGGTTGAAACTAAAATTTACTTAAAATTCTCTTATTTATTTATTCTCCAGACTAACAGGAAATGTTCTGTTAGGCAGAAGGAAAAAAATTAAAAAAAAAAAAAAACAGAAGCGTATTTATCCACAAAAGTCAAGACAAGAAAGTGTTTTAAGGAGAATGTTGTCACCTGTGTCCAATACTACTGAGAAATCAAGTAGAAGGTCAATCTTTAATGGCCATGATTTGGCAAAATGGAAGAGTTGTTAGTGACCTTGCAAAGAGCAGTTTCAGAGGAACAGAAGCATAATCAGAGTGAGTGAGAAGAAATAAGTGAATCACTGAATACAGACAGTCCCTTGGGTCAGTGGAGCAAGTGGAGTCAAGGGAGTTTGCTTTTGTTTTTGTTTTCTTTGTTTATTTGCTTGCTTGTTTTAATAAAAGACAAGCCAAAATCGGCTCTAGTTTTGGATCATATGTGCCATCCTTGTCTGTATCACACTGAAAAGAACACAAGGACCTCAAAGAAATTGGTTGCAACTGGACTCTGCTGTTAAATCTGTCATCTTAATTATGATACATTAATTATAATGATTATATATTATAATTATGTATTATGATTATTAATTATGTATTATGATTAATTAATTGTATCTTAATTATGATACATTCCCTTAATCTCATGTAAAATGACAGGGTTAAATGTCTATATTCAACATTTAATGAACCTCCACATTGACATCATTTGAGATTTTGAAATTAGATGTGCCAACTCACAACTCTGTCAGTTACTTTATTTTACTAAATCTCAAGAGGTTTCAAGACCTTTGCTGAAGTGAGGCAGGAGGTAAGAGAATGGAAGTTTTGAGAAAAAACCATTTTATATAAGACTGATGTAAATAGGTTTCCTCAAGTGAACTTTCGGGTTAAAGGATGTAAACACTAGGGCTACTGAATACAGATGGCAAATTACTCACTCAAAATAATGAACACTTTGCTTGGCAACATGTAGTGAATGAATCTCTTTAAATCATATAATAGTTAATACAGATTATAATTATCAAAATGTGTTTTAATAGCAACAACATGTTTTTCCTCTATGAACTTATGTATGTTTGATTACTAGTGTGGCTGATATTTTTCTGTACATGAACCATCTATTGTCCTCCATGTAAAAATTAAAGATTCATATTATTTGTCCATTCCTTTAGGGTTTTAACATTTTCCTTACTTATTTAATGAGGTCTTAATATGCAAAGGCTATTTGCTGAGCTGTCCTCTCAAATTGGTTTGAGATAATTAACTATTAACAATGGGCTGTTGCTTTTAATGAATAGGTACTCATTAAGATGATGTACAAGCACCATACAATGTTTCTTCTACAAAACAGAGAAATTTCTTTCAGATCTGAAAAATAAGAAAAATTGTGCAGCCTCTGAATGGTCGATATATTTTTATCTACTGGATATGAATACTGAAGCAGATTGATTACTCTCATTTCTTTAAGAAGCTAAGAGTTTAACTTATGGACTGTCATTAGTTATTGCATAGAATATTATGGTATTTTTCTTCTGATTCTATTTTTAGGATTAGCATATTTTCCATTAACTTCAACCTTTCAATTTGCTACTCATTATCTGTTGTAATAATATGCATATTTCTATAAGTCATCTCCAATCCTGTTTTGAAGCAATGAAGGGTATAACAAAAACTGTAATAAACTAAACAAACCATTTAATAACTTTATTCACTAGTTACTGCTGAAACTTTTTCTCATTTAAATTTTTTTTTTAAATCTTATAATGAGTTATATTTCAGGTATCAGTTTTGCTCTATGATATTTTCCATTCTTTTTTAAGCTTAGAAAGTACAATAAATCAAATGAGCCCTGACCATTTAACTTGCATAGATAAAAAGATGAGAGAATACAAAATGGGCCTAAGGTTTTTCCATTCTGTACTGCCTTTCTACTTGCAGTAACTTAAAATATGCCTAGATCATAAGACTCTTGAACTTTACTCCATATGAATGCACAGTGTCTTTGAAATCGTGGGATTTGGCAGTTAATGAAAACATGGTTATAAGTAATGAAAAACCCAATCAATATCAGCCTAGACAAATAGATTTTTTTCTCCACCTAAAATAACTGAGTATTTGACATCTTTGTGAAATTTTTTGGCCTTTCCCTCATAGCTGCAAGATGGTTGTTGCCACATCTCCAAATATAAAATCTACATTCCAGAAAGGAATAAGTAGAGTGACAGAGTAGTACCAGCAGTCTTCTGCTTGAATCTCAATGGACAGAACTCTTTTACATGGTCACCTTGAGCTAAGAGACAAGTGCTGTCTTCTTTAGTCACATAGTGGAGTTGAGTGCGACAAAGCAGGGATGCTAATGAGAGTCAAATGATTATTCTTTAATATTTGTATGTGAAACCACTTTCTAAATCTAAGTTAATTACCCCTTCTCAATCAGATTATAAACTCATTTAGGATTGGTTCTATTCCTTTTTGTTTTTCTCTGTAAGAATATCTAGCAAAACGCATAGAATTAATATTTTTAAATTATCTATTTAAATTTTCAGGATAAAAATAACTACATTATTGGTTTTTGTTAAGTCTACACTCTAATAGGGAGTCATAACCTAATTTTATAAAATCTCTTCATGGTAGTTGTGTTTGCTACCTGCATTATAACCACAAAATTATTTCCCTCAATAGATGAGAATGGGGTCATATCTAGGTCCCAAACCAAGCTTATTGTTTTAGAGCTGTGTAGAAAATTAGATTACCGGTTGCATTAGTTTCCATTGCTTAGTAACAAATTACTCCAATTTACCAGCTTAAAATAACACCAATTTATTATCTTAGTTTCTATGGGCCAGGACTCTGGATATGAATAGCTAGGTCCTCTGCTCTGGGTCTTACTGTGCTGAAATCAAGGTGTCAGGCAGGGCTATAACCCCATCTTGTTATAGTACCCTGGACCTCTAGTTTTTTGGCTCTCGTGTAGATATTAGCACTAAGCCAAAGAAATGTTTCTCAGGCAAGGCTTAATAGGCATACGGCTGGAGCAATGCAAGAGAGCAGCATTACAGGAAAGGGATCCCGGTGCTAGCTCCCGGAAAGGCTAGGCTCTTGTCATTTTAAGGAAGCTGAGGCGGGGGAAAAGAGCCACATGTGCATGTTTACGTGGGTTCTTCTCTGTGCCTGTGTTGTGAGGCTTCACGCCCTAAAGTGCGTCCCATGCACAGAAAAAGGATAAAGCCTAGGGTGGATAAAGCCCCGCCTTAGGTGGGCTCAGTATTACAATAAGATTATAATGAGAAGAAAGTCAGTCCTGGAGTTCTCGTCGCCTGCCAGCCAGATCTGGTCAGGTTTTTATCAGGAAAACCAGAGTCCCGATTCAGCAACCTGGAAGACATTACTCAAGGAGATTAACGGTTAGGTTCTTCCTTTTATAGTTAGAAATTCGGCTTGGTCAGCTAAGTTGGGAAGGCGGCTTTCTGCTACGTGGCTTAGGTCAGCTTAAGAGAGGCAAGAAGGTAGGGCAGAGAATATGCCCGGACATGTGAGACCTACTGGGATTCTGATCATCATGTCTCTTGTCTGCCAGGACCGACTCTTATCCCTACAGTGTTACTGGATGTTGGTAGAATTCCGCTACTTTTTGGTAGAATTCCATTCCTTGTAGTCATAGCTCTAAAGTTCCAGTGTTGTTGCTGGCTGTTGAGCAGAAACCAAACATCCATCCTTGCCACATGGTCTGCTCTTGAAGAAGAAATTCACTTCTTCCAGGACAGAAGTAGCACATCTCTCCTGCTTTTGTGCATCATCTCTCATTTTTGGAATCCCTCCACTGCTTCTAGTCTCCTTTTAAATGGCTAATTTGATTACCTCAGCTCCACTCAGGATAATCTCCCTTTTTAGTAAATTATAGTCAACTGATTAGAAGTCTTAATTACATCTGCAAAATCCGTTCTCCCTTGGCAGATAACTGAATCACGGAGTGTATCCTACCTGTGGTATCCTATTCAGAGACCTGATTCACACTGAAAGGCAGTGAGTTATACATGAGCACTAGAGGCTGGCACCATAATTGTGGGTGCCCTCTTAGAATTCTGCCTAATATACTAATAAACTTTAATGCTGTTTTTAAGAACTGATTATGAAGCACAGAGTTAGAAAAAGTTTAAAAATGTAACAATTATGTCTGAGGATCTAGAGAAGTTTCTCAGCTAATTTAAGGATTTATTTGGACATGAAATGTTTTTAAGTGTGATGAGATCAATTTTATTAAAATCAGACCAACTCCATTGTCTATATTTTTAACCACTATAAACCAGTTTTTCCATACCATGTGAAAACAGCATGCTCACATAAAAATTGTTCAGTAAATATTACCTAAAATTATTCTCTTTACTGATGGATTAAAATATGTTTTCTATTTGGCACCATTGCATGTTTTTGAATGTTGGATGACTAGCATTTTGTTAATGCAGTGATTAAGTACAGCCATACTGCGTGGGTGAAAATGAGCTTTGCAGAGAACTGCAAAATTGTTTGACTTCTTGTACTTTGAAGAGTGTCAAGAGAAATCGAGCTGATTACAAATTGACTAGGATTGAAAAAATTTTATGCTAAAAATGATTTTTTTCAGAGAAATCTGATGAATCATTCCTTAGTGGTTTTTTAGGACATTCTGCTGTTTTAGCAATCACATTTATTCTCAGGAATCTCCTCTGCTCTTGTGAACTTTCATTATATGACACTAATTACATCAGTTAAGAAGAGATGCAGGCAAAAAATTGGGATGTCATTTGGGAGAATATACGTGTCTTGTGTTTTGATGGTACCTATGGTCTTTACAAGCATCTATGCAGAAAGAAAAAGAAACAGCTTATTAGTTATGATGAAAAAAGTTATAATCTTGCTATTCATCCTGACTCTGCCCCAACTACCCCTGACAAATTAGACAAATCTGACCTTTTAACAACATTCAAGAAAAAATGACCTCTAAACCCCATTATATACTAATGTCTAGGTAGTACTGTGTGCTGTGTATTTAAGATAGTTTTTAAAATTTAATTAAATATATGGACTGTATGAATGTTAAACCTTTTGTTTTAAATTTTCTTGTTGATTTTTAGTTACACCGGATTTTTATCTTCTTTTTAGATGCAGAAATGTGATAACGTTATGTTTCTATTCTTTAATTTGGTGAGCTTTGAGTAAAAGAACTATATTTTTCACCATACACACACACACATACACACACACACACACACACACACATATATATATATATAATAACTGAAGTCATGGCATAGGGTTAGAGAAAAATGGAAGTTCATCCAATTTAATTTTTTATCAGTAAATTTTTACCTCATTAATCCATTTATATATTCATTAATAGACTTATTGAAGGGAAAGCCAGGTAGCTCAGATTGAGGATAGAATAAATAGGGTATCCTACACTTATAAGCAGTATCTAGTTTTTGGATGCAATAAATCCTTGGCTTTTAATTAAATTATGGGATCCAATTAAAATTATCATATGTATAGATATCAGCTATTCATAAATTCATAATCCTTTTTGGATTCTACAACTAGAATTTATAATTTTATCTTTTATGTTTAGTTTTATTCTTGTTTTAAACTACAATGATTATATAATTCCAAACTGAAAAAAAAAGTTGGTTTGCATATTTACTTCCAGGACTTTCAATAGTAAAAATGTCTCTTGTATTACTTCTCTCATGGTTGCGAAAGAACAACTTTTCTTGTTATCAATGGTATTTTATTTAGAAATATGGTATTTAGAATAAATGTAATTTGTGATTTGTATTTTCTCTTTTTATTATTTTGAATTTGGAACAATTGAGATGCAAGTGGGGATTATGGAGATAGGAATATTTTTAAGCTTTACAAATTAAAACTTACAAAGTTGCTGTCTTTGACTTCCCAGTAGTATACTTCCTTTTTCAGTTATGATTTCTTCTGACATCTTAATGTTCTTTGCCAAACCCTTTAGAAACCCATGGTGATATTTATCAGGTGACTTGGGTTAGAAATCTTTTATTATATTCCAGCTTCAGCCTCTAACTCCTTGAATGACCTTGAGAAATTAATATTCTTCCTACTATCTGTAACGGTAAAAAAAAAAAAAAAAAAAAAAAAGTAACTCAGAGGGAGGTTCTGCAGCTTCATTATAATTATGATTCATAATAAAGTCCACTGAGATATCTCAAGAAAAGGCATTGTACTAAGACAAAATAATATTATAAAACTCTCCGGAGTCTTCATTTGTATGTTATTATTTACAAACTTCAACAGAATTATACTTCAGTGTGCCTATAGGGTCTCTGATGTTTTCCTTTCAACCAAAACTTTTTCTCTTCATAATAAATGTTTGCTAAGCCGTGGATTCCTTGAGGAGGAAATGGAATGACTCAAAATTGTTAATTAATGCTCATGAATTTTAAACTACCTTCCCTTTATGATCAAATTGGGAAGAGTTTAAGTTTAAAGTATTAAGATATCTAGTACATACTTACAGTAAGTTTGCATAAATTATCTCATTCAAATCACCATACTTTTAAATTTTGATGAGGCATTAAAGAGACTTGTCCAGGGTCACTCAGCTATGCTTTTGCATATTTCTACATACGCAGTTTTGTTTAAAGGGTATAGTCTAATGTCTAGCATCTGAGTACTAGTTATTATAGATCATCTCTGTCAAAATACTTGCTCTGCCACCTATACTTTGTGACTTTGGGAAACATAAAATAGTCTATACCTTAATGTCCTCATTTATAAAATGGAGAAAATAGAATGTATTATTAAATCAGTTAAATGAGATAATACATATAAAGCTCTTAGTGTTTGGTGCATAATAAGTACTGAATAAACGTTAGCCATTCCTACAGGGCTGGTCATGGCTCTATTCTCATATGCAAGTAGTCTTTGTTGATTAAAATTAGAGTTAGCATCAATTGGGTGAGGGTATTTTCATTTCTAATTTTATTTATGTTTATAAAGTGGGTTTTTTCCTGTTATAAAATTAGTCTATTCTGGGTTTAAACTTCTTCCTTAGGGTCTTTAGTATTATATAATCTCCACTCTCATATTTATGGATATGAGTTACATTATTCAAAGTGAAACTTTCATCTAGACACTTATTAATAACAAGTATAATAATTAATATTTATTGAGCACGTGTTATATGCAAGGGATATTTCCAAGTACTTTTGGTTAACCATTTATTTCATTTAATTATCAGGACAACAATAATGTTGGGTATTACTATCATTATCTCTATTTAGAAATTTAAGAAAAAAAAACAACTAAGAATATCAGAGATTGGCTGAGGCCACTTAGGTCTTATGGGACAGAGTTAGAGTTTGATCTCACATTATCTGACAAACCCATAGATATATTTTACTCTCTATATCTATATTGTACTCTCTTATATCTCAGCTGAATGCCCAAGCAGAGGAGAAAAACATAATTTAATAAGAGTAAAGAAGGCCTATGATAATTATGGGACACTATAAAACAAACTGACCACGGCATAATAGAAATTCCCAAAGGAGGTTAAAGAGAAAAGGGTCTAGAAAGCAAATTTAAGAAAATAATGGGTTAAAAATTTTCCAATTCTGGGAAAAGATGACATCATCCAGGTACAGGAAGCTTAGAGGATACCAGTCAACAAATTCAACTCAAAGAGAAAATACCCAAAGCACGTAATAATGAAATTAACAAAATTTATAGACAAATGACGAATACTCAAAGCAGCAAGAGAAAAGAAACAACACATGTAACAGAGCCCCAGTATGGCTTTCAGTGAATTCATCAGCAGAAACCCGGCAGGCCAGGAGAGTACACTTTAAGTTACTGGAAAGAATGTAAGTTAGTACAACTAATATGAAAACTGGCATGGAGTTTCCTCAAAAAACTAAAAATAGATCTGAAATATACTTCAGCTATCCCCTGGCTGGGTATGTATCCAAAAGAAAGAATTTCAGTATTTTGAAGAGATATCTGCACTCCTATGTTTATTGCAGCACTATTCACAATAGTTAAGCTACAGAATGAAAAAAAGTGTCCATTAATACATGACTGAATAAATAAAATAGATTGTATGTTCACATCGAAGTATTAGTTTGCCATAGAAAAGAATGAGATCTTGTCATTTGCAGCAACATAGATGAAACTGGAGGATATTATGTTAAGTAAAATACGCCAGGCACAGAAAGACAAATATCGCATGTTCTCACTTACAGGTGGAAGCTAAAAATAAAAAAGGTTGATCTCATACAGGAAGAGAGTAGAATGATGAATTATCATAGGCTTGGAAGTTTAGGAGCAAGAGGGATGAAGAGAAGTTGGTTAATAGGTACTGAAATGAATTTCAATAGAAAAAATAATTTATATTGAACAATAGGGTGACTGCAGTTAACAATAATTTATTGTATATTTAAATAACTAGAGGAGAATATTTGAAATAGTCCTCATAGAAATAAGTGATGGATATTCTAATTACCCTGTTTTGATCATTACACACAATATGCATGTATCAAAATATCACATGTACCCCATAAATATGTACAATTATTATGCATCAATAAAAGTCTCAAAACTGGAGGAAATAGAAAAATACATGAAGATAGATACTTTACTCGGGAGATTGGGCAGGTTTCGAAGGAAACATGGGGAAGAAGAGGATTAAAAGGAAAGAAATTGCTGTGGTTGATGTCCCTAGTCTCAGATCCTATCCACAATTGCACACTTCACTTAAGACAAAGAAAAATAACCATTATTTGAGTACTTATTACATGTCACACATTGTGTTAAGTGTTTCCTATTCTTTATCTCATTTAGTTCTCATTTACATAAGACAATATTGAAAACAATTCTATGTAATATGTATGTCATTTGTATTATATTTATTAGGAAACAGAAGATATGAGAGGTTAAGTAATTTGACTAATCACACAACTTGTATAGGGCCTTAAATACACATAAATCTTCTTATGCTAAACATTGTTGATTAACTAGTAAGCAATAATAAGAGGGAAAATAGAATGGTTCTGTTCTAGACAGTGCCAGGTAATTCATCTACCTGATTGAGCTGGATATTGTCCATAGAGTAAGAATAAAGCTAAGGAGTTGAAAAGAGAATATCTGGAAGGTATTCCATTAGAAGAGTGATAAAAGCAATGTAAACTAGTTAGTTGTATGTACTCTTTGGTTTAAAAATCCTTATAAACGTATTTTCCCATATTTTTATAGTAGGTATAAGACACCTATAAAGGTGTCTAATGACTGTTAATTTCTTCACTTGTGAACAATCTGACTCCCATTCAAAACAACCATGTATGGTCACAGCAACAACAAAACACTAAATATTGATGCTTATTTAATACCTTGTTTACATATAAATATATATGATTTATAAGTGTTAAACTATGCAGTACTGTGGACAGTGAATTAAAATAAAAATAGTTATAATTGCCACAAGAAAAACAATAGTAAAACTCAGAAATATTTTTATTATTTATGAAACTTTGTATGTGTTCAATTATTGCTGATATTAAAGCCAAAGAAAACTAAATATTATCATCTTTCAGCTGGCATTTGGAAGAAGAAATTAAGTCCATTCCTCAGAAAGGAGAACCATCATTCTCTATATAGTCTACATGAGTATTAAGCTTCTGAGGGCAAAATTATACTTCTTTCCTTAAGATATCTACAGTAACTCTTACACTACTTGAAAAAATGTATTTGTGGGCATATTATTTCATAACATCACCAATGTTATATATATTTTAAGTGAGGAAACATAACTTAGGGAAAAAAGGTAAATGTTCAGCACCATAAAATAAATATTTCTCTGATGTGTAATTAGTACTATGCCCTTCATTGTTATCTGAGACTAAGAAATACAGCTATGGAAAGTACATCTATTTTATATAGATACAAGGGCTTAATGAACATTTAAAAAATGGAGGTTTTCCCTATTAAAATGCTTATAAAATGGATATTATTTGTAGAACATTTCAATATTAAGCTAGAAAATATAAAAATAGGAAATAAAATTTTAAATATTTTGGCTGAGAATATTATTTACAATGCAAAATATTTCCATTAATTTGAATATAAAGGTAATATCACAAATCTTTTTCAAATATTATGCAATAGTCAGCAATGAACACAGCCTTTTTAAATGCTAAAACAAAATGTGTAGTGTAATGCAAGCTCTATTGGTCTAAATACGTATGAATAAATAAACTTAATCAAGGAGGTGAAAAACTTGTACATGGAAAACTATGAAATATTCATGAAAGAGACAAGGAGACACAAATAAAATATCCATTGTTATGAATTGGAATATTTATTGTTAACATATTTATACAACCCCAAATGATCTACAGATTAAATTGTATCCACATCAAAATCCCAGTAGCTTTTTTACAGAAATAGAAAAAAAATCCTGAAATTCATATGTAACCACAAAAGACCCAGAATAGCCAAAGTATATTGAGAAAGAAAAACAAAGCTGGAGATATTACACTTGCTGATCTCAAAATACATTACAAAACTGCAGTAATTAAAACATTATAGTATTGGCATAAATACAGGCATACAGACCAATAGAAGAGAATAGAGAACCCAGAAATAAAGTTGCACATGTGTGGTCAACTTATTTTCAAGAAAAGTGCCAAGAATACTCATCGAGGAAAGTAGTTTCTTTAAAAATGGTGTTGGGAAAACTTGATATCCACATGCAGAAGAATGAAATTGAAACCTCTTACACTACCCACAATTATCAGCTCAAAGTTGCATGAAAGTCTTAACTAAGACTTGAAACTGTAAAGCTGTAAATCTCCTAGAAGGAAACATAGGAGAAGTTCCTTTTTTTTTTTTTTTTTTTTGTTTCTCTCTTGTTGCCCAGGCTTGAGTACAGTGGCAGCGATCTCAGCTCACTGCAACCTCTGCCTCCTGGGTTCAAGCAATTCTCCTGCCTCAGCCTCTCAAGTAGCTGGGATTACAGGCATGTGCCACCACGCCCGGCTAATTTTGTATTTTTAGTAGAGATGGGGTTTCACCATATTGGCCATGCTGGTCTCAAACTCCTGACCTCAGGTGGTCCGACCGCCTCGGCCTCCCAGAACGCTGAGATTACAGGCGTGAGCCACTATGCCTAGCCAAGAATTTCTTCTTGACATTGGTTTTGGCAATGATTACTTGGGTATGACCCTACAAGGACGGGCAAAACAGCAAATTAGGCAAATATGATTATATCAAACTGAAAAGCTTCTGCACAGCAAAGGAAACAATCAACAGAATGAAAAGACAACTTGCAGAATGTGAGGAAATATTTGCAAGCTATATACCTGATAAGGGGTATATTTCCAAATTATATGAGTAATTCCTACAACACAATAGCATAAAAACAACCTGATTAAAAAAGGAGCAAAGGATTGGAATAGACATTTCCCCAAAGAAGACATAAAAGTGGCTAACTGGTATTAAAAAGATACTCAGCATCATTATTTATCAGGAAAATGCAAATCAAAAATCAAACCTACAATGTGATATCACCTTACACCCGTTAGGATAGCTATTAACAAAAAATACAGGTGTTGCCAAGGATGTGGAGAAATTTGAACCCTTGTACACTGTTGGTGGGGATGCAAAATGGTGCAGGCACTATAGAAAACAGTGTGGAGGTTTTTCAAAAAAATTAATAAGTAGAACTACCTTATGATCCAGCAATCTGGATCCAGCAATTGAAATCAGACTCTTAAAGAGACACCTGCACCCCCATTTCCATTGCAGCATTAGTCACAATAGCCAAGACATTGAATAGCATGCATCAATGGATAAAGAAAATATGTTGTATACATAAAATAGAATATTATTCAACCTTGAAACAGAAATCTTGCCATTTGCAACAACATTGCTGAACCTGGAGGACATTATACTGAGTAAAATAATTCAGTCATAGAAGGACAAATACTGCATGATTCCACATATATGAGGAATCTATGCTAGTAAAACTCATAAAAACAACAAATATAAAAAACCAGCTCCTGGATTCATTGATGTTTTTGAAGGGTTTTTTGTGTCTCTATCTCCTTCAGTTCTTCTGTGATCTTAGTTATTTCTTGTCTTCTGCTAGCTTTTGAATGTATTCGCTCTTGCTTTTCTAGTTCTTTTAATTGTGATGTTAGGGTGTCAATTTTAGATCTTTCCTGCTTTCTCTTGTGGGCATTTAGTGCTATAAATTTCCCTCTACACACTGCTTTGAATGTGTCCCAGAGATTCTGGTATGTTGTGTCTTTGTTCTCATTGGTTTCAAAGAACATCTTTATTTCTGCCTTCATTTCATTATGTACGCAGTAGTCATTCAGGAGCAGGTTGTTCAGTTTCCATGTCGTTAAGCGGTTCTGAGTGAGTTTCTTAATCCTGATTTCTAGTTTGATTGTACTGTGGTCTGAGAGACAGTTTGTTATAATTTCTGTTCTTTTACATTTGTTGAGGAATGCTTTACTTCCAACTATGTGGTCAATTTTGGAATAAGTGCGATGTGGTGCTGAGAAGAATGTATATTCTGTTGATTTGGGGTGGAGAGTTCTGTAGATGTCTATTAGGTCCGCTTGGTGCAGAGCTGAGTTCAATTCCTGGATATCCTTGTCAACTGTCTGTCTCGTTGATCTGTCTAATGTTGAGAGTGGGGTGTTAAAGTCTCCCATTATTATTGTGTGGGAGTCTAAGTCTCTTTGTAGATCTCTAAGGACTTGCTTTATGAATCTGGGTGCTCCTGTATTGGGTGCATATATATTTAAGAAGACATTTATGCAGCCAACAGACACATGAAAAATGCTCATCATCACTGGCCATCAGAGAAATGCAAATCAAAACCACAATGAGATACCATCTCACACCAGTTAGAATGGCGATCATTAAAAAGTCAGGAAACAACAGGTGCTGGAGAGAATGTGGAGAAATAGGAACACTTTTACACAGTTGGTGGGACTGTAAACTAGTTCAACCATTGTGGAAGACGGTGTGGCAATTCCTCAAGGATCTAGAACTAGAAATACCATTTGACCCAGCCATCTCATTACTGGGTATATACCCAAAGGATTATAAATCATGCTGCTATAAAGGCACATGCACATATATGTTTATTGTGGCACTATTCACAATAGCAAAGACTTGGAACCAACCCAAATGTCCATCAACGATAGACTGGATTAAGAAAATGTGGCACATGTACACCATGGAATACTTTGCAGCCATAAAAAAGGATGAGTTCATGTCCTTTGCAGGGACATGGATGAAGCTGGAAACCATCATTCTCAGCAAACTATCGCAAGGACAAAAAACCAAACACTGCATGTTCTCACTCATAGGTGGGAATTGAACAATGAGAACACTTGGACACAGGAAGGGGAACATCACACACCGGGGCCTGTTCTGGGGTGGGGGGAGGGGGGAGGAAAAGCATTAGGGGATATAGCTAATGTAAATGACGAGTTAATGGGTGCAGCACACCAACATGGCACATGTATACATATGTAACAAGCTTGCACTTTGTGCACATGTACTCTAGAACTTAAAGTATAATAAATGAAAAAAAAAAGTATAGTAGTGGTTGCCAGAGGCTGGCATGGGGGAACTAGGGAGTTGTTCAATGGGTATAAAGTTTGAGTAATGCTAGATGAATGAGTTCTAGAGATCTGTTATAGAACATAGTGCCTATAGTTGAGACAGTGTTGTGCACGTCAAAATTTGTAAAGAGGAGGCACGGGCGCAGTGGCTGAGGCAGGAGGATCCTTTTAACCCAGGAGGCGGAGGTTGCAGTGAGCCGAGGTGGCGCCAGTGCACTCCAACCTGGGTGACAGAGCGAGACTGCATCTCAAAATAAATAAAATAAATAAATAAATAAATAATAAAATTTGTAAAGAGGAAAAATGTCATTTTAAGTGTTCTTAACAAAAAATAAAAACAAAAAATGAAAGCAAAAGAGCACAAGGAAACTTTTGGAGGTTTTAGATACATCTATTACCCTGATTGTAGTGACGGTATCAGGGGTGTTTGCATATGTCCAAATTCATCAAATTGTATATATTAAATATGTACAGCTCTTTGTATGTCAATTATACCTCAATAAAGCTGTATAAAAAAGAAATAGAAGGCAACATTTTCCAGTGGTATCTTTCACTATTTTTGAAAGATTTTGGAGTTTTAATTTTGAAAGAATTTAAAATTTACAGATTTGCTGAAATAATACAAATAATTTCTATATGCTTTTCAGAAAAATGCATTAATTTACCAGTTGTTAATATTTTGAAAGTGAATACACACACTTATATATTATTATGTTTTTCTGAACAACATGCATGTAGGTTGCAGGCATCCAGCCTCCTTACATGTAAGTAGTTTTGAATGCCTTTTCCAAGAATAAAGATGTTTTCTTCTAAACCACAGTAGAAACTTAAGAAAAAAATATGACATATAAAGTTAACTTTTGCCAATCATCCTAATACATGTATTTTATAGAAATTTTATTTCTCTGATCTCTGATGCAATGTAGGATAATGCATTGCATTTAATTGTCATCTACTGCCTAGCTAGACGTGGCACAGGGAGACATTACTTAAATTCTTGAATTTTAACTTGCAGTTATATACTGCTAGGGATGTTTTCTAAATTCTCTGCACTTAAACTTGCAAAGGTATTTCAGAATTAAATGAGAAACTATATGAAAAATACATTTCACAGTGCCAAGCACATAGTTGTTGCTCAAAAAATTGTAGCTTAAGAAAAAGCGATAAATAGTATATGTTTAAAAACTAGATACAAAACACAGTCTTTAGCCTAAATTTAGTGAAAGGCAAATCATTTGCTTTTATTCTTTCCAGAATCCATCTCAATTGACCAAGTGTAAAAAGGTCAAAGTCACTTTGGAAATAAAACACCTTCTATAAAGACACTCTATTTTATTGAATGGTATAGTGCTTTACAGCACGATTTAATTATGTGCTCATAATGGAAAACAATAAAGCTGTACAGCCAGCAAGAAAAGAGTCAAGGTTTCAAGACAGATATTTAGACTATGAGAGAGCATTCAGTATTGAAATACAGAAAAAGGATTAGTCTTGGATAAGAAGAAATTGCTTGAGAATGTTCTTGTGGGCGAAACATTACCTCATGTTTATGTTTAACTCAACAGTTGCCTCAGAAAAGTGAGTTTTAAAATAGCACTTTTATTGATGAGGAGCAGATCCCAAGAGAATACTTTGCCCTAAAGTCTTTCTCCTTTTGCCTTCCTTCCTCCCATCCAAAGTCAGGCCAACCACAGGCATACCAATCACCTGTCTTTCCAAAAGCTTATGATAGCTTGCCCAAGTCAGCCAGTAATTCCCTTCTTTGGAAACAGTTATTGTACTTGAATGTGGTTTTGCCCCTTAACTGTAGCTGGTCTCACATTACTGTTTTATTATTTCATATATTAGGTCTTTTCTCTGTAATTAAATTGTTAGTTTTTGTATAAATTTTTTAGCTCTTATATTTCTTTTGTGTAAGCCCACGATGCTTAGTACAGTGATGAATACTTAAAGGTGCTAAAAGAATACACATGGAATTGGTATTTTTAATCTGTATCTGAGTTTTAACTTTTATCACCCATGTTTCATTGGAGTGTAAAGCCACCTCTTTTGGTCTCTACTTGCATGACACTACTGAATTAAACTGCAAATATATCTGACTGCTTTAGACTTTTAATGACTTGCTACTTCCAATTATTTTGAGATAGAACTTCATCCATTCCTTTTAGTACAGGCAGTAGAAAATGAAGCAGGGAGCTAGAGAGAGTTATCTTTGCTGGCCTTAAGGTTCTCACTTTCCATCTGGAGAAAATTCTTCACCAGGTGTTTTCCCTCTATTCTTCTTATTGCACAGTAAAATTTTCCTCACTTACAGGATTATCTTCTGGCTATCTTGTGTCTGCTCCAAATATTACCATCCCCTCCTCACATTGAAACTCAAGTTGTGGTACCTCTCATTTGTGGTCTTCCTTTCTTACATCCACCTGCATTTCATTCTCAAATACTTTAAATACTTTCTTCCAAAGCTGCCCCTCATTCTTTCATTTTCAGACTACCATAACTAAGCTATTTTTTTTCACTTCATTGGGTTTTGAATGTGCAGACGTATTCATGCTTTTAACATTCCCTATTTCTAAATTTATCATAAGGATATCCTATGGCCTAACACTTCAGCAAAATATGTAATTAATAAAATCAATAAATAAATCACAGAAAGGGTGGAAATATTTGTAAACATATCTAACAGGAGGCTTACATCCAGAATATTAAAAAAAACTCTATGTCTTAGTCTGTTTGGGCTGCTATAATACAAATACCATGAACTAGGAAACTTATAAAAACACATTTGTTTCCCACAGGTCTTGACGTTGGGAAGTAAAAGATCAGAGTGCTGGCAGATTTTGGTGTCTAGTAAAGGACGGCTTTCTAGTGTATAGATAACACCTTCTATCCATGTCCTCACATGGTGAAAAAGGTAAGAGGTCTTCCTTGGGCCTGTTTTATAAGGGTACTAATTTCATTCTTGAGGGTTCTGCCCTCATGACCTAAAAAAACCCCACTACCTAATACTATCACCATGGCAGATAAGATTTAAACATATAAATTTGGGAGAGATACAAACATTCAGAAAATGGTACCCTACAATTCAATAAAAATATTATAAACAATCCTTTAAAAAGATACAATATATGAACAGACCCTGCTAAAAGAAAATTTTTCTTGTTTCACTTATTTATTTTTAATTATCAAACAAAGAAAGTATATATTTATCATGTACAACGTGTTTTTAAATATGCATATATTGTGGAATGGCTAAGTTGGGCTAATTAACATATGCAGGCTTATTTTTTTCTGATGAGAACACTTAAAACTACTTTCTTAGCAATTTTTAAGAATAAAATACATTGCTGTTAACTGTAAGTCACCATGTTTTATAATAGGTCTGTTGAACTTATTCCTCCTATCTAATGGAAATTTTGTATCCATTGATCAAAATCTTTCCAACACCTTCACCACCACACACCCAGTATATAGTAGCCACTTAATATGGTTTGGTTCTGTGTCCCCACCCAAATCTCACGTCAAATTGTAATTCCTGTGTTGAAGGAGGGGCCTGGTGGGAGGTGATTAAATCATGGGGGTGGACTTCCCCCTTGCTGTTCTTATAACAGAGTTCTTATGAGATCTAGTTGTTTGAAAGTATGTAGCACCTCCGCCTTCTCTCTCTCTCTGTCCTGCCAGCCATGTTAAGATGTGCTTGCTTCCCCTTTGTCTTCTGCAGTGACTGTAAGTTTCCTGAGGCCTCCCCAGAAGCAGAAGCCTGTATACTCGGCAGAAGTGTGAGTTGATTAAACCTCTTTTTTTTTAATAAATTACTCAGTATGTCTTTATAGCAGTGTGAGAAGGGACTAATACACAATTAATTGACTATAAATGCATAAATTTATTTCTGAGCTCTCTATTGTTTCACTGGTTTATGTGTCTATTTCCTTTTTTTTCTTATGTGAGTACCATGCTGTTTTGATTGCTATGGTTTTGTGGTATATATTGAAGTCTTGGAATGTGACGCCTCTAGTTTTCTTCTTTTTGCTTAAGACTGCTTTGCTTACCCTAGGTTTTTTATGATTCCATATTAATTTTAAGATTTTTAAAAATATTTTTGTGAAAGATGTTAGTATAATTTTGATAAAGATTGTGTTGGATCTGTAGATTGCTTTGAGTGGTATGAACATTTTAACAATATGAATTCTAATCCATGAACATAGAATATCTTTTCATTTATTTGTGTCTTCAATTTATTTCATCAGTGTTTTTTAGTTTTAGTATAGGTATTTGTCCTTTGTTAAATTTATTCTGAAGTATTTTATTTTTTGTAGCTATTGTGAATGTTTTTCTTTGAACAACTTGTTGTTATAGTAACACTATTGATTTTGTATGTTGATTTTATATCTTGCAAGATAACTGAATTTGTTTATTACTTCTAACAGTTTTTAAGTGGGGTGTTTAGAGTTTTCTATATAAAAAACAGAGACAGTTTAACTTCTTTTTTTCAAGCTTGAATGACTTTTATTTCTTTGTTTTGCCTAATTGCTCTGGCTAAGACTTTTAGTACTATGTTGAATAGAAGGGATCTTAGAGAAAAAGATTTTAACTTTTCTTCATTGAGTATGATGTTAGTTGTGGACCTGTCATATATGGCCTTTACTGTGTTGCAATTCATTACTTTTATTCATAATTTGTTGAGATTTTTTATCATAACAGAATGCTGAGTTTTACCAGATGCATTTTCTGCATCAATTTAGTTGATCATATGATTTTTGTCCTTATTCTATTTATGTGAAGTATCTAATGTATAGATTTTTAAATGTTGAGCCATCGTGTGTCCAAAGAATAAATCCACTTGATTATGGTGAATGATCCTTTATGATCCTTTTAACGTATTATTGAATTCAGTTTGCTGGTATTTTATTAAGACATTTTGCATCTATATTCACTATATTCATCAGGAATATAGGTCTACAATTTTCCTTCCTTTCCTTCCCTCCTTCCTTCCTTCCTTTCCTTCCTTCCTTCCTTTCCTTCCTTCCCTTCCTTCCTTCCTTCCTGCTTTCCTTCTTTCCTTCTTTCTTTCTTCCTTCTTTCCTTCTTTCTTTTGACATGGTCTCACTCTGTTGCCCAGGCTGGAGTTCAGTGGAGTGATCATGGCTCACTGCAACCTTGAACTCCTGGGCTCAAGCGATCTCTCCACCTCAACCTCCCAAGTAACAGGGACTACAGGCATGCGCCACTATGTCTGGCTAATGTTTTTAAATTTTTTATAGAGCTAGGGTATTTCTATGTTGCCTAGGCTGGTCTCAAACTTCAATTCTCCTGCCTTGGCCTCCCAAAGTGCTAAGATTACAGGCATGAGCCTCTATGCCTAGCCCTGTAATCTTCTTTTCTTGTAGTGTCCTTTTCTGGTGTTGGCCCCAGGATAATTTCGGTATCATAAAATGAGTTAGCAAGTATTTATTCCTTAATATGTTGGAAGAGTTTGAGAAGGAATGATATTAGATCTTCTTTAAATGTTTTGTGGTATTCTGTAGTGAAGCCATCAGTCTTGGGCTTTCCTTTGATAGACTTTTTATTAGTGATTCAATCTTTTTATTCATTATTAGTCTGTTCAGATTTTTTCTATTTCTTCATTACTCAGTGTTGGTAGGTTTTATGTGTCTAGGAATTCATCCATTTCTTCTAGGTTATACAATTTGTTAGTGTATAATTATTCAAAGTAGTGTTTTATAATTCATTGTCTTGCTGTGACATCAGTTGTAATGCCTCCTCTTTCATTTTCGATTTTATTTATTTCTCTTCTCTCTTTTTAGTTTAGCCAAAGACTTGTCAATTTTGTTTAATCTCTTCATAAAGTCAGTTTGGTTTTGTTGATCTTTTAATTGTTTTTCTAGTCTCTATTTCATTTATTTCAACTCTTATCTGTTTTATTTTTTTCTTCTATTAACTTTGTGCTTAGTTGATTTTTTTCTAGTTCTTTGAGATATAACATTATATTGTTTGAGATCTTATTTTTTAATGTAGGTGTTCATTTCTATAAACTCTTTTAGAACTGCTTTTGCTGCATCACATAAGTTTTCGTATGTTGTTTTTCCATTTATGTTTGTCTCAATATATTTTAAAATTTCTCTTTTAACTTCTTTGACCCACTGTTTTTTTCAGAAACATGTTAATTTTCATGTATTTTTTAATTTTCCCAAGTTCTTCATCTTATTGATTTCTAGTTTAATACCATTGTGCTCAGAAAAGTTACTTTGTATGATTTAAATCTGTTTAAGTTTGCTAAGACTAGTTTTATAGCCTAACATATAATCTTTCCTGAAGAATGCACACTTGAGAAGAATGTGTATTCTGTTGCTGTTGGATGGAGTGTTCTGTATATGTCTGTTAGGCCTATTTGGTCTAAAGTGAAGTTTAAGTCTCAAGAAACTAGAGTATTGAAGTTCCCTAGAATGACTGAATTAGTCTATCTCTCTCTTGGGGTATAAAAGTATTTACTTTATATATTTAGATACTCCCATATTGAGTGTATGTATGTTATTGTTATATCCTTTTGATAAATTGACAATTATCATTATTTAATGTCTTTCTTTGTCTCATTTTACAGTTTCTGACTTAAAGCCTATTTTAGCTGATGTAAGTGTAGGTACTTCTGCTCTCTTTTGGTTTCCATTTGCATGAAATATCTTCTTTCATCCCATCACTTTCATCTTGTGTGTGTCTGATAGGTGACATGAATTTGTTATAAACAGCCTATATTGGTATATACATATATGTATATGTATATATGTGTGTGTGTATATATATATATATTCAGCTACTGTATGTGTATTGATTGGATAACTTAGTACATATGCTTTCAAGGTAATTTTTGATTTTTTATTACTGCTATTTTGTTAATTATTTTTTGTAGTTTGTTTCTTTTTCTGTTGATGTTTTTCTTTGCGATCAATTTATTTTCCCTAGTAATACACTTTGATTCCTTGCTTTTTATGTCTTGTGCTATCTACTATACGTTTTTGTGTTGTATACACAAAACATTGTATAGTTAGGTAAAATTTTAAAAAATACCTAATAATCATATAAATAAGTTCATAATAGGGAAATACAAATTAAAAGCACAATGAAATATTGCTGAACACGTATTTGTTGACCAAAATAAAAAATACTGAGTACAACATTTTGATAAACATGGAGCAAATATAACTCTCATATATTGCTAGTGGGAGTGTGAAATAGTAAAACTATTTTGCAAAATGATTTGGTAATTTCTTATAAAACTACCCCATGATCCAATTATTCTGTATATTGGTATTTAATCAAGAATAATGAAAAATTTGACACAGAAAATTTACATATGACTATTTATACCAACTTTACTAATGATAGCTCAATAATGGAAATAGCCCAAATATCTATCAATAGGGAAGTAGATACATTTTGGGATATGCATTCAATGGAATATATAGCAATATAAAATGAACTATTGACACGTGACAAAATGGGTGAATTTTAAAAAACATGTTAAATGAAAAGTGATTCAATCTAGATAAAATTTTAAAATAGGTAAAATTACTCTCTGGTGATACAAATAAGATTAGTGGTTTTCTTTAAGGTCAGAGTTTGACTGCAAAAGGGAATGAGAAATTTCTAGGTTAGTAGAAATGTCCTATGTCTCAAGTGTAGTATTGGTTGCATGAGTGTAGACGTTTGTCAAAACTCATGCCACTGTATACTTAAGAGCTGTATATTTTACAATATTTAAATTAAATCTAAATTTAAAAAGACAAATAATTTGTTTAATATAAGAATAAATCCTGTCATAATTGTGGCCCCTGTATTAGTCATAGTTCTCAAGAGAAACAGAACCAGCAGGATATATTAACATGTAGTTATATAGAAAGAGATTTATTTTGATGGGTTGGCTTATGTGATTATGGAGGCTGATAAATCCCATGAGCTGCCATCTGGGAGCCAGAGATCCGGGAAAGCTAGCAATGTAGTTCTAGTCCAAACCAGAGGCCTGAAACCCAGGACAATCAGTGTTATAAGTCCCAGTCCAGTTTCAAGACCTGAGAACCAGGAATACTGAAGCCTGAGGGAAGGTAAAAATCAGAGGTCCCAGCTCAAGCAGACAGAGCAAATTTCCCCTGCCTCCATTTTTTCTTCTATTTAGGCTTTCATTGGATTGGATGAGGCCCGCCTGTATTGGTGAGGGCAGATCTCCACTCAGTCTACCAACTCAAATGCCAGTCTCTTTCAGAAACACCCTCACAGACACACCCAGGCATCCTATAGCCCAGTCAAGTTGACACATAAAATTAACCATTACAGCCCCTAGATTTCAGAGTATACATGAAAATAAATGTAAGGTTCTTAAAATTTTTATTTAGGAGTTTTCTATTGTTTAAATAGCATTTTCCATGTTATGTGAGTATTGATGCATACCTTAAATAAAATTGATTTTATAGAGATTTTATAAAATAGATTCCTCTGGTTTTCTCATTCTCTGCCATTTTCCAACACAGCACTTTATGAAGTAGAACTGGAGCATTAAGATAAAATATATTCAGATGGATAAATAAATGTTTCCTGCTAAAACCTTTACCTTCAGTCTTGTAAGATTCTTTTGTATATTTTCCTGGTGAGCTCTTAGAATAGACCTGTACTCGCTTTCTCTATATATGTAACGCACCCCCAAATCTAGACTCTTTAGCTATCTTTGATCTTTCTCTACATTGTTTCTTTTGTAGGCTATGAATACTTGGCCTCTTAATTTTTTTGAATTAGCTGTACCTCCCTGATTACTCCGTCATCAACTAGTTAAGTAAATCTAAGACATGGATGCTTTACATCTATTCACATAAAATATAATTATATTTTTAACTTTTAAAAATTATATGTTGGCAGCAATAAGAGGGAAATTACTGGAATCTTCTCATTTAAAGGCCATAAAACACAATATATTTTCACCTTCTAAGAAAAAGAAAATATGTAAATACAATGCCAGTAATAAAGTATTCTGTGCCTTGCTTAGAAAAACTGGGAAGTCTGGAGTCAGAAATGTTCATTCATTAGGGAAAATTTAGTTTTCCAGCAGCCCACCTTTCCTAACCTGATGACCCTCTGGGCAAGCTATTCTGCATTTAACAAATGGATATACTTGTTCAGTTTTCTGAACCAATTAACTGGTTTAATTAAAACAGTTTAATTTAGTTTTCTGTTACTTATAAACAAAATAATTCTAACTCTTATGAAACCATGTTTGATCTTCAGTATAACTTTGGAAACAGCCATTTTCTGGACCAGAACTGTCATATCTGGGCATAGGTTATACTTTAATGGCAGGTAGGACTTCTATGGGAAGATGTTATAGAATTCCCCTATAGTTAATTAATTTATTTTGTTTTGTACAAAACTGTAGAAGAATTTGTCTAGTGTTTAATACTTGATTGTTTTATCTTTGATAATGGCTCTAATTAATGTGGCAAGTGTGAAAATAAACCCTATCGTTTCTATAAGAATCTTCATTATCCATATCTCTAAGTATTGATGTAGGTGACTTGTTCATTGAAATTACATTAAAAGTGGATAATATGGATATAACACAACATCAGGTACCTACAAGGAATTATAATATTGTACCAAGAGAAAATGATTGAGAAGTAAGAAAAAATGGAAATGTGATTTTGTTCAAATAACTATAAATGGACAGCAAAAAAAAATACAAGTCCACTTGAATATGAGTAATTTAATATTTTTAGTGAATAAATATATGGAGTCGGAAGAGCATTAAATTCAAATTCTAAAATTCAAACTATGTGGTTCATAGTCAGTTAAAGGGCAAAAATTATTTTTGTTCTGAACTTGTACTTATTCCAGATCGTTTGAACATTTTTACTTCCTGCTTTTTAGGTCAGAGACTATAAGAAAGACAAAAACCATATAAAGGCACAGGAAATTGAAATAGAGAAAACTATTTTTTTTTAATGAAGTAATGAAAGAATACACAAAGGATAATCATTCCCGGCCTTGATTTTTTAAGTGCTTACTATCTCAGTCACGCAGGAGGGAGGTTGTGACATTAAGGACCAAAGCTATTTGCAACAAATTCTTAGCAAGATCACCTTGCTGGAATTATAATGCAAAGACAGCCTGACATACACAAGGTTTCAAAAAGATTTAGTTCCTGTGTTAAAGGGAAATTAAATGGCCTTTTTTTTATTTTTTGATGGATTAGGCTATTAAGTTCTAATAGTGTTCTCTTACTATTTTGAACATTTACTCTTTAGAAAAGAAAACATCTTCAAAAATGCTTAATTCAAAGACTATATTTTCACTTATTCCAATAGAGTTGCCAGTTTTTTCTCTTCTAAATGTTGACCTTCCTCATACTTGCAAATATAAACTCAGTTAAAGAAATGTGTTTAGTAGTAAACTAAAATTAGCAAGAGAATTTACATAAAAACTCTGAAGCAATAAAAATGCCCATCCTCAATAATAAAAATATAATTTAATTTTTAACTTACAACATATAAATCTTTTAAAACCAGACACATAAGGTAAAAAATATTAAACTGCCTCAATATTTAACTTAAGGGGACATTATATGTTCCAAAGAAAATGTCACAGCTTAAAAGATGCATAAACTAGAAAATTCTTATTTGTAGAGAGAATTGTAGGAAAAGTCAGGTTATATTTAAAAGATGAAATACATGGATTACAGCATATCTGATCCATTTATTTGGCTATATTAATGATTGGTGCAGATCACCAATATGATGGTTTGCTGAATAGTAACCACAGTGAAAACAGCAGAAGTCAGTGTGCTGGCTAGGCTTCAATTTTTTAAATATATCTTTGGGGCTATTAAAAATTCATCTTTGTGACTATGTATTTTAAATAATGTGTACTTTAGCCACCGTGCACGACTTACAATGTGTATTCTAGAGGCAAAGACAAAATAACTTTTAAAAAGTTAATGGACACTATAATATGTTGCAGCAATCCCAATTCTGGGCTTAAAGAAGTTGAAATCAGGGTCTCAAAAATATATCTGCACTTCCACCTCCACTGCAACGTTATTCACAATAGTCAAAATGTGGAAGCAACATAAATCTTCATTGATCAATAAATGGGTAAATAAAAATATGATATATACATACAACGGAATATTGTTCAGCCTTTAAAAAGAAGAAAACTCTGCTATTTGCAACAACATGGATGAACTTGGTGGGCGTTATGCTTAGTGAAATAAGCCAGTCACAGAAAGACAAATATTACGTGATACCACTTAGATGAGGAATCTGAGATAGTCAAACTCATAAAAAAGCAGAATAGAGTGGTGATTTCCAGGAGCTGGGGAAGGTGCAAACAGGGAGGTATTAGTCAAAGGGAACAACGTTTTAGTTATGCAAGATGAATAAATCCCAGAAATTTGCTATACATTATAGTGCCGATAGTTAACAATGCTGTGTTGTAGACTTAAAAGTTTGCTAAGAGAGTAAATTTATGTTGTGTTCTTATCACACATAAAAAAAAGTTAATGGATGGTTTAAAACAAAAACAATAACAATGGCAATATATTATAGTGTTTATAACAATCACATAATTAGAATATATGATAATAATATTATAACTGGTGGGACTATGAAATGGAAGCATGAGGTTCTTTAACGGCATGTAAGGTAGTGTAATATTGTATGAAAGTAGACTGTGATAACTTAATTCTGTGTTTTGTATAAATTATAGCAGTGTTTTAAACTTTGGCATTATTAATATCTTGGGTTAGATAATTCTTTGTTGTAGAGGGCTTATATGTTGCAATATGTTTAGCAGTATCCCTGACCTCCACCAACTAGCTGCCAGTAGCATCCCCTCCAGTAGTGAGAGGCAAAAGTGTCTTTAGGCATTGTCAAATGTCCTCTGAGAGCAAAATCACCAACTGAAAACAATTGCCTTAGAAAAACAAGGAATGTAAACACAACAAAATATAATAATCAATAGAAATGATTAAATTAAACTTTAAAAAATAATTGATTAATCTGGAAGAAGACAGAAAAAGAAAATATAAAACAAGAACAGATGGATCGAGTAGAAAATAATAAGCAAGATGGTAGATTTAAACCCCACTATATTAATAACTGCATTAAATACAAAATATGTAAAAATTCCAGTTAAAGAGAATCTAAGATAGGCTAAAAACACTCAACTCTATGATATCTATAAGAAACTTATTTTAAATATAAAGATACAGAAAAGTTAAAAGCAAAAGGATGTAAAGGATATATAATACACACTACAACAAGTGGGTGTGATTATATAAATACCAAAGAGGGCTTCAGAATGTAAAATACATGCACAAAATCTGATAGAACTGGAAAATGAACATGAAATATCCAAAATTATAGTTGAATGTTTTATTTCATTTTATTTTTAAAATTTCAACTTTTATTTTACTCAAGGGTATATATGAGCAGATTTGTTACAAAAAATTTTTGGCTGATGCTGGTGTTATACAGTGTACGAATGCCATCACCCTGGTGGTCAGCATAGTACTCAATAGGTAGTTTTCTAACCCACCCTTCCCCTGCCCAGTATCCAGTGACTATTGTTTCCATATTTATGTCCCTGTATGCTCAACACTAGCTCCCACTTATAAGTGAGAACGTATAATATTTGCTTCTCTGTTCCTGCATTAATTTGTTTAATATTATGGCCTCCAGCTCCATCGATGTTGCTGCAAAGGATGTGATTTTATTCTTTTTTGTGACTGTGTGGTATTTCATGGTATATATGCACCACATTTTCGTTATCTAGTCTACAGCTGATGGGCACCTGGGTTGTTTCCATATCTTTGCTGTTGTGAATAGTACAGCAATGAACAGACAAGTGCATATATCTTTTTGGTAGAATGCTTTATTTTCCTTTGGGTATACACCTAGTAATGGGATTGTTGGGTCAAATGGTAGCTCTGATTTAAATTCCTTCAGAAATCTCCAGACAACTCTTCACAGTGGCTGGACTAATTTACATTTCCACCAATAGTTTATACTGTTTATACCAACATTTCCTTTCTCTACAGCCTTGCCAGCCTCTGTTGTTGTTTTGAATTTAATAATAGCCATTCTGACTGGTGTGAGATGGTACCATCATGGTTTTGATTTGCATTTCTGTGATTATTGGTGATGCTGAGCATTTTTAATATGTTTGTTGACCACTTGTATGTTTTCTTCTGAGAAGGGTCTGTTATTGTCCTTTGCCCATTTTTAAATGAGGTTATTTTGGTTTTGTCTGTTGATTTGTTTAAGTTCTCTATAGATTCTAGATATTAGGTGTTTGTCAGATGGACAGTTTGTGAATATATTCTCCCATTCTGTAGATTGTCTGTTTGCTCTCTTGATAGTTTCTTTTGCTTTGCAAAAGTTCTTTAATTATGTCCCACTTGTCTATTTTTGGGTTTGTTGCAATTGTTTTTTGGGACTTACAATACATGGAGATGTAAAAATACATAAAAAGATCAATGAAACCAAGAGTTTCTTATTTGAAAAAATAAATAAGATTGATAGACTCCTAGCTAGATTAACAAGGAAAAGAAAGAGAATGTCCAAATAAGCAATATCAGAAATGACAAAGGTAATATTATAACTGAACCCACAAAAATACAAAAGATCCTGAGACTGTGATGAACAACTCTATGCACAGAAATTAGCAAATGTAGATGAAATGAATAAATTCCTATAACCATGCAATATCCAAAGATTGAATGAGGAAGAGATTGAAACCCTGAATACATCAATATCAATTTCTGAAATTGAATCTGTAATAAAGAAACTGCCAACCAAAAAAATCCCTAAAGCAGATGGATGCACAGCTGAATTCTACCAGACATACAAATAACTGTTACCAATTCTACTAAAAGTATTGCAAAAAACAGGGGAGGAAGGGTTCCTCTATAACTCATTCTATGAAGCCAGCATCACCCTGATACCAAATCTGGCAGAGACACAATGAGAAAAGAAAACCAGATAAATACCCCTCATGAATATAGATGCACAAATCTTCAGCAAAATACTAGCAAATTGAATCCAGCAGTACATAAAAAACATATATACACCACGATCAAGTAGGCTTTAATCCTGGGATGCAAGGTTGGTTCAACATGCAGAAATCAATAAATATGATTCACCACATAAACAGAATCAAAAGCAAAAACCATATGATCACTTCAACAGATACAGAGAAAGCTTTCAATAAGATCCAACACGATCTTCGTGATAAAACCCCCCACAAATTAGGCATTGAAGGAATATACCTCAAAATAATAACAGCCGTCAATGACAAACCCACATCTGACATCATACCGAATAACCAAAAGTTTGAACGATTCATTCCCCTTGAGAACTGGAACAAGGATGCTCACTGTAACCACTCCTATTCAACATAGTACTGGAAATCCTAGCCAGAGCAGTCAGGTAAGAAATAGAAAGAAAAGGGAGCTAAATAAGAAAAGAGGTCAAACTGTGTCTCTTCACTCCTAATATGATTCTATGCTTAGAAAATCCTAAAGACTGTCAAAAGGCTGCTAGAATTGATAACTTCAGTAAAGTATCAGGATACAGAAGTCAATGTGCAAAAATCAGTAGCATTTCTATACAACAACAACATCCAGATTGAGCGTGAAATCAAGAACACAATCCCACTTACAATAACCACAAAAAAATTTTAAATATCTAGGAATACAGCTAACCAAGGAGGTGAAAGACCTCTACAAGGAGAACTACAAACACTGCTGAAAGAATCAGATATGACACAAATAAATGGAAAAACATTCCATGCTCATGGAATGAAAGAACCAGTATCATAAAAATGGCCATACTATTCAAAGCAATTTACAAATTCAGTGCTATTCCCATCAAACTACTGACATCATTCTTCACAGTATTAGAAAAAGGCCTATTCTAAAATTTATATGGAACCCCAAAAGAGCAGGAACAGCCAAAACAATCCTAAACAAAAGGAGCAAAGTCAGAAGCATCACACTACCTAAATGCAAACTATACTATAAAGCCACAGCTACCACAACAGCTTGGTACTAGTACAAAACAGATACATAGACCAATAGAACAGGATAGAAAACTCGGAAATAAAGCTGCACACCTACAAGCATGTAATATTCAACAGGGCTGACGAAAAAAGAGAAATGGGGAAAGGACTTCCTACTCAGTAAGTTGTGCTGGGATAACTGGCTAGCCAAAAGCAGAAGACAAGCTGGACTGACCCCTACATTTCACTATACATAAAGACTAACTCAAAATGGATTAAAGATTTAAATGTGAGATCTCAAACTATAAAAATCCTGGGGGACAACCTAGGAAATACTCTTCTTGACATTATTCTTTGCAAAGAATTTTTGGCTGGTTGAAGATTTTAACACTCCTATTCTAATAATTGACAAATCAAGTAAATTGCATGCCAGTACATACATAGATTTGAATGGTACTATTACTAACCTTATCTAATTGATATTTATAGAGCACTCTAAACGACGACAGCAAAATGCACATTTATTCAACAACTATAACTAACTTTCTGTACCTTTAAACAATGAGTATACTTGTGCTAAGCAGGTACTGTGCTTGAGAATGCTGCGTCAGAAAGAGAAAAAGTGTGAAATACAGTACGTGCCTGAGATGAAATATTTGTTAGTATCTGTATGATGTGGCACAAAACTATCCATCATTGTTACAGCTAAATTCATAGGTGGGCCAAGAAGAAATGACACAGCCAACCAAAGAAATCTGCTCAGGTGGAAATTATAATCTTCATGTAGTCACCTGTTCTTCAAGTGCCTTCTGAGAGGTATAGTCTATATGACCTCATAAGATTACCATATAACTTCTTTTTCAGAAGAACCTAAACTAAAACACTGCTCTCCCATGACTTAAGGGCCACATTATGACTTTCATGAAGTATAACCACTTTGGCTTCATGGGCACCTCCTTCCATAAGGAAATGTTAGAAATTAGGCCGGGTGCAGTGGCTCAAGCCTGTAATCCCAGCACTTTGGGAGGCCGAGGCAGGCGGATCACGAGGTCAGGAGATCGAGACCATCCTGGCCAACATGGTGAAACCCCGTCTCTACTGAAAATACAAAAAAAATTAGCCGGGCGTGGTGGCGGGCGCCTGTAGTCCCAGCTACTCGGGAGGCTGAGGCAGGAGAATGGCGTGAACCTGGGAGACGGAGCTTGCAGTGAGCCAAGATCGCGCCACTGCACTCCAGCCTGGTGGACAGAGCCAGACTCCGTCTCAAAAAAAAAAAGGAAATGTTAGAAATTATATTTTATTTTACAATTGCATTGGTATAAAGACAAATTAATTGATATTATGTATTAAAACATTTTCTTTTATCTGAAAGTTTAGTTTCTTCTCTTGATTTTTAAAGATATTAAAACATTTTTATAGGCCTCTAAAAATATTGTGGGTTCTACATATTGTGCCTTTTGTGCCTGCTGGATAAGTTGGCCCTGGCTGACTCAAACATAGAGAGGGGTGGGAGGAGGCAAGATGATAGTAGTTTGCTTTTTCTTAGAAGGACAAAATGTCCAAAGAATTCTCTCACATTCCTAATCTCTTTTATATGCTAAATCTGTGGAGAGTTTTATGATGGTTCTGTTTTGAGTTCTGTCATTTAATTCTTCCCAAAATTATATATATATAATTTTATTATATCATATAATAATATATGTACTATATTATTATATAGTATATAATATGTTATATATTATGTAATATATTATTGATAATATATTATTAGTAATAATATTAATAGTTATCATTAGTAATATTATGTAGTATATAATTTATTATATAATAATACATTGTAATAATGCATATTATATAATATGTATATATACACATACACACACAGTCATGCACTGCATAACCACGTTTTAGTCAACAATGGACTGCATACAGGAAGGTGATCCCAAAAGACTATAATGGAGTTAGAAAATCATGATGTTATGACATTGTAGCTGTCATAACATCATAGTACAAAACATTACTCACCTGTTTGTGGCAATGCAGGTGGAAACAAACCTACTCCACTGCCAGTCATTGAAAATGTAAATAAATAAGTAAGTAAATAAATGGATAAAAGCTTATAGAATGAAAATATAAAGAAAAAATATTTTATACTGCTGTACATGTGTTTGGGTTTTAAAATGTTATTACAAAGGAGTCAAAAAGCTGAGAAAAATTTTAAAAGTTTATAAAGTAAAAAAGTTACAGTAAGCTAAGGCTAATATTTTACAGCAAAAAACATTTGTATAAATTTAGTATTGCCGAAGTGTATAGCGTTTATAAAGTCGGTGTGGTGTACAGTAATGTCCCACACCTTTACATTCACTTATCTCTCTCACTCACTGACTCAGCCAGAGCAACGTCTAGTCTTGCAAGCTCCATTCATGGTAAACGCCCTATAAAAGTATACCATTTTTAATATTTTATAACATATTTTTACTGTACCTTTTCTATGTTTAGATATGCTTAGATACACCTATTCCTATAATTGCCTATAGTATTTAGTACAGTAATATGCTATATAGGTTTGTAGCCTACAAACAATATGCTATACCACATATCCTGGGTTTTTGGTAGCCTATACCATCTAGGTTTGTGTAAGTACAATCTATGATATTCATAAAATGGTGAAACCAGCTAACAATGCATTTTGCAGATCGAATCCCTGTCACTAAGTGACTCATGACTGTATATATATACATACACACACACACACACACACAGAGTCATGAGTCTGCAAAGGAACTATCTTCATGTATACACCAACATTTATTTTACAATTTGTCACTCCAAAAAAGACTAATGTTAAAAAACAAATAAATAAATGTATAATTGACCTTTAACCCAATAAGATTTGCATCTTTTCTTGAGCCAGTGACCATGTTAAGGTTATTAAATGTCACATGTACATGACTGTATATTTAGAAAACCCTATCATCTCAGCACAAAATCTCCTTAAGCTTATAAGCAACTTCAGCAAAGTCTCAGGATACAAAATCAATATGCAAAAATCACAAACATTCTTATACACCAATAACAGACAAACAGAGAGCCAAATCATGAGTGAACTCCCATTCACAATTGCTTCAAAGAGAATAAAATACCCAGAAATCCAACTAACAAGGGATGTGAAGGACCTCTTCAAGGAGAACTACAAACCACTACTCAATGAAGTAAAAGAGGACACCAACAAATGGAAGAACATTCCATGCTCATGGATAAGAAGAATCAATATCGTGAAAATGGCCATAATGCCCAAGGTAATTTATAGATTCAATGGCATCCCCATCAAGCTACCAATGACTTTCTTCACAGAATTGGAAAAAACTACTTTAAAGTTCATATGGAACCAAAAAAAGAGCCCACATTGCCAAGACAATCCTAAGCCAAAAGAACAAAGCTGGAGGCATCACACTACCTGACTTCAAACTATACTACAAGGCTACAGTAACCAAAACAGCATGATACTGGTACCAAAACAGAGATATAGATCAATGGAACAGAACAGAGCCCAGAGAAATAATACCACACATCTACAACCATCTGATCTTTGACAAACCTGACAAAAACAAGAAATAGGGAAAGGATTCCCTATTTAATAAATGGTGCTGGGAAAACTGGCTAGCCATATGTAGAAAGCTGAAACTGGATCCCTTCCTTTCACCTTATACAAAAATGAATTCAAGATGGATTAAAGACTTAAATGTTAGACCTAAAGCCATAAAAACCCTAGAAGAAAACCTAGGCAATACCATTCAGGACATAGGCATTTGCAAGGACTTCATGTCTAAAACACCAAAAGCAATGGCAACAAAAGCCAAAATTGACAAATGGGATCTAATTAAACTAAAGAGCTTCTGCATAGCAAAAGAAACTACTGTAAGAGTGAACAGGCAGCCTACAGAATGTGAGAAAATTTTTGCAATCTACTCATCTGACAAAGGGCTAATATCCAGAATCTACAATGAACTCAAACAAATTTAGAAGAAAAAAACAAACAACCCCATCAAAAAGTGGGCAAGGGATATGAACAGACACTCCTCAAAAGACAACATTTATGCAGCCAAAAGACACATGAAGAAATGCTCATCATCACTGGCCATCAGAGAAATGCAAATCAAAACCACAATGAGATACCATCTCACGCCAGTTAGAATGGCGATCACTAAAAAGTCAGGAAACAACAGGTGCTGGAGAGGATGTGCAGAAATAGGAACACTTTTACACTGTTGATGGGACTGTAAACTAGTTCAACCATTGTGGAAGACCGTGTGGCGATTCCTCAGGGATCTAGAACTGGAAATACCATTTGACCCAGCCATCCCATTACTGAGTATATACCCAAAGGATTATAAATCATGCTGCTATAAAGACACATGCACATGTATGTTTATAGCAGCACTATTCACAATAGCAAAGACTTGGAACCAACCCAAATGTCCATCAATGATAGACTGGATGAAGAAAATGTGGCACATATACACCATGGAATACTATGCAGCCATAAAAAAGGATGAGTTCATGTCCTTTGTAGGGACGTGGATGAAGCTGGAACCCATCATTCTCAGCAAACTATCAGAAGGACAAAAAACCAAACACCGCATGTTCTCACTCATAGGTGGGAATTGAACAATGAGAACACTTGGACACAGGAAGGGGAACATCACACACCGGGGCCTGTTGTGGGGTTGGGGGAGGGAGGAGGGATAGCATTAGGAGCTATACCTAATGCTACATGACGAGTTAATGGTTGCAGCACACCAACATGGCACATGTATACATATGTAACAAACCTGCACATTGTGCACATGTACCCTAGAACTTAAAGTATAAAAAAAGTCATATGTAAATTAGATAGTTTGAAGAATATACTTGAAATTTAACTGTCTCAAATGCTAACTGTGGAAAACTAATACACATTACAGCACATTCGTACAAACAAATATTTTTAGTTACATTAATTTTTTAAATGTATGTAATTAGATACCATATTGTATAAACAAAATGCTTCATAAAATAAAACCAAGACAAAATAATTGACTAAAGTCTTTAAGAATTTTAAGACTGGCTAGTACAAACTCCTTATACTCCTCCAAGTACTATTATCTGCATTTATCCTCACATCCTTTCCTGCAGTCTTAGATAAAGACGTTACCCACAATTTCTTTGTTTAATCTGATTCCTCCAAAATCTGCTGAGTCTTAGCAAACCAATTTTTATCATTTTTACTTTATCTTTAATATTTCCACCATCCTGATTTACTTCTTCTAGAGTGAAATATGTTCAAGTTTCTCCTATTAAAAATAAAAATAAAATACTCTCTATCAGCTTTCTACCTGCTTTTAAATATGCTTTAGATTCCTTCCCTTTAAAAGCACAATCTCAAAATATAAGTGTCCTCTATATTAATTTTAGCAACTTTGATTCCTTCTTAAACTAGCATGGTAAGGCTTCTGGCCTCACCAAAAAGACTCCAACAAAGTTACTGATGACCACTTAACTGCGAAATCTGTATATGTCTTTTGAGGTCTCATCTTACTGGGTTTTCTTGAAACATTTGACACCATCAACCATGTCCTTCATTAAATTAGCTTCCTAAGTTGCCAAACCATGGAAGCAGCTCACCTGGACATACAAATAATATCTTTTGTTCACTTTGTTGAAAAACTCATCGTCTTTCCCTCTAACCTAATCCACCTTCCTCATTTCCTATCTCAAGTTTTGCAAATATCAGTCAATCGCTCAAGCTAAAAACTTACGTGACATGATAGACCTCTCATTTCCTCAAGAATCCTATCCCCATCTTCCTTGATAATTAAATCTTGCGAATTCTATTTCCTGGATATCTGTAATTTCCATCTTCTTCTCTTCATCTCATAGCTTTATGTTCAGTTCTTTCATCTGTATCATTTCATTAGAACCCTACTCTAATCCAATTTTCCTTCTGCATTTCTGCCAGAAATAGCTGGTTGTATTATTTCTCTGCTCAGATGCATCAATGTTTTGTGATTCTCTACAGCAGAAGGTGAAACATCTTTGTCTGCATGAGGAAAAACTGTTTTTCTCTATAGTCTCATTCAACACTCACACCACCACTTCACTTCTGGTCACCAAATACGTGGGTTTTTTCCCATACTAAGCAATTCTCCAGTTCTCAATGGATACCAACTGGGTGTTCAGCAATTTAACTCAATCATAATAATATCCTAGAGACAGTGTCAGATCCTACAGGTTAATAGCTCAGTCTCAAAAGATGCTCTCTACTTCAGATGCCAATCGCAAGTCTAAGTTGCAACCTGTGCTTCTGACCAACTGGCTATAAATCAAACCATCTTCTTGGGTTTGATTATTTGCTAGAATGGCTCACAGAAATCAGGTAAAAACAATTACTGGCTTCTTATAAAAAAAAAAAGGGTAGAGATCAATAACTAGATAAAGATGTACATAGGGCAAGGTATGTGGAAATGGGCAGGGAGCTTCCCTGTCCTCTCCAGGCCTACTACCGTCTCAGCACCTCCAGGTGTTCAGTAACCTGGAAGGTCTCCAAACGCTATCCTTTTGAGTTTCTAAAGAGGCTTCCTTATGTAGGCATGATTGATAAAATCATTGACTGCTGGTAACCTATTCAACCTTCAGACCCCTCCTAGAGAAGGTCTGAGATTAGGGTTGAAAGTTCTTACCCTTGGCCGGGCAGGTGGCTCACTCCTGTAATCCCAGCACTTTGGGAGGCCAAGGCCAGTGGATCACCTGAGGTCAGGAGTTCGAGACCAGTCTGGCCAACATAGTGAAACCCTGTTTCTATTACAAATACAAAAATTAGCCGGGTATGGTGGCAGGCATCCATAATCCCAGTTACTCAGGAGGGTGAGGCAGGAGAATCACTTGAACCTAGGAGGTGGAGGTTGCAGTGAGCCAAGACCACGCCGTGGCACTCCAGCCTGAGCAGCAGAGTGAAACTCTGTCTCAAAAAAAAAATAAATAAATAAAAATGAAAGTTCTTACCCTCTAATCACAAGGTTGGTTCCCCTGGCAACCAGCTCTCATCTGAAAGTTATCCAGTAGCTCAGAGCCACTGGGCATCTCATTAGCATACAAAAATACACTTATTACATTTGGCCATTTCAAGAATTTTAGACGCTGTGTGCCAGGAAATGGGGTGAGAGGCAGACCAAATATATATTTCTTATTATGTCACAAATGCAGACATAAAGAATAGTATAATCAAGAAGAAATTCTTGTTTCAAATATATTCTATGTCATATTATTTGAGAATATATTCTAAATTCAGAAGAAATTGGAAGTAGTAAACTACTTTAAAAGGAAGCCCATATTAAAGTAGGTAATATAATTCAGAGAAAACTGTCATGTAAGGAGCACACACACAAATATAACAAATATTACTGGCTATATGCCAATGAATGTAATAAGAAAAGATACAAAAAAAAAGCTTGAAAATACCAACAGAACAATGGTATTATAGAAGTGAATGAGCAAATATTGCTGAATAACAGGGGAATGTGCACAGTTAATCCTATTATATTATGAAATTGACTACAGAAAGTAAATGTAGACTGTTTGTCATCAGCATAAAATAAACTAGACCACATGCTGACTCTCTTTGTAGGGTGAGACAGATGGCATCAATTTTTCCCTACTTCATGTTTGAGTCATTGTCACAGTGTACAGATCAAATGTACCAGCTCCACATTTTCAACATATCATGAGAAAATTTGACCTGTCACTTTTTCGACAAATCTTGGTTAACCGCAGATAACTTAAAATATTAAGTGACAAGTCAGAAGAATTCTCTTTTGCCAATATCTGACAGTGTGATATAAAATGGCTAAAGTCAATGTAATTTTGATGATGTCAAAAATATGATTTGAGATTAACCTTGAAGATATTATTATATTTGTTTTATACTGCTAAATTTACAAAATAAATATTTTTAAAAACAGATTCAGATTTGTCTTGATTATCTCAATAGATGCAGAAAAGGCCTTTGACAAAATTCAACAACCCTTCATGCTAAAAACTGTCAATAAATTAGGTATTGATGGGACATATCTCAAAACAATAAGAGCTATCTATGACAAACCCACAGCCAATATCATACTGAATGGGCAAAACTGGAAGCATTCCCTTTGAAAACTGGCACAAGACAGGGATGCCCTCTCTCACCACTCCTATTCAACATAGTGTTGGAAGTTCTGGCCAGGGCAATTAGGCAGGAGAAGAAAATAAATGGTATTCAATTAGGAAAAGAGGAAGTCAAATTGTCCCTGTTTGCAGACGACATGATTGTATCTAGAAAACCCCATTGTCTCAGACCAAAATCTCCTTAAGCTGGTAAGCAACGTCAGCAAAGTCTCAGGATACAAAATCAATGTACAAAAATCACAAGCATTCTTATACACCAATAACAGACAAACAGAGAGCCAAATCATGAGTGAACTCCCATTCACAATTGCTTCAAAGAGAATGAAATAACTAGGAATCCAACTTACAGGGGACGTGAAGGACCTCTTCAAGGAGAACTACAAACCACTGCTCAATGAAATAAGAGGATACAAAGAAATGGAAGAACATTCCATGCTCATGGGTAGGAAGAATCAATATCGTGAAAATGGCCATAATGCCCAAGGTAATTTATAGATTCAAAGCCATCCCCATCAAGCTACCAATGACTTTCTTCACAGAATTGGAAAAAAACTACTTTAAAGTTCATATGGAACCAAAAAAGAGCCTGCATCGCCAAGTCAATCCTAAGCCAAAAGAACAAAGCTGGAGGCATCACACTACCTGACTTCAAACTATACTACAAGGCTACAGTAACCAAAACAGCATGGCACTGGTACCAAAACAGAGATATAGACCAATGGAACAGAACAGAGCCCTCAGAAATAATGCTGCATATCCACAACTATCTGATCTTTGACAAACCTGAAAAAAAACAAGCAATGGGGAAAGGATTCCCTATTTAATAAATGGTGCTGGGAAAACTGGCTAGCCATATGTAGAAAGCTGAAACTGGATCCCTTCCTTACACCTTATACAAAAATGAATTCAAGGTGGATTAAAGACTTAAACGTTAGACCTAAAACCATAAAAACCCTAGACGAAAACCTAGGCATTACCATTCAGGACATAGGCATGGGCAAGGACTTCATGTCTGAAACACCAAAAGCAATGGCAACAAAAGCCAAAATTGACAAATGGGATCTAATTAAACTAAAGAGCTTCTGCACAGCAAAAGAAACTACCATCAGAGTGAACAGGCAACCTACAAAATGGGAGAAAATTTTTGCAACCTACTCATCTGACAAAGGGCTAATATCCAGAATCTACAATGAAGTCAAACAAATTTACAAGAATAAAACAAACAACCCCATCAAAATGTGGGCAAAGAACATGAACAAACACTTCTCAAAAGAAGACATTCATGCAGCCAAAAAACACATGAAAAAATGCTCACCATCACTGGCCATCAGAGAAATGCAAATCAAAACCACAATGAGATATCATCTCACAGCAGTTAGAATGGCAATCATTAAAAAGGTCAGGAAACAACAGGTGCTGGAGAGGATGTGGAGAAATAGGAACACTTTTACATTGTTGGTGGGACTGTAAACTAGTTCAACCGTTGTGGAAGTCAGTGTGGCGATTCCTCAAGGATCTAGAACTAGAAATACCATTTGACCCAGCCATCCCATTACTGGGCATATACCCAAAGGAGTATAAATCATGCTGCTATAAAGACACATGCACACGTATGTTTATTGCGGCACTATTCACCATAGCAAAGACTTGGAAGCAACCCAAATGTCCAATAATGGTAGACTGGATGAAGAAAATGTGGCACATATACACCATGGAATACTATGCAGCCATAAAAAACGATAAGTTCATGTCCTTTGTAGGGACATGGATGAAATTGGAAATCATCATTCTCAGGAAACTATCACAAGGACAAAAAACCAAGCACCGCATGTTCTCACTCATAGGTGGGAATTGAACAATGACAACACATGGACACAGGAAGAGGAACATCACACTCTGGGGACTGTTGTGGGGTTGGGGAGAGTGGGGAGGGATAGCACTAGGAGATATACCTAATGCTACATGACGAGTTAATGGGTGCAGCACACCAGCATGGCACATGTATACATATGTAACTAACCTGCACATTGTGCACATGTACCTTAAAACTTAAAGTATAATAATAATAATTAAAAAAAGAAATTTTGAAGCAGGGGACTCTATTTACATTGAAATATAAATAAAAATATTTCCAAGTGAAAAAAAAAGATTCGGATTAAGTTATGAAGGATAAAATATAGTTAAAATTTGGAAAAAAGTCTACATTAGCGTAATGATTTTTAAAACAAATATACTTTTGTTACATTTTGCTATATATAAATTAAGCTAGTAGCTAATAAGATATTTCCAGTAAATATCAGGACTTCCCTAATGAAGAGATTAAATCAACTCTTTGTCATCACTGTGTTATTTTATTCCTAAAATAAAATAACCATGTCATAAGCATAATGAAATTACAATTAAATTTGTTCTCTTGTTTCTCTCTCTATACTGCTCACTTCACAATCTGATATGCAAAGGTGACTTCCAAAGAAAACAATTTTTTTGAAGAAAAAAGTAAACTCTAGTCTATCTGTATTCTATTATTCCCAATAATGAATCAAGTTTGTGATTAATGAATATGTGTATAATACAGCGGAAAGAGGAATCATTGGGTTAGAGGGTCACATAATGACATCATATGGTTTTAATTTTCAGTGATCTTTTGCTAAGTAGTTATTAGTCATATGAACTTATATGATGAACCAAAGATCAAGATATCTATTGATTTGTACAAAATACTTTTCTAAGATATGACTCATTGCTTTACCTCAAGGATCTAAAAGGACATTCAAATTAGGCATTTATTTACAAAGTCTAATGCTGGCAGTGATAAACGTCATGACAAGTGTAAGATAAAGATCACAAAGTTATCTCTGAGATAGAAAAATATTTTATAGCCTAGGGTAAGGGGAATATATTGTCTCATTTGGAAATAATGGCTACAAGCATTGTTAATTCCTTTTATATTAAGCTGCAGATGACTTATCTAATAATAATACATACAACAGCATTTTTGTTAAGTGCCACCTGATGTTTGTTGTAGCAGTTAAAAGAAAATGAATTTTTAAGTTTCATGAATTCTCCTGTGATTTTTTTTGCAAACTTAAATAAATCATGTTCCTGTAGTTATGTAAATGGTGTTAACTTCCTTCTGTTCTTTCTAAAGCTAAGGTTACTAAAAATATGTAGTGCCAGACCACAGAGAATTAAATCTGATAGCATATGCTGGTGGAGCTAGGAATTATTAAAACAGACACTGAACCTGGTGTGTTGAGAGAAAAAAGTAGCTTAATTATTTAGTTATGCTGTTTCAACCTTCACAGTTGACTTTTCAGGACTAATGCATTAAAGAGGCCATGCCAAAAAGTAGAATCATCTTTTTTGCCTATTGTGGTTTAAGTGTTATCCTGCTTAAAAGCAGAAATATGGATGAGATAACCAAAGTAAATCAATTAAACTGGCTGGTGCTCTGTCCTTGTTTTGACCAGTGATTCCCAAACTTGGCTGCATGTCAAAATCACCTGAGGAACTTTAACTACCACTGAATCCCGGGTTCCAAGCCCAGACATTTTGACGTTATTAGTCTGGAGGGCCTCAGCTTTCTGATTCTAATATGCAGCCAGGATTGAGAACCACTGACCTAGTCAGAGAACATATTAGAAAAGAACATGGATTTTGGGGAGTCAAAATAGGCCTACTTAGAACCTCAGCCATAAGTACGATTTAGGATGTTCAATTATTTAGGAGCCTCTGCAACAGGGCTGTTGAGACAGCAAAATAATATTATTCATGTAAAAACTCTTGGCTTAAATTGGCACTTAATAGGCATTAATAAATATTATTTTCCTATTCTCTCCCTCTGCATTACCCCTCGGCACTCTGGCCCTGTAAGAAGTAGAAGACTAAATATAATAGCTACTGTTCACTGCCTGTGTGATGTTTCTACTTTGTTTAAATTCTAGTTCTGGTTTGAAGAACACTGCTGGGTAATTAGGAATATAAAGAATTTAATGAACATAGTCTTCTACCTCCCTCACTCTTATTCCTGATTTATTGCTTCTTGATCATCCTTTAAGGTCTCCATTTGAATGTTACATCCTCAGGTAATCCTTTCCTAGGTGTTCTCCCCACCTCAACCTAAGCTGCAGTCTCCTCCATCTCATTTCCAGGATGTTTGTCATGAATTTGTGGAGTCTTCTATTGTGTCCTTTAGGGCACATAGTGCCTACTTAATAATTCCAGATGAATAAATGAAGGAATTTAAAATAAAATAATATTGTAACTAGTACAAGGAAGTATTTAGCTGAGTTTCAAATAGATGTCTGTAATATTAACATCACTTTGAGAGTGTCCAAAGTGGTTGCACATGAGTAGTTTTGTTTAATTCTTTTATTTATTATTTTATTTTCCTTTATTTTCTCAAAAAAAGGCATTTTTTGATTGCCCACGGTTTTCTGACAGGCACTGTTCTAGATATTGGAGACGTAGAAATGAACAAGATCCTGGATACTGGAGACATCAACAGTGTTTTGGTTCTCTTTGAGCTTGCATTCTAGTCAAGGTAAATAGGAAAAAAAAAAAGTAGTACATGAATAAACAATGTAGTATTATTTCATTAGTAATAAATGCTCCAAAATAAAGACTGTAAGAGAATGACTGTGGTGTCTGTGTTAACGCTTATTGCATAAGGAGGGATTCTTCGAGAAACTAACATCAGAACTGGTATCTGAAAGACAGAAGTGAACCAGCCACATGATGATCTGAGGATGTAAATTTAAATTTACAGGGCAAACAAAACGGAAGTACAAATTCCTCAAGGTGGATCTGAGTTGTCATATTCTATGAACAGTAAGCAGCTCATCTAACAACATAGGAAACAAGAAGAGAAAGATGGAAAATGAGATTAGAGGATAGTCAGGGTACGGTTCATGTAGACATTTATATCCATGGGGTCTCATTTTTTATTCTAAATATATTGGGAAATCTTTGGAGTCTTAATGGCTCTAGAGGTTGGGAAGTTTATATTTAAACCTAAGAGATTTATATTTATTTAAATAATATGGCTGACATGTGGAGAATGGATTTGCGGAGTTGGGGGCGTAGGAGTGAGGAATGGGGAATATATGAGCACCAGAGTGGAAGTGAGGAGACTTCTTGCAGTTGTCCATGCAAGAAATGGCGGTAAATAATCATAAGCAGCAGCAGCAGCAAAGGTGGAGACATGGATGGAAGGAATATATTTTGGAGTCAGAGCAGGCAAGACTTCCTGATAAATTGGGTATCAATGTTGTTATTGGAAGGGGATAGCTGAATATGTAACAGGCCAGCTCTACCCTTTATGATGAGGGCTTGGTGGTTGGTTGGTTTGTGTAGATGTGAGTCCTTCTACTGCATCCCTGATGACTTCCAAATCACAAGACACAGGCAACAATTTCTAATCAATGTTCCTGAATACAGCCTTGGCTGTGGTTGTCAGGAGAACTTTTACTGAGGATTAAGAATCTCAACAGTTCTTTAAATGATGGATTAGGGTTTGGAAGGTTATGTGTAAAAGCATGACAATAGAGAAGAAAACAATCTGAAAAAGTTTGAGAGGTCATGAGTAGATAAGTTTGTCTGGAGCTACAGTTATTGTAGGGGAAAGGGGAAAGATACATATGGAATGAAAACCTGAGTTCATTTTATGGAGAACACGGAAACTCATACTAGAATCCATAAATTATGGGTTTATAGAACTAAGAAAGTTTTTCTGAGAAAACTTCATATGAAATCATACGAAGGTGATTGATTTAGCAGTATTCACATAATGGCTTGGAGGTGAGGAAAAGCCTAAAAGCAAGGAGACTATGTAAAAATCATTTAAGCAAGATTATTCATCCATTAGTCTGTTCAGTTATTCAGTTAAAAAACATTCATTTAGTAATTGCTGTATGCCAAAAACCCATGGTCACCAGGACTCTATTTTTACCTAAAAGCTATAGCTAGACACTCCCAAAGAGAGGGTAAAATACAAATCTCTTAAATCAAAAAAGAAAACGTCTGGAAAAGAAACTTGCTTTTACTATTCTAATTTGATAACACTGTGATTTATGGTACTAGGGTGTGTTTATGTACATGAGATTGTTTCCGAGGGATAGATTTTTAAATATCTTTAGTACTGCTTTGCAAATTAATAGTATATTTTATATATTTCCAAATGAGTGTTTTTGCAGGTCCCCTGACTGATTATGGTTTAAAAGTCAGACCATATAATTTAAATCAAACTATTACTTTATAATATTAGTATACTGTATTATATATGCTTAAAATATAGATGTTTATTTCATTAGACAAAATAGTTGTTGTAAAAATAAAAAGATGCAATTTACTATTGGATGATTGGACTAAACTAAGTCCTTTTAACTTACATAAGGGAATAATTATTAAATTAAAATGTGAGTCTTTTCCCTATTTTAGGATATTTGGTATGAATGTTTGTGATATGGGACTTTTTGTTTTTAATCATTCATTCATCAGTTTGACAGATATTGAGCTTATTTATGATATTTGACTTTTAAGAATAAAATCCCTAAAAACATTTGTGTACAAGTGTACAACATAGATGTATGTTTTTATTTCTTCTGTATCAATGCCCGGTAATTCAGAATTGAATTTTATTTTATTTTTTTTTATTATTATACTTTAAGTTTTAGGGTACATGTGCACAATGTGCAGGTTAGTTACATATGTATACATGTGCCATGCTGGTGCGCTGCACCCACTAACTCGTCATCTAGCATTAGGTATATCTCCCAATGCTATCCCTCCCCCCTCCCCCCACCCCACAACAGGCCCCAGAGTGTGATGTTCCCCTTCCTGTGTCCATGTGTTCTCATTGTTCAATTCCCACCTATGAGTGAGAATATGCGGTGTTTGGTTTTTTGTTCTTGCGGTAGTTTACTGAGAATGATGATTTCCGGTTTCATCCATGTCCCTACAAAGGACATGAACTCATCATTTTTTATGGCTGCATAGTATTCCATGGTGTATATGTGCCACATTTTCTTAATCCAGTCTATCATTGTTGGACATTTGGGTTGGTTCCAAGTCTTTGCTATTGTGAATAATGCCACAGTAAACATACGTGTGCATGTGTCTTTATAGCAGCATGATTTATAGTCCTTTGGGTATATACCCAGTAATGTGATGGCTGGGTCAAATGGTATTTCTAGTTCTAGATCCCTGAGGAATCGCCACACTGACTTCCACAATGGTTGAACTAGTTTACAGTCCCACCAACAGTGTAAAAGTGTTCCTATTTCAACAGTAATGTTAGAACTGTATTTGACACTACAATCCTTGAGAAAAAGAGGTTATAACAAAAATAATTTTAAAAATATTAAGAGTATAGTCTGGGGATTTGAAAACAAGGTAAAAATTTCTGATTTTCTGGCATGAACAGAAGAGTGACTAAAACTGAGTAAAGAAAAATTTGCAAAATCCTAAAAGAAAGTACACCAGAAAAGGAGAGTGAAAGCAACCAGTAGCCATAGCACTGTTGGCATAATGACCAGCATGTAGAAAACTGGCTACATGTTACATTTCTTCCCCCAAATGTTTTGATCCTGTGCTTAGGGAGCTCTTTTTCTGAGCACATGCCTGATTTTACATAAATGTAAATGCAAAAAAAAAAGATGCTTAAAAATTATTTAAAAATCATATTTTCGGAAATTTTAGGAAGTTTTACCTGTATGTAAATATAATTCCACTCCAGAATAGAATGTTATCACATGTTAGAAGAATTAAAATTTCAAATATTCCTGATAAAACTACATATAAAATTTGCCAGTCAACTCATAATGTTGATTAAGAATTTTTTGCTATGAATTTTGCTAATAGTCTCTGTGATTATTTTTATACCTCTGCTTTAAATCCATTTTAGTCAATCAATAGTTATATTGTTCTTTCTGAGAAAGTAGAACATAACTCTGGGTTTTAATTATCCTCAAGAGATAGGTAAATTTTTTAAAGATGAAAACCATCTGATAAATTATTTATATAGACCTGAACAAAATCACAGCTACAAGATATGCTTAGGAGTTTACTCTCAAAGAGTATTTTCTTCACACTGCATTTTTGAAACCTACGTTCTGTTTGCAAAGTAATACTGGTATTAGGAAATGCGCTGATAATATCACATTTTCTTCTAGAGAACTTTAGGAACTTTCTAGAAAACATATGCTTACAGTTCTTTACTGTAAATAATTTAAGACTACTTCAAGTAAATCACTGAATTAAATTTCAGATTGTATTAAAACAAGTATGATTGCATTGTATCGAATGCAAATTTCTTTGGGAGCATATTGATTAATGAGCAATTTTACAAAAGATGAAAAAGAGAATGGTTAATCAAGACATAGCATTGCTCTAAAGCTCATTTAGCAAGCAATTACTTCTGATTCACTGAAAACCAGTAGGCTGTGCCTTAAGTCAATTTCCAGGTGAGGCAAAGTAAATGCCCCTGATGTCTTACTATGTATTTTCAAAAATAGACTAAGTTAACCAACCCAAATCAACACAATTCATGACTTTAAGTTATATGAGTTTTTAATGAATTAAATTACTTTTCAACAAACCTGAAAAAAGATCTTGAAGTCATGCCTAGCAGTTAATTAATAAAGCTTAATTTAGTACCATCTCTTTAACAACAGAGTATATTAGAATGTAGGTGTGTATTTTCTACAGGATGGTTAAAGTTTATCAGTTACTCAGCTGAGAATTTTGAATAAATGTCTTCATGATATAGAATATCATAAAACAATAATACATAAAATTGCCCATGTGGCAAACCTCCATGTAATAGTGAATTAATAGACACTGCTCTATTTTTTTCTGATCCTATATCCTCGTTTTTTATAAAACAATGAAGAATGCTTAATATTGGTAGCTCAGAAATATTAGCTTATGTAACAGATGAGGATAAAATCTTTTGTGCAGCAATTGAATAAATGAATCCACAGCGGAATAGCTGAAACTGTGTTTAGAATCTTTGATTTCTGATGGCATCTTACTTTTGTTCTTTGGTTTTATTGGTTAATAAAGATTAATCAGTGTACTTCTTAGGTCACCCTGTCTTTCTGCAACTATTAAATATAGCTTTATGATGTTGAATGTAGGTGATTTAATGACATAAGCAGAAGCACCGAGGAAATAGCATCCAGCTCTCTCTAAAGGAATCAGGAGGCTTCAGAAATGAGTTGATAGTTGACGTAGATTTTAACTTTCAGATTTAAAAAAAATACTGTGTGGGAAACACAAAATCTTATTGTTCTAAGATTTTAAATTCTGCTAACTATTTTAGGACAGGTTAAAATTGTTTTAATATGTCTGTTTTATTAATTTTCAGTTCAGCAAGTCAAATATGTCATAATTAAGCTTTTTAAGAGTGAGTATTTTTGTGAGAGAAGTGCTTCTTTTTATTTTTATCCCTCTCCCTAAGTAGTGTTTGAACCTACCATATCCACAGCACTCTAGAAAACATTGGGACTACAAGTACAAATTAGATATGTTGATTCCCTCTTCATTTGTCCATTGAAAAACATATATTAAGCACCTACTGTGTGTATGAAATTGTCCTTGGAAAAATAATGATGGGAAAAAATTACAGAAAATGTAACTAGGCAATTGTAATAAGTGCTATAGAGAAGAGATATATAGGACAATAAGAGAATATAAAAGGTGGATCTGACCTCATCAAAGATGTCACAATGTTTTCAGAGCATATGATACAAAAGCAAAACTACAAAGGATAACTAATAATAGACTAGGTAAAGCCAGATGTGTTAGGAACAAGGTGGAGTACTCCAGGCAAGGGGAACATCATGTGTAAAGGTGAAGACTTTTAGGCACAGAGCAACTAAGATGAGAGAAAGAAGGCCAGTGTGCCTGGAAAGGAATGAGGTAGACCGTTCTAAAATTATAGGACAAAAATGAAGTTTTGACTCAATTTTTGTAATTGATGCATAATAATTATATTTATGAGGTACAGTGTGCCATTTCAATGCATTATACATAGTATAACGGTCAAATGGGGTTAATTATCATATTTATCACCTTAAATATTGATCACTTATTTGTGGTGACAACATTCAAAATCTTCTATTCTAGCTAGCTTGAAATACACACTGCATTGTTATTAGCCATAGCCACCCTACTGTGTAATGGAACACCAAAACTTATGCTTCCTGTCTGACTATAACTTTCCATTCATTGACCAAGCTCTCCCAGCAACCCCCTTCTCCACCACTCACCCCTCGCCAGTATCTGGTAACCACTATTCTACTCTCTATTTCTACGAAATCAACTCTTTTAGGTATCACATATGAATGAGATAGTGCAGTGTTTGTCTTTCTGTGCCTGAATAATTTCACTTAACAAAAGTTCTGCAAGCTTATGCATGTTATGCAAATGACAGGATTCATTCTGTTTTATGGATAAATAGTATTCCACTGTGTGTGTGTGTGTGTGTGTGTGTGTGTGTGTGTGTGCGTGTGTGTGTGTGTGTGTTGCATTTTCTTTATTCATCTGTAGATGAGCACTTAGGTTGATTCCATATCTTGGCAATTGTGAATTGCACAGGAATAAACATGGATGTACAACCCATGATTTAATTTTTTTCAAGAAAAAATAACAACCATTGAAATGTTTTAAGCAAAGAGATGAATTAGATTTGTGCTTTGAAAAGATAATTTTGGCAGCAAGATAATTCTGGAGAACGTATTAATAGGAGGCTAGAGTAGATGTGGTCACAAAAGTTAGAAAGAAGTCCCAAGGAAAGAAAACTGTCATTTCTTTTAGGATACTTGTATAGCAGGTAGACAAGTGAACATAATTGAGATACCTTTAGGAAGTGAAGTCAATAGACCTTGGTGATGGATGCATATGGGGGTAAAGTATGACCTTGAAGGGTCTGGTTTACCTAACTAGCAGAATCACAATGCCATGAATTAAAACAGTAGATACTAGGAGAGGATTAGGTATAAGAAAGGATTTAGATATACATGGAGAGTATTCATAAGTTCAGTTTTGGTGAAGTTAGGTTTTAAGATGTATCTCAGAGGAGATATCTAGAAACATCCCAGAGAAGAAGTTTACTTCTTGGTTAGATATGTGTGTATAGTGTTTACAATGAAGACTGAGTTAGAAATATAAATTTGTGAGTCATCTGCATATAGAAGATAATTGAAGCCATAAACATAGATGATATTATCTCAAAAGAGAGAATAGAAAGAGAAGAAAAGCAATAGGATTTGGAACTGAGTCTACATTTGCTAAAAATTATAATGGCCTCAAAGAGCTCATATCCTGGAAAGAAAAAAGATGCACCCACACAAATACTTAGCATTAAAATACACTTTGTTAATGGCCATAATTGTCTTTTCTTCTACATGGTCCAGGATAAAATACAGGGCTCGAGTTGCCAAGGAATTCTGGTCAGTGGAATGGAAGAAAACACACACAGACATCCAAGAACAATTGCACAAGGAAGAATAGATCATTTCTGTGGAAATACCATCTAATCTCAAATGAAGGGGAGTTTGAGGCCCCATACAGTTGGGATGGAGCATGAGGCCAGGGTAGAGATAAGATAGATGGAGGAAGGTTGATTATATGAATGCTTCAGGACACAGTCTGTTAATAAAATGCCTGCATTTGGTGTGCAGAGAAAGATCAGAAGATAGTGAAAGTATGCACACAATATTTTGGAAGCACAGAGGACATAGCTTCTAACTTCTTCAAATGGAATCACAGAATCTTCATAGATTAAGTAGCACTTTTTCGACAGGATGTTTTCATGTGAACAGGAGAATCAAGAGCACATTTTTCAAATTAGAGAATGTTTTTAATTTAAATTACTTCAGGAAAGAGATGCAAAACTAATTGTCTTCCCACTTCTCATGAGATGAAATATGTGAAGAGTGAGAAAGTAAATTGAGCAAATTTCATTGAAAGTGGCAGAATGGGGAATTAAGAGTAAGGAGAGAACTACTATAAAATAAAGGACTGACTTTGCAAAGTTTACCCCTAAACTGAAAGGAAGGAAGGATTCTGATCAGAAATGAGTGTGAAGAACATGGAAAGATTTAAAGACAGTTATATCTCATTGTAAAGAAGTAGACAATATTATTCAAAGTGAAAGAATAAATGCGTGGTGTGGCTTAGGGGGATTGAGTGGTGATCTATGTATCATGGCTGCTATTAAATAGCATATGCCTATTTATTAAACTCTGTGTATGTATGTGTGTCTGTGCGTATGTCTTTGTGTATCGACTTTGACCTTAATAAACTTACATCTAAAAAAATATATTTTACATAGTCCTATAGAAATATATCTGTTTTTATAACATGAAGTGTCTTGGCTCTTAAAACTGTAGGGATGCATTGACTGATATCTATTTCTTGGCATAAATACTTGAATACATAAACTTTATTGCTTTTGACAAAATTATGTTACCAGATAAGATAATGTCCCCAAAACAGCATACGCTTCATTAACATTTTGATTCTCTTTTGGAAAGTTAATGAAAATAATAAGAACCACCATTTATTGAGAAATTACTATCTTCTAACTACTGTAGTGGGAATTTTATACCCATTATTCAGTTTATTCCTTATGAATCTGGTTTTATTATTTTATCATTCCCATTTTGTAGATGCCAAAATTGATCATTTGATCAGTTGATCAAGATCACTGCACCCTAAATGGGAGAGCAAGGTTTCTAACTGGTCTGCTTGAGTGCGCAGGCTTTGACTCAAACCACTCCCTAGGTTTATCTTGATAATGATTTATTTATTTCTTTGCAATTCAAACTTTAAGGGTTGATTTTTTAAAAACTTACCTCTGCTAATTTTCACATTTCTTAAATTTAGCTTCTGTAATAGAAATGTAGCCCAAGAACAACTTGGCTTCCTGGGAGTCAGTCTTAAGAGACTTTATGTAATACCTTCCCCTTGTCTCCAACACACACTCTCTCTCTTTCTCTCAAAAGAACAGACATGATTAAATTCAAACAAGAATACAGTGCAGGACTTTGTAAAAACATTTCTTTAAATGACAAACTTCCACCAAAATTTCTTTATACCATAGCTGCTGCAGCCATTTTTGTTGTTGTTCTCACCTTATCTTTTCCTTCTAAACCCTTGTTTCTAAATTTGCTCTCTCCTCCCCTTCCTAGTTATAGCTATGACAGTGTATGTCTTTTCCTCACACAACCACAACTTTCTGGAAGGTTCTATCCTCTCCTTATTTTCTACTCTTCCGTTTGCAATTTATCAACCAAAAGGCCTAACCATAAAACTGATTTTCTTTAAGATCCAATCTGCCATGAGGCAAAAGCCATAATCTTTGTTTTCTTTCATTGAAATTTGAGACACTATTTACATGGTAGCAATTAAACTTACTTTATGAACATTTTTAGATGTTTATAAATATAATACTTTATTCTTGAAATAACTAGAAATACAGTTATACCCTAAATTTGAAAACTGAATTGTATTTAGAATTTAAGTCCTAAATTATGAATTCCAAATTTGAAAAGAACATACAAAACATAGTTTTTACTTTTACTTTGGAAAATCTTGAGCTGAATAACTAATACTTCTTTTGTTAAAAAAAAATCTTGAACTTGGCATCCTTTTATAAATTCTTATCTGTTATTTCTTTATGCTGAGAAACATAGCTTTGTAGCTCTACCTTCTTATTCACAGTATCTTCACTACATTATTTTTAGGAAATTATGTTGAATATCTGTTTATGATGATGCATTATAAAAATTCAGATAAATATTTATGCTAAGTAAATATAAAATATACCTGACTTGCTGTATTTCAAACAGAAAGAGGCCTAAAGAAAGGGCAAGAAAGAAATACAGAAGGCCTAACATATAATTATGTATTTAATTATTTATGAGAGAAACCTTGGAAGAAGTTGAAGTTTTAAAATTATATGCTTAACAGATATCAGTTAGTAATTAGTACCACCAATTTCAGATATCAAACTGATAAGGATAAAAGAGCAAAAATAAAAATTAACAGAGCATAAGCCATTTATAGAAGCTCTTAAATCTTTTTCCTTTGCTTGAAACTGAATGAAATAATGAAGACATTTTGAGGCTATTCTGAACAGAGCTACAGAGCAAAATGTGCTAGAGAAATCGGAGAATTTTTGCACAGATGGTCTGCCACAGAACTTGCCAAATTCAGCCAACACACAGGAGCTCTGGGAAAGGCTTTTCTTCCAACAGGCGAATATAGTGCCTTTCAAATTTGGATTGCCAAAACCAAAATCTGGGAATGTCATATTGTGATGTTGCTTACCACTGATGAGAATCATAAATAACCAGAACACTATACAGTTAGGATAAAAACTATTTGTGATCCAGATCACCAGACTGAAATTTTAGCCATGTATGTACTCCTTGTGGCCATTTTTGCCCTCCTCCAATCTCTTCTCAGCACGAAAGCCAGAGTGATTTGTTTAAAATGCAAATCTCATCTTTTCTCAGCCCTGAATGACACTGATCCATGGTTTCCCTTTGTTCTTGAGATACAACCCCAAATACATGACATGCTGCAGGCCTGCCTGATAGGACCCCACCTATCTTTAGTCAGAGTATGGAGTAGCTGTCTCTGACTCAGACCTATCATCCATGAAGTTCTAGCCCATGGGCATTTGCTGTTTCCTATACAGGAAAACAGACCATTACTTATATTACCACATCACTCACCAATTTACCCTGGGACTTACTAAGTTAACTTGGGTTGTATTAAATTATTTTTTAGGAGATCCTTATCTGACCAATTTCCCACCCCTACCCTCATCTCCACTAGATCAGGTTGACCTGCTTATAGAATGTCATAGCATCGTATATTTTCCTTTAAATAAGATAGAATAGTTTTGCAAAGTACCTAAAGTATAAGATATGTTAATTAATATTTGTAGAATAATGAATGTATTAGTCCATTCTTATGCAGCTATAAAGGACTGCCCAAGACTGAGTAATTTATGAAGGAAAGAGGTGTAATTGACTCACAGTTCTGCATGGCTATGGGTGCCTCAGGAAACTTAGAATCATGGCTGGAGGGGAAGCAAACACATCCTTCTTCATATAAGGGCAGGAAGGAGAAGTGCCAAGCAAAAGGTGCAAAACACCTTATAAAATAATCAGATCTTGTGAGAACTCACTATCATGAGAACAGCAGCATGGGGGTAATTTCCTCCATGATTCAATTACCTCCCACCTGGTCCCTCCTGTGACATATGGGGATTATGGGAACTACAATTCAAGATGAGATTTGGGTGGGGACACAGCCAAACCATATCAGTGAATTAATAAAATTAAACTATTTTTAAATGCAAGTTTGAAAATAATAAAAAAGGAGGCATTGATATATTCATAAATATGTTTGTGGTATGTATTTCAATCTCAAGAAAAGTGAAAATAAATGTAGAGATTGTATTTACACACATTTTTTCATGCAATATTTTAAAGGACAAATAGAATACTAACTTACTACCGTACTGGTTCATTGTTGAAAATGCAATATCCTAGTGGTGATAGTTGCATAAAGCTCTGAACATACTAAAAACCTTTGAATTGTATACTTTAAAAGGGTGAACTTCATAGTATGTGAAATATATCTCAATAGCACTGTTATTAAAAATGCAATGTTCTCATGGAACAGAGCTTAAAGAGAAAGATATTCATCACTAACTTGCAATAGTTTATTCTCAATATTTTTGATGCACCAAATAAAAAAAATCCAGACTTAGGCAAGGAGAGACTTTCTTCTAAAAGATTATTGCAATAGCAGGAAGAGACTATTGCTATGAGGAGAACACTTCTATCCAAAAAATCTGTAAGTGTTTCAAAGTTCAGGTAGAAAGGGCTCTTCTTTTACAGGGAAGAATAAACAAGGCTGGAAATAACCAGGTGTTGGAAGTAGGATGAGTAAGTGGCATGATAGGACAGTGGAGCAAAAGAAATAAATGTCTTCTTTGGCAGTAGCTAATTCCCCAAAGGGGCCATTAAAAGGGGGTTGTTCAGCACTCCAGTGCTTACTTAAACTAAGGACAGGCCAAATTTTAGGGATTTCAGGGAAGCAGAGAAGCCTGACTAAAGTTTGGTCAATTCAAATTAGCAAGCATTTGTCCATAGTGGTCAGTGGGGACAAGCAGTTTGTTTATGAGACAGATAATGAGAACTTGGAGAGTCTGTATCTGGCCTTGGTGTAGGTAAACAAGGGGGCATGCTTGAGTTTTATCTAACTCATCTGGGGAAGGTTGATTCTTTGCAGAAAACTGATCTCTGGAACACAAACAAGTTGGGAGATTTATTAACTGTATCTGTTTTCTAGGAGGATTGGGCCTCATGTGAAGGTCAATGTTGTCTGTACTCTCTAATGAAAAGAATTCTTCCAAAAGATGTTTTTGGTTACATTCATGAATACAATGGTCAGTGCAGACTGTCAAGTGGAACATAGCTCAGATCACATTAAACCAGTGAAATTTCTGCACCCCATACATAATGAATTGTGGATATCTGCAGCAGATGGGTAGGCTGAGGAGGAAGTTAATGTTTGTAGCACAAATATTTTCTATATTTGAAATTTTGTCACCTTATTGTAAAATATGCACGTTCACAAATTTACTATTGCTTTGGGAAGCATTACTGTGGGTATCCTGATAGAAGTGGTTAGAACATAGTTTTGGCAACAATTGTAGGCAGTATTAAATATTTTATGAGAAATACATTAGTATAAATCACCATTTAAAAAAGTGAAACATGAATCACCACCCAAATAATTGGACTTCAGTGCAAGAAATCCTGATTTATCTTCACTGTTGATACTGTGTATGTAAATGCCATTTCTCAGAAGCATAAAACTCTGAGTATAATATATTGGTTAGTGTAAGCAGTATAATATATATTTTTCAGACTGTGCTAGTTTCATTAATCATACAGTTTAAGAATTTTAAGCTTATTTTTTATGAGGCATTGCATTACATGTGGCATTGATATGCATGTGTAATTTATTACTTGGCAAGTGAATTATCCTAGACTATTTTATGTGCTTGATATATTGATTTTCAGTTGTGATAGATCATTTTAAGATTGCACGACTTTACTCATGGTGATTTATCCCACAGAATCACACAGACTGTGGGGCAAGCTGATACAGCCCCTTGAACACTTTCTATCAGCTATAAATAGAGTTGTTAACTGGAATTCTTAACCCCAGTAGGGAAACATATTTAGCAAGTTGAAAGAAATAACTTTCATCCAAGATCTAATTAGTTGTTGAAATAAGTGTCCATAAAAAGTAGTTTCAATATGTCTTTTTCTTTCATGTATTAATCTTGTAAACCCCCTTTTCTAATAAGTAATGAGATATACTGTCAAAGAATGATAAAGATGTCATCAGTTTGTTTAAAAGATCTGTCTTCTATGATTGCTGATTGTCTTTTTATCTTCATCAGCTCAAAGACATACATATGCATTGACTTGAATTATCATTACCACTTTTCCTTGTAGAAAATTTACTTTGAACAGAACTCCATGGAAAAAAAATATGCAGTGCCAAAACACCAAATGCATGATGGACTCTTGTGAACATATTGCATAGAAGAACCAGATAAGTGAAAGGGAGTATTTTTAGAATTGTAGGAGTACTTTTGGAATACTTATTAGGATTTCTAATAAATAGTGCCAAGGTCACTCTGAAAAAATATATGTCATTTTGTCACTGGTCGTAAGGTACTTAAATCACATAAGCATAAGAAAGGATATCTGTGCATATAGAAGGGTTATTGTCACATACTAAGCATTTGATAAATGTTGTTGACTACATTAAGGAAATACTCAGTGAGTTAAATTGGATTTGAAACTACATGTTCACTGTAACATAGTAGTCACAAATTAGGCTTTAGAGTCAGACAATTCTTTACCTTTTCTGAGCTGTCTGACCCTAGACAAGTTGCCTAACTTTCTAAGCCTCAGTCTTCTCATCGGGAGATGCAGATATGGACAGTAAAGAGATTCTGTGAGGGTTGGCCGGGTGCAGTGGCTCATGCCTGTAATTCCAGCACTTTGGGAGGCCCAGATGGGCGGATCACGAGGTCAGGAGATCAAGACCATCCTGGCTAACACGGTGAAACCCCGTCTCCCCTAAAAATACAAAAAAAATTAGCCGGGAGTGGTGGCGGGCGCCTGTAGTCCCAGCTACTTGGGAGGCTGAGGCAGGACAATGGTGTGAACCTGGGAGGCGGAGCTTGCAGTGAGTCGAGATCGCGCCGTTGCACCCCAGCCTGGGTGACTGAGCGAGACTCCGTCTCAAAAAAAAAAAAAAAAAAAAAAAGATTCTGTGAGGATTAAATTAAATGATATAGGTAAATCACCTAGCACACTTGCCTGGTAAATGACATGACCACAATAAACATCAGCTGTTGTTTATATTTCTTATTTTTTATGTTTATCACTTAATAAGTCTTTCTTCATGCATCTGACTTTGTTCACAAATGTGTTGGGTGACTTAATGAGAGCTAAAATAATAAAGGTGTGATTCTTTTTTGTTTAAATAGAATGGCTTGTACTAAAATGAAACAAAAGATTTCAGTTTTAATATGGTAACTTTAAAATAATTTTCAACACATTTGAATGTGAAAAAAACTGATTTTACTAGATAAGAAATATGATTTTTCTGTGCTGTGTATATAGAAGGAATGTATTTGAAGACAATGATCAAAAGGACAGTGTTTGTGAAAACAACAAACTATACGTTTTGAGATATGGGACTGACCTTCCATATGCCCAAAGCTGTAGAAAAACAGAATTTGACTCTCATATATCATAAATCTATAATTGAAGTAATAGCTATTTTTTTAAAAAAGAAGGAGTTGTAAATAAGCAGCCTAAAGCCACCTATAGAGAATTGCATTTAAAACAAGGCAATAATTGAATCATTGGAACTCACAACTGTTGTTGCAAAAACTGCCACTAGATGTCATCCAGTTCTTATGCTGCCTCCTAACAAAAAGTATATTTTGTTAAAGAATATGATGTCTTTCAGAATTTAAATTCCAGACTCTTGATGGACATAGGTAATAAGGTATTGAGGTATATTAGGTACATTAGGATTTGATAGAACTACCTACCACTAAGATTGTATCTATTAGAGAACTAAACAACTATTTTGATCAAACTGACCTGTGATTTAGCCAAACTTAGATTTAATTAATTTGATAAGTCTGTTTTATGGCTTTGACAAATACTTGGCAGGCTTGTTGACTAATTTTGCCACTGAATATAGATTTAAAATACAGATATAGTCCTTGTTGTTCCATGTATTTATTCAACTTAGCTTCTTAGGAGTATTTTTGTATTAGTGTCATAGAAAGTCAATCCTTATTGGGTCTGTTCTGTGCTGTGACTTTAGCAGAGCCTATTTTACAAGCAGGGCTATTTTGGACTCTACTTAAGAATATTATTACTGAAATAAGAAGGAACAAAAAACACCTAAAACATGTTCACAAACTGGAGAAAAAATTCTAGCTTGTTTCCAAAATAATATTTTAAAGAGCTAGTTTGCATGCTTGCATTTAAAATGGGATGCTCAACTTTTATTTTGAAGTTGGTATATATTTCTTCACCAATAATATTTGGAGAAAATTAGCTAAAAGTACACTGGTCTGAAAGCTAGAAAACTTGTGTTAGTTACACAGTTTAGATGTCACTTCTACCTTCCTAGTTATGCCATAAATTGCACGGCCATTTATCCCATCTGAATTTTAATATTTCAATCTGTAACTGTTTGCATAAGGATCATATGTGATGATATACATTTAAAAGTTGTACAAATTTTACATTATTATGGATTTAGAAAGTTCTGTCTCATCCTGTAATTTTCACGTAAACAGTCCTGGAATCTCTCCAGGGATTATTGGAGGTGGGGGATTAGGGATGTGTGAGGAAGTGAAGGACAGGGAACACACTAATATTTCTCCTAACTACCTTTTTTCCTAGCCCTTCTCTTTTGGAATTAGTTCTATTTGTGGAACTTTTTTGCCCTGTGCTAAAAGTCAGCCCAATTTCTTTATTTTATGAATACCACCATTAGGTTGCATTTGCGACAGAATTTTCCTGAGGTAGAGTTTATATTGAAGAATCTCAAACTTAAAATTGAATATTAAACTTCCTTATTATCTATTGGGTACCCCACCACTGGCAATTTCTCCCTGACCACATTTACCACCGGAGCCCTGCAGATTCCTGTATCTGGCCATGTTCCTCTCTCCCTCCCTCACTTGTCTGCTCCTATCTCAGACCTCCAACCTTTGTTCTTATTCTTTTAGGAGCAATATACATTTCTTCTGTTAGGTAGAGTCAATAAGCTGTCTTTAGATTCACTGCCTGTTTCCATGTCAGGTTGTTGAGATACACAGTTCTCACTTAAAGTGGCCTATCAAGATATTTTCTAAATAAAGATGGTTCCTACTCTGACTGGAACTCTTGAGGACGGCTTAAAAATTACATTCCATTCTTTTTTAAATTCACACAGTGTATGCTATGGTACTTATTGCACTAAAGCAATAAAACCAGTAGACTCAGTATCTACAAGTCTTACAGTACGAGAAATAAAGCCTTCAAATTTTCATGTCATGGGTACTGTTTTTTAACATTTTAAACTCAGATTCACAGAATTAAATTATTCTACTCTATTTCATGAAATGCTATTATATTGATTTGTATAAGTATAGTTTTTACATCCTTTTTTTAATTATTAGTTTACTTTGTTTCCTATCCCTATGTTCATGCCTTTTCTACCCTTATGGATTTAGTGAATATCTATCACATATATATACATTTAACTACAGAACTGAAAATATATATTGCTGTTCCATGTTTCTATTTAATATGAGTATAAATGGCTTTATCCTGTAAATCCCATTCTCTTTCTGTTTTTAAATATCTATTTATTTCGGAATGTATCCTGGTTGTTATATGTAGATCCAGCACCAAGTGGTATATCATTCTGTAGCATCATCTTCTTCTGTGTCTGTATGAAATTAAGGTAAATGGAGCCTATTTCTTCTCTTTGTGAATAACTGATTTAAGTAATACATAGGAGTCTACATGAAAAGTGCTTAATCAATGGTAATTAATTACATGAGACTAATCTGAACATAATACATCTAGACTTTAATTCTAACATCTGTGATTACATATCTAAATACCATGTCTTCTGTTTCTTACTTTTGGAACTGAAATTGTAAATTCTACACTGAATAACATAATATAAAAAGATACAAAATTGTCTGAGAAATGCGATGTGCTCCAGATTAGTGATTTCCAGATTTGGATATATATCTAACATATCTGGAGACCTTATAAAAATATTTAGTTTTCCATCACCCTACCTGTACTGATCAGAATCACTGAGAATGGCCTTCTGGAATGCGTGTGTGTGTGTGTGTGTGTGTGTGTGTGTGTGTGTGTATACATATAGGCATATCTGGGCATTCACAGGCAATTCTGATAATTCTGAAGTAGCCATTTCTGAATACCGCTGCTTAGAATACATGGTACTTCTGAGGTTGATCAGAAATGGATAGCCAGATCTTCCATAACTGTTCTATCATAGAAAGGGGCTAAATTCAATGGTATTCACGTTGTCATATATTGTTTGGAGACTGAAAACATTATTCGTTGGGTAAGCATTTCAAGTAAAAATCAAAAAAAGTAACAGTGATAGTTATTACATAGCTCCTCAGATTATTGATTCTCATTGTTAATATTAGCTAAAATTTAAAAACTTTAACCACATCTTGAATTTATTCTTTTTCTAATAATTTCTAGGTCTGAGTGTTTTGGTCTCTCTCTGCATCGGGTATTGATGAGTAAAAACATTTTTCAATATTATTTTAGATCAATTAGCTTAGGGGTATTTCATTTCACATCACTTACATTAATGTATTAGATTTCTAATTCTTTAGCTACTTATTGTAACTTTATTGCATGCATGTGGATATTTATTGGTAAAAGTAAAAGCTATAAGGATGTGGTTAAAATTCCCTATATCAGAGTTTATGTGCTAGTCTGAAGATCATAAATATGCTCAAAATTCTTCTCAACACCTGTTCACTAACAAGATGAGTGTTTGGTCAATTCAGATAAATCCAAAGCAAACTCTTGAGTAGATACGTACTTATTGATTATAAAGAAGAAAATGGGTGACAGGTTTACAAATCACTGGTAGTTAAACATGCTGGCCTCAGCTATTTGGAAGGGAATGATTACTAGACATTTTACTTGCTGCTTGCAATTGTACCACAACCATTTTTAGAGCCAAAATTTGATGAGGCCCTATGAATATATAAATTCTAATCTAGCCAGAACTGATTATTATGGATTCATGCCAGACTTTTTTCTTTAACCAGTAGCTGGAAGATTTCTAAAAATAGGAGCAGAAAAAATATTTTCTAAACACAAGTTGTTCAGATATTGCATACATATTTCACTGAAGAAAAATTATAGATATTAATTAACAAATGGTGCCTTGCATTCTTTGGCGAAAATAGACTTCACTTATTAAATGGTGACAAGTGATTCTGGAAGGGGTTACATTGAGGTTATATTTCCTAAAGATGTGGTTGGTAGCTTTTATTTTTTCTTTTCTATTAAGCTATCAGCTACCCAAGGCTTTTAAAACCCCATAGGTTTGATAAGACCAATTGAAAAGGTATGAACAAAGTTTAAACACTACTCTGTTTCAACAAAAAAGGATTAATTAAATTCAGTTTGTGAAGCTTCCACTGCTTGTATCAAGACTTCAGTGGTTTAAAACTGCTAAAAGAGGAAAAGTATGCAAAAGGAAAAAATGTACCATGTTTTTCTTCAAATGGAAAGAAATAGAAATGAAAGATGAACAAGGGGCATATGATTACACATGTTCTACAACCAACTGGCTATACAAGGGAGTCCAGGTAGCCAGAAGATTCAGGGCACTAAAATGCTGCTTGCCTTTTGGTATTTGGGGCAGTATATTTATCTTCTTAGGGAAAAAAATTGATAATATTATCCTGGTTATGTAATCCTTATTTAGCCTTAGCTCAATGTCATTTTACTTGAGTCTAAGGACTGCGAATGGCCTCCAAGCTTAGACAGATAGAAAAACAGAAATCTAGTGTATTAATCCATTTTCATGTTGCTGATAAAGACATACATAAGACTGGCCATTTTACAAAAGGGAGAGGTTTAATGGGACTTATAGTTCCACATGCCTGGGGAGGCCTCACAATCATAGCAGAAGGCAAGGAGGAGCAAGTCACATTTTACATGGATGGCAGGCAAAAAGAGAGCTTGTGCAGGGAAACTCATTGTTAAAACCATCAGATCTTGTGAGACTCTTTCACTATCATGAGAACAGCACAGGAAAGACCTGCCCCCATAATTCAATCACCTCCCACCAGGCTCCTCCCACAACACGTGGGAATTGTGGGAGTTACAATTCAAGACGAGATTTGGGTGGGAGCACAGCCAAACCATATCACCTAGAAAAAAACTACTTGTAAAGAATAGCAGATCTTGGCTCAATTAAGTATTGGGAATGACTAAAAAGAGTTTATTAAATCACAAAAACTGAAAAATTTTATGCATTAATAAGTAAAATTCTGTATGCATAAACTTTTAAGCAAGTCTCATTCATCAATTTTTATTTATAATTTTTTTGTCAAATGAGAGATTCATATTATAAGCATAAGAAAAAAATCCAGGCATGTAGTTTTCCATATAGAAACTTTTCTTAAAATTGTGTCTTTTGCGTGGCCTATAACTTTCTGTGTTTTATTCCTGGTACTGAAGATTCATAATGTCCTATGTGTTGATATTTTATAAAGTATCTTTTTCAAGAAAGACTAACATGTTAACAGTAATAATAATAACTACAGCAACAACAAAGGTAATGTTTTAAAAAGCATTTTACCTTTTTTTTAAATGAGAGAAAAGGGGATATATTAAGAGATTATTGAAAATATAAACATCATAAACTGTATTAATGCCTACTGCTGATTAGCCAGTTGGAAGACAAAGCAATTGTATAATCATAACATATGTGTATTGACATCTGTAGATTAAATGTGGATAAACATATGTGTATTGACATTTGTGGATTAAATTTGTGATTTTACCTTTGTAAGAGGAAAACATGCCAATACCTAGGATTGGATAAGAAGTCTCAGACAGTACCAGTAGAAAACACCAGAAAATATATTTAAAATGTAATATGCATAAATTGAATTTTTACCTTTCCTTACCAGAAATAAATGAATTTCCTATTCTTACATGCTAATTCATGTTATGTATTTTATCCCTATTTATATTTTCTGCTACCAGCAATAATGTTTGATGAGAACTGTTTCTCAAACATTCCCAAGGGAAGATAGTATTGATAACATTTGCTTTTAGCATCCAGGTACACTTTTCTAGTAATAAAGGCCCATTAATGCTTTTCTCAAAGAAAATTTATTTTCTAATTAGCCACATTTTTTTCTCATCAACTCTCCTAAATCAAAAGTCTTTATGCAAATGATGTAATTTTTTAACAGCAACATAGACTCAGATGAAATGTCACTGATAACCAAGAAGCATATGGCACAATCTTTGGAATCAGAGCAAACAGTGACAAACTCTCAGCTCTGCCATTTAAAAGACAAGTGATCTTGGAAAATTCCATTAGTCCTCCTGAACCATAGTTTCATTATTTCTACATTGGAGATCTTTATTGCATAGTATTGATACAATTAGATGAAAAAACACATATAACATCTATAATGTAATTCCTGGCATTCAATTATATCTCAATGTTAGCTATTGCTATTATTATAATTTTAAAATTATTTAATCCACTGACTATGACTGAAACAACTTTAACATTGCCCTCAGCTTGAGTAAACTATAGACAGGCTTCTTCCTGACTCTAGGCCCCTTACTCACCATTTCTTAGAGCATTTATTTTAGAAAACTTGTCATTTTAATGTCTTTATTTGCCCCTTTGTGATGTAATTTTTTAAAAATGTCTCTTGTCAGTTATATAATCCTTATGTTTCTCAGAGACCCCCACCCAGGCCCATCCCCTCTGAAATGTAGTTATCAAGGAATATAGGCTTCAGATCTCCCAGTTTCTGTAGGAAGTAGTAGATACCCACCTACCTAACTTCGGTGTGTATCTTGTAGTTGTAAAACTACTTCCCCATGATGAAGATAAGATAAAGTTTACTTTCTTTTTTGGTAAAGGGAACTAGCAAACACAGATGGTCTACGATCCCCCACTTCTCCTCTTAAAAACTCTCCTTCCCTTTACTTCAGCAGAGCTGATTTTCCTGGCTTCCTCTGTGCTCTCCCTCCTATTGCTGACAATAGTGTTAGAGGAATATCAACTTCTATTTGCTCATCGGTCCCAGTGCAACTTTTCTTTTAATACCTAAGGCATAGTTAGCACACCATATATGGCAATACTTGGTGTTGTTTCTTATATCATTAGAATAGTGATATGAAGTATCACTTTTCCTCTTTATTTTCGCCTCAGCATTATATACTGTTACATTCTACAATGAACGCATTAAAATACATGCAAAACTTTAGAGAACAAGAATGCAACATGTTACACACATCATGACAATTTAAGAATAATCGGTCTACATCGGAGGAAGTATTCAAAAATAAAATTAAAATAGTAATCAATTACTAGGTCATGATTTGGAAACTAATGAGGTTGGCTTAAAGCCTACTACTGATTAGCCAGTGAGGACATTTTAAGAGGGAAGCGAAATTACAGTTAAAAAAAGAGGATATATTCTGAAATTAGGGTATCCATATACACATGGGTTATTATGATAAATGGTACATTTAGATCAAAAATGGCTCAGTTAGAATTATAGCAGGTTTAAAACTTATATAAATACCTTGATGTGGAAAATGTGTTATTCAAAGTGCAGTTTGGAGCTACAAATATTCCATGTGTGCTGGGATTTTGCTTTTATGCCCCTTCATGGAAAATTACATTCTGAGAGAATCAAAGCAGTCTACTCATACCAAGGTATTATTACTATATGTATTACAAAAAAGTTGTTGTACATCTTTATTCCAAGACACCAATAATAAATGGATAAAAGTACTGTTATAAAACTAATAATTATTTATGACATATTTGCAGTTGGTTTAAAAATATCCATTACCTAATATAGAAATGGTGGTCACAGGTGAATGTAGGAGGATACAAAGAACTAGTTAAGAGATAGTGTCCCCTGATTTATCTTTACCAACTACTGGTAGTTTCCCAATCTAGATTTGAATTACAACAATAGAAAGATACAGACAAAGTGGGGAGATGTCTAACCTGTCAAATAAAAGATAAAAGTAATAGCGAAGGAATCCATTTTTAAAGCCAGGCAAGAGTCAAGAAGCAGAAGCACTCTCTGTTTCCCAGCTGAAGAATGGCTAGCAAGACCCTGCTTTTGCCCACAAGAGACTCTCGTCTTATGATTTGAGTTCTCTGTTAGCACACATAGCAGATTTGGGAGGAGGAGAAAGGGGCAGAGAGAGAGAGAGAACAGAGCTAAGCAATGACAAGGGAGAAAAATCATGTCATAAGCACAAGGGGCAAGAAAGGTTTGGATCAAGTTTTGAATATGAAATAATGATATTGGTTATTTTGTGAGTCTAGTGATTTTTTTCTGAGGTAGTTACAAAAATGTTTTAAGAAATGGTAGCACAAATGAATCATGTTGTTTCTCCTCTGGGCCTTTCTTTATGTTTTTTTTCTTGAAATTCTCCTCATCCCACCCACAATTTGGCCGGCTAACCCTGATGCATGCTTTAGCTTTCAGCTTTAGAACTCATTTCCATTAGGAAGCCTTCCTGTGGCTCTAAGACTTGGCTGATGTTCCCTTATGTATCTCCGTAGTTACTTCACTTAATATGTATCACCATAATTCTCTTCTCAGAAAGTTTATTCAGTCAGGCTGTTAGGATCAACAGCTATAGGAGAAAGGAAGGATGCCAGATTGGGAAGAAGAGAGGGACTATGGTGCCGTCACAACAAGGTCAGTGAGCCCTTGAGAGTTGTGCTGAGTTGAGGTGAGGGTGTCAGGCTTCTACACACCTGTTAGCTATCAGCTGATCAGCTATCAGCCCTCCAAAAACCAACCCAGCTCATGGAGGAATAACTCCCTCAGCCTTGAAAGGGGATCTGATTGACAGAGTTCATAACACTTACTCTAGATCAACTTTATATTTTCCACTCTCTAGCTCAAACTCAGTAAGGCTCAAATACAGGTAATCTATTAGTATTTATTTGTTAGGCAAGGCTTTCTAGTTAAATGCAATCTCATCATGTTTAGCAGAAGTATTACAGAAGGTTTATTTCAGCCTTGAATTCCATCTACCCCAATTCATTTTGAAGTTAGAAAGTGTAGTGTTAAGGTAAAATGAAAATAGGAAAATAAGAAAAAAGAAAATCACGAAGAATAAAGACCAAAAAAGGAAAAAAAAAATAAAAGAAACCAATGCCTTAAGGCTTTTTGACAGTGTAAGTAAAGCTCCTTCGTTGATACCCAAGACCAAATATGCCTTTCATAGCCCAAGCTCAAGAAAGGAAAACTTTCTGCTTCATATATAACAGAACAAGCAAGTTTGGTTTTTAATGTGTATTCTGATACTTCAGGGAAAGCTGCAATAAGAGAAGAAGGCAGCGCAGCAGGCTTCTACTGTATCCCTTAGGATAGCCTTCGTCAGAAACTCAAACTTTTTGGTTTCAGAATACTTTTATACTCTGGAAAGTTATTAATGACCTCAAAAAGCTTTTGCTTTTGTGTGTTTCATCATTGACATTTATCATGTTAAAAATTGAAACACGTTTTTAAAGTATTTGTTTACTTAAAATTAACAGTTATAAATCCATTGTGTTAACATAAATAAGCTGTTTAAGTAATAATTACTATATTTTCTAAAACAAAAAATATTTAAAAGAATGGCATTAAAAAAATTTTGGGCAATATCTTTAATGTCTGGCTTAACAGATGGCAACTAGACTCTCACCTTTACTTTTGCTTTCAATCTTCTGCGACATTTTGTTTTGGCCGATGAACAAGAAGAAAATCCAAATTCACACAGATTTATAGTTGTAAAGGGAAAATTTTATGAAGCTTCCAAAAAAGTTTTGGAGACACCTAAGAGGTTCTCAGACCACTCTTTGAGAACTTCTGAGCAAGACTATCCTAGAGTCCTCAAATCTCAATAGTTTACAAAAATGCCAGCTAAGTCTCAGAGACTTATTACAACAAAGGTTTGTTTGCATCTTGCTCTCACTGCGTTTCATGTGGATCAGCTGGGGTTTTTACTCCATGGTGCCCTCACTCGGCGACACAGGCTGCCTGAGCAGCCACTGTCTGGGTCTTGCCCCTCACTGGAGAAGAGCAAAAGGATCACAGTGATAAATGGGCTAGTTCTAAAAGGTTCTGCTGGGAAGTCACCTCACTGGTTTCACACTTCATTAGCCAGAGCAACTACTTCAAAGAGGTGACAAGCAGTGCCTCCTTCAGGGAGGGGCACTGGAGATAGGTAAAAAGAATTCAGTTTATCATATGCATACCTACGGATGACCAAAAGATGCTTGTGAAAATGTACTCCAGACTATCTTTTGATAAAACTAATATGTCAAAAGAAAATAATTATTAAATAGTTATAACATTATGTTAAGTTGGATGTGATCTAGGTTTTGTGTTTTTCTGCTTTAGCAAGATATAAACTTCAAAAATTAGCAGGCAAGCATATGTTTTTTAGCCTATGATATATCTAATTATTTCTTTTTAAAATTAAGTAGGAGTTCTTGATAAGAAATGTGGTCTTGTGAGAAAATAAAACCTGACATAATTTAAGCTAACAATGTTATAATAAAAATGACAACATTTGCAAGCATTTACTAAGTACTTATTGTGTATTCCTGTATTATGTTAAGGGGTTTTCGTATTACCTAGATGAATTCCTAGATGGATTCTTGTATGTACTCAGTCATTGAAATTATGATATATAGCACAGTAAATATGAATAAATGTTTTGAAGACAGTTAAAATGATTTGGATAAAAGAAGAGTTGGTCATACTCATTTGTTCAACCGAGAAATAAATCCTATTATAGATGCTAATGATTTTAAAATGAAATGATTTTTATTTCTTTGGAAAATAGTAGTCCTTTCATGCAATGATTTATTTTATCACTAACATTAGTTTCCTATTGTTGCTGTAACAAATTACCACAAACTTAGTGGCTTAAAACAACATACACATATTATCTTTCGGTTCTGGAGGTCAGAAGTCCAAAATGATCTTACAGGCTAAACCAACGTGCCAGTAAAACTGTGTTTCTTTTGGAGGCTCGAGAGGAGAATCCATTTCTTTTTTGTTTTTCCAGCTTGCAGAGGCAGCCTTTATTCTTTGGCTTTTTGCTCCTCCTCTATCTTCACAGCACATCACTCCAACCTCTGCTTCCCATGTCACATCTCTCTGGCTCTGACACTTCTGGCTCCTGCTTATGAGGACCTTGTGATTACATTGAGCCTGCCCAAATAGTCCAGGACAATCTTCATATTTCAAGAGTCTTATTTCAATCACATCTGCAAAGTCTTTTTTGCCATGTATGGTAACATTCACTGTTCTTCAGATTAAGACATGAACGTCTTCAGAGTGGAGGTTCATTATTCTGTCTACCATCTTTTATTTCTAAATGGCTCAGGGAGTTTTAGAAGAGTTTCACATTCCTTTTGTGACCACAGGAGCTGCATGTTTAGAATTTAGATGAAAACTTTTTTTTTTTATTTCCACAAAAATTGCCAAATGCTGCCAAATACCCTTCCTTGCTCCTAGCTCCACATTAGTTTATCCATGAAGATTGATAACCATTGCAATTTTATCTTATGGGATTTAGGTGCTGTTTTTCAACACATGGAAAGCTTGATTAGTTTTCCTAAACAGCTTTTATAGATAGCTGGGCAAGCCAGGCATCCTCCAGAAAGAATGGTGGGGATATTCAAAACATGGCAAGGCAAAGCAACTTTATCAAGCACTATTATGGAGTGTTTCTCTCTTTTTTTTCTCCTTAAAATGTGATCACTAGAAAACTCGAAATTGTACATAAAATAACAGAACCAGAAAGTAAAGCAGATATGTCTCATTCCAAAGTGTGCTAGCAAGATTCTCTTTGCAAAGGCATTTTATAACACTATAAATGTATTTTAGGGATTTGAGGTTTTATTGTTTCTTTTGCCTTTCTTACATTTTAATATATAATTTGGAAATCTTGACTGTAAGCACTATCTGAAAATAAAGTTGAAAATATTATCTATATCTTTGGTGAGTAAATAATATCAATTAATACCACTTCCTCCTTGGAAAAACATAACTTTGTGTGGAATGATAAAGAGAAATCTGAAATTACCAATAAGTACCAGAAGGGGCAAATCCAAGCAGTGAGTAAGTGGTAGAAACAAATTATGGGCGACTGGTAAACTTCAGAACCACAAATTAAACTTTATGAGAAAGCAACCCTATTAATATTATTAATCAAAATATACATTCTGGATGCATGATGAATATATATGTTTATGAATCTAGCATACCAAGCCTCAATGCTAAGCTAAGGCCAGTGCTTGTTTGCAAAGATTTTTTTTTAATCAATTTGCTGCAAATTGAGAAAAATAAGGATTTTACATATTTTTCCTGAAATAACACTCAATTTAAAGAACAGATTTTTATTCTTAGATTTCAAAAATAAAGCTTTTAAAATTATGTTCCTCCCCAAAACCTTTGAAATGTTTACTTGCCTGTGCAATTCAGAAATTAATACACTGTAAAGCTAGTGCAGAGTATAGGCAAAGGAATCTGATAATGTAGTTCATAGTTTATTTTAGTCATATTCTATATATATCTATTATATATATATCTATTTTACATATATATCTATTTTATATATATCTATTTTACATATATATCTATTTTATATATATCTATGTAGCTGTAGATATAAGTACTTCCCTCTGATAAAAACATTACATATACTCTCATTGATTAATTGGTTTAATGCATAGATGGACATGGAAAAGAGAAACCATCATTCAGTCTATTGAAATATCTGTGAAACCCATGGTCAAATACACTTTCACAATTTGAATCACACAAAGAAGGTGGGGACTGAGTGATTATGCCATATGACTATAGCAGACTATTCAAGTTGGGAAAGAATAACTTTTTCTATTAATTATTTATCTACTTGTATCTAATTAAACTGGAATTATAATTACCATTTAGAGCTTTCATGAGTAAAGGAGATGCATACATATATTTCCTAAGAGTGCATGGCCATTTTGCTCCCCTCAGAAGACATTGCAGTTTGACAGTGATGTACACATTTTTTTCTTTGCTTTTGTGCTTTCACAAAAAGGATGATGACATGCAGGGAATTTTTAAAGAGCGTATGGCAGCAAAGTCTCCCAAAATAAATAACTATTTATTCTAACCCCTTCTATGTGAAGGGATAGTAGCAGGATAAGAACATTCCAATAGCTCATTGCTGATGCATAAACATTTAGAAGGGATGCATTTCATTTACACAGAAATTCTCTGAGGTAAAGAGCCATTCGTGTTGGAAAAATAGGCTTACTCCTTGTTACAGAAACTGAGTTCTCAGGGCCTGTTTATTGGCTTGAAATAATTTTATAAAGGAAGAAGAAAGCCACTCTGATTAATTGAAAGAGAATCTGAAGCTCCAGAGGAGAACCCAAAGGGTAGCGAGTAAGCAGAAGAGAAGGGTAAAGAAGAAATGTCAGAATATTTTATACTATGGAATATAAATTTTCATCAGAATACCTACATATTTTTAATTAAAAATAAAATCTAAAGAACCAAAAATTATGAGGCAATAGAGCAATTCTAAGTTTTCTTCAATGTCTGAGAGGTATGGAGGTCCCTGTGGCGATTTTGGTTATCCTGAGTTGAACCTTCATTATCTTTACTACTATTTTCCTGCTGCTGAGGATTAAGTATTTTATATTAGATTGTGTAATAAAAAATAGCTTATTTTTTATTGCAACAGTTAAGATTGATTACATTGATTAGATATAAATAACATAAAACCCAAGGAACTATATTTTCAATAAGAAAATTATTTATCTTATAGCCATATAACAATATAGAGAATAATATGAAGTTTGAGAAGCAGACTCTCTCTCAAAAAACATCAGGGAACACAGACACATCCCAATGCACAAAATCAATGTGCAAAAATCACGAAGCCACTATCCCAGCTTTGGCATGTAGTCCTTACCCTAATGTTTGTTAGCACTGCGGCAAAATGGCTGCCAATCCTGTAAGCATCAGGCCCACATGTTGGTCGGGGGTGTAGGTGGGGAGGGGGAAAAAGACTTGTCAGCAGCCAAGGTTATCACCTTCTAAAAAGCTATATTTAGTTGGTAGGCTATTACTGCCATGATTTCAGAACTTGTTATCAGTCTATTCAGTGATTCGACTTCTTCCTGGTTTAGTCTTGGGAGGGTGTATGTGTCCAGGATTTTATACATTTCTTCTAGATTTTCTAGTTTATTTGTGTAGAGGTGTTTATAGTATTCTCTGATGGTAGTTTGTATTTCTGTGGGATCAGTGCTCAGATCTGGTTTATCATTTTTTATTGTGTCTATTTGATTCTTCTCTCTTTTCTTCTTTATTAGTCTGGCTAGCAGTCTATTTTGTTAATCTTTTCAAAAAAACCAGCTCCTAGATCCATTAATTTTTTAAAGTTTTTCATGTCTGTATCTCCTTCAGTTCTGCTCTGATCTTAGTTATTTCTTTTTTTTTCTCCTAGCTTTTGAATTTGTTTGCCCTTGCTTCTCTAGTTCTTTTAATGATGATGTTAGAGTGTCGATTTCAGATCTTTCCTGCTTTCTGATGTGGGCATTTAGTCTATAAATTTCCTTCTCAGCACTGCTCTGTGTCCCAGAGGTTCTGGTATGCTGTGTCTTTTTTCTCACTGGTTTCAAAGAACTGATTTATTTCTGCCTTAATTTCATTATTTACCCAGTAGTCATTCAGGAGCAGGTTGTTTAGTTTCCATGCAGTTGTGCAGTTTCGAGTGAGTTTCTTAATTCTGAGTTCTAATTTGATTGCACTGTGGTCTGAGAGACTGTTTCTAATTATGTTCTTTTGCATTTGCTGGGAAGTATTTTACTTCCAATTATGTGGTTATTTTTAGAATAAGTGTGATGTGATGCTGAGAATAATGTATATTCTGTTGATTTGGGGTGGAAAGTTCTATACATGTCTATTAGGTCCACTTAGTCCAGAGCTGTGTTCAAGTCCTGAATATCCTTGTTAAGTTTCTGTCTCTTTGATCTGTCTAATATTGACAGTGGGGTGTTGAAGTCTCCCACTTTTATTGTGTGGGAGTCTAAGTCTCTTTGTAGGTCTCTACCAGATGGATTCACAGCCGAATTCTACCAGGGATACAAAGAAGAGCTGGGACCATTCCTTCTGAAATTATTCCAAACAACAGAAAAAAGAACGAATCCTCCCTAACTCATTTTATGAGGCCAGCATCATCCTGATACCAAAACCTGGCAGAGACACAACAAAAAAAGAAATTTCACGCCAATGTCCCTGATGAACATCGATGCAAAAATCCTCAATAAAATACTGGCAAACCGAATCCCCAGCACATCAAAAAGCTTATCGACCACGATCAAGTTGGCTTCATCCCTGTGACGCAAGGCTGGTTCAACATACACAAATCAATAAAGGTAATGCATCACATAAACAGAACCAAAGACAAAAACCACATGATTATCTCAATAGATGCAGAAAAGGCCTTTGATAAAATTCAACAGCCTTCATGCTAAAAACTCTGAATAAACTAGGTATTGATGGAACATATCTTAAAATAATAAGACCCATTTATGACAAACCCACAGCCAATATCATAATGAGCAAAAACGGGAAGCATTCCCTTTGAAAACCAGCACAAGACAAGGATGCCCTCTCTCACCACTCCTATTAAACTCCTATTGGAAGTTCTGGCCAGGCCAGTCAAGCAAGAGAAAAGATAAAGCGTATTCAAATAGGAAGAGAGGAAATCAAATTGTCTCTGTTTGCAGATGGCATGATTGTATATTTAGAAAACCCCATTGTCTCAGCCCAAAATTTCCTTAAGCTGATAAGCAACTTCATCAAAGTCTCAGGATACAAAATCAATGTGCAAAAATCACAAGCATTCCTATACACCAATAATAGACAAACAGAGAGCCAAATCATGAGTGAACTCCAATTCACAATTGCAACAAACAGAATAAAATACCTAGGAATACAACTTACAAGGGATGTGAAGGACCTGTACAAAGAGAACTGCAAACCACTGCTCAACGAAATAAGAGAGGACACAAACAAATGGAAAAGCATTCCATGCTCATGGATAGAAAGAATCAATATCGTGAGAATGGCCACACTGCCCAAAATAATTTATAGATTCAATGCTGTCCCCATCAAGCTACCTTTGACTTTCTTCACAGAATTAGAAAAAACAACTTTAAATTTCATATGGAACCAAAAAAGAGCCCGTATTGCCAAGACAGTCCTAAGTAAAAAGAACAAAGCTGGAGGCATCATGCTACCTGACTTCAAACTACATTACAAGGATACAGTAACAAAAACAGCAGGGTACTGTTACCAAAACAGACATATAGACCAGTAGAACAGAACAGAGCCCTCAGAAATAAGGCCCCATAACTACAACCATCTGATCTTTGACAAACCTGACAAAAACAAGAAATGGGGAAACGATTCCCTATTTAATAAATGATGCTGGGAAAACTGGCTAGCCATATGTAGAAAGCTGAAACTGGATCCCTTCCTTACACCTTATACAAAAATTAATTCAAGATGGATTAAAGACATACATGTTAGACCTGAAACCATAAAAACCCTAAAAGAGAACCTAGGCAATTCCATTCAGGACATAGGCATGGGCAAAGACTTCATGACTAAAACAGCAAAAGCAATGGCAACAAAAGCCAAAATTGATAAATGGGATCTAATTAAACTAAAGAGCCTCTGCACAGCAAAAAAAAAAAAAAAAAAAAAAAAAACAAAAAACAACAACAAACAAACAAAAAATAAACAAACAAAAAAACTATCATCAGAGTGAACGGGCAATCTACAGAATGGGAGAAAATTTTTGCAATCTATCCATCTGACAAAGGGCTAATATCCAGAATCTACAAGGAACTTAAACAAATTTACAAGAAAAAACAAACAACCCCATCAAAAACTGGGCAAAGAATATGAACAGACACTCTCAAAAGTAGACATAATGTGGCCAACAAATATATGAAAAAAAACTCATCATCACTGGTCATTAGAGAAAGGCATATCAAAACCACACGCCAGTTAGATTGGTGATCATTAAAAAGTCAGGAAACAACAGATGCTGGAGAGGATGCAGAGAAATAGGAATGCTTACACTGTTGGTGGGAGTGTAAATTAGTTCAACCATTGTGGAAGACAGTGTGGCAATTCCTCAAGGATCTAGAACCAGAAATACCATTTGGCCCAGCAATCCCATTACTGGCTATATACCCAAATGATTATATATTATTCTACTGTAAAGACACATGCACACATATGTTCATTGTGGCACTGTTCACAATAGCAAAGACTTGGAACCAACTCAAATGCCCATCAATGATGGACTGGATAAAGAAAACGTGGCGCATATACACCATGGAATACCATGCAGCCATAAAAAAGGGTGAGTTCATGTCCTTTGCAGGGACATGGATGAAGCTGGAAACCATCATTCTCAGCAAACTAACGCAGGGACAGAAAACCAAACACTGCATGTTCTCACTCGTAAGTGGGAGTTGAACAATGAGAACACATGGACACAGCAAGGGGAACATCACACACCGGGGCCTGTCGGGGGTGGGGGGCTAAGGGAGGGATAGCATTAGGAGAAACACCTAATGTAGATGACGGGTTGATGTGTGCAGCAAACCACCATGGCACGTGTATACCTGTGTAACAAACCTGCATGTTCTGCACAGGTATCCCAGAACCTAAAGTATAATAAAAAAAATTAGAATATATATATTCATAGCATAAAGAACATTATAAAAACTTTAAAATAAACTTGAAGAAAGAATAGAAACGCTATATTTAGAAGCTCTACACCTTCATTTCTGTTTATGTCTTATTGGCAGAGCTGGGTTGTCTGACCAGATCTAGTTTGGGGAAGGTTGCTAAGGGAAACAGAAGGCCAGCACATCAAGAATGTCTGCCACAAGTTTCTTCAAATTAATTCATGCTTTTTTCGGGGAGATATTAACAGTATTCAGTTTAAATCAATGTCATTATTATAGTTAAATTGATGAAAAATAGTAAATTGATGACAAAATATTAACCAAGCTATTTAACAGATTGTTGATATTCTAATTGGAATGTTTTTAAAAATACTAAAATGTCTGATTTATCATTTTTTTGGCTTCTACTGATAAGATTGAGGCACAAAGATATTGACCAAAGTTATTGAAACAGCTATGCAATTAAGACCAAGATAATTAAAACAAAATTAATAATTTGTCCAGGTTGTAAATAAACATAGACAATTTGCCATATTGATCGTAAATATTTACCATGTTCTTCTGTACATGGTATTGTGTTAGAAATTATCTTCATATTTATGTTAAATTTTAGTATTTTATCCACGTGAAATAGTTGATGGGGATTGAAAATGACCACTCCAGATACTTAAATTGTGCTTTTGAGGATTTCTACCCTACCAAGGAAATCCTCACACATCTGACTGCCAAAATACAAATATTACTGAAAGGTTAATGCATTTTAAACTCCAATTTCTTTGTATTAAAGGGTTAATTAGAAACCTACTTTAATGATAAAAGGGACTTGGGACTTGACCTGACTTCCGAGATTGTAGGATATACAGACATAACTCAGGAGGGCACTGAATGGAGAAATGGAAGATTCTAAAATGTTCTAGTATGTAATTTAGACAAAAAGTTATGCAAAGTGGAAGCTAAAAAGTTAAATATTTAATGAGACTTGTTACAACCTCTTTTAGAATTTAGAGGTTATCAGCATAAAATCTTCATGACAGCCTTCCCTGAAAATCTATTTCTGCTTGAACAATTTTAAAACGTATATCTTTTGCTTCTGAATTATTTTTGTAGGGGATTTTCACATCCAACTTAGTAAGGAACACCCAAATGCAATGAGATAAATGATGTTCTCTCTGGTTGGCAACATGTTGAGATTTTTCATCTCTAATTCTGTTATCATATGGTTATCATCTTCTCTGAATTATGCATATATACAGTCAATTAAATTAAAAACCTTTCAATAAATTATGCTTAGAACTGTGGAAACAGTGGATCTATTCTGAGTTACTGTGATATTCTCTCTTTATTATTCCTTATTGGTTTAAGAAAAAAAGTGGCCTCTCAACCTTTTGCAAAATGTGCATATGCCATATGATTATGAGGGACCACTGGCTGGAAATGAGGAATTCTTTGTACTTATCACAATTTCACAAATGGGCAACAAGAAAACTAGTCCAAATACCTCAGGATTGGTAACTGATTATTAATCTACATTAATCAACTGTTTTTAAAAGTGATATGGAAAAAACCTCCACCAAGGCATGTATATCTGCCTTGACATTCTACTGGCAAAATAACTACATATAACCTCTGTACTTTGATATCCAGGATTAGGGCCACCTATGCTGTGGCCTGCAAAGGGAAAGAGAAAAATATAGGGAGGAGTGTGTGAGTTACATCATTTTTGTCTTTTTAGTTTGAAAAAAATTCAAACTCACAGAAAAAGTTGAAAGACTATTACAAAGAATTTTTTCTTCTTAACCATTTTGCAGTAAATTGCCAACATAATGCTTCATACCTTTCAGTACTTGGGTTAGTATTTTCTACAAAAAGACGGAAATTTTCCAATTATCACAATCTAACCATCAAAATCAGAAAATTTATACTGATATATTTCTACCATATCAACCACAGACCCAGTCAGCTTTTGCCAATTGTCCCAAAAATGCCCTTCATAGCCAAATAATCCAGTTGAGGATCGTGAATTGCATTTTGCTGTGATACCTTTTAGCCTCCTGCAATCCGGAATGCTTTTCTGATCTTCTCTTGATTTTCATGACTTTGGAACTTTTGAAGACTAGAGGTTAATTATTTTGAAGAATGTCCCTCAGTGTGAATTTGTCTGATACTTTCTCATAGTTAGATTCAGGTTCTGCATCTTTGGCGGAAGTGTCACAGACGTGATGCAGTGTTCTGCTTATTTAGTCCTATCAGGTGGCAAGTGATTTTGTTTTTCATTACTGATGATGATAACCTTGATGACTTGTTTAAAGTGGTAATTGTAAGATTTTTCTACTGTAAATTCTTTCGCTTCCCTTTTTTAGTATGTATTTTGTTTGAAGGTATTTTGAGAGGATGTAAATATTCTATTTCCTCTCTCCATTTCACTAACTAGTTTTAGTATATATTGATGTTTTTAGTGAAATTATTTTAGGTATGATAATTGTCAAATGGTGAATTTCTAAATCTGTTTTTTTCTATGTTAGTTCACATTTTTCTGTAATTAATAGCTTTTTTCTTTAATTATTCATTTATACTAGTATGGACTAATGAGGTTTTTATTTTCTCCAATGAGTTATAATTTCTTTATTTCGTTGCTCAAATATCCTGTTTGGTCAATTTGAACCTCTTATGCTGGCTTCTGAGTTAACTTTGTTTTGTATTTATTTATTTATTTTTATTTACTTATTTTTTTGATACATCCCCATCATTCTTTGAGCACTGCCTTAGTTTCTGGCAGAGTGAGATGTTCTTGTTCTTTTCTCGCTCCAGTCTTAGAGTCAGCCGTTTGTGCAAAGTGTTCTAATTTCTTTTCCTGGAGAATGCTATTTAGGAACCAGATCTGTGATCTTGGTATGGTCATTTCCATTGAGGTTTTGCTCTTCTCAGGCCATACCAGTCAGTTGATAAAGCCAGGAAATGCACACACGTGCACACACACACACACTCACACTCACATACCCTTTTATGTCCATGTTGATTTCTATATCCTGATATATTGAAAACTGTTATTTCACGTGAATAATAATAGTTCTCTTTACTTATCAAAATTTCTGCTATAGTAGCTTTCTCTATATTTCACAAATCACAAATTTACACTAGTGCCTCCTGTTCACACCAGTACATCAAATTTCTCTTCCAATCCAATGCCACAAGGTGCATTTTAATCTTCTTTTATTCTACTTGGAACTCCTTCCTCAAGTAAAAAGTAACATATAGCCCCATTTACCCACAATCTATTTGCTATTGGATTGATGCCCTCTTTGTTTATACTATCTCCCATTTTCATTGCTACAATTCTGTCTGCTCAGCTACTTCTTTACCCTACTTGGGCTCCAATAACCCACCAGAATGTCCTTCCACCACTTCCCTCCTCCCCCTTATAAACTTGCTCGTTCTTCCCAAGCTTTAAGACCCCACACTGGGCTATTACCTATGCTCTCCTCACACACTGGGGTTCTGATAACACATATAAAGTTTCTGATGCACTTCCTTCCAGATGCCCTTCACTCCATTTGGGTTTCAACAATCAGAAATGTGCTGCAGTCTCATTCCCCCATAGACTCTTAATTTACTCAAGCCATGTAATAGTGTTTAGGCTGAGTACTAGGAAAGAAGGAAGGAAGAGTGGGAGGGAGGAAAGAAGGGGGATAAAAGAAATACAGGAAGGAAGAGAGAAAGCAAAGAGTAAGGGAGCTATACCATTATTTAAAAGATCAGAGAATACCAGTTTTTGTCTTACAGGTGTGAGTGAGGACACTTTCCCACATACAATTGGGGGTGTTCATTATATCAGCTCTCCAACAGCAAAATTTAGCTGATGGTTGCTGAAAACCATAATCATGCCAAAAAGGTAGCGGTTTTATAATAAAGTACAAAGTATGTGAAGCAAAAGGCTTTCCACCTGCTCAAATATCTCCTAGGCCATTTTCATCTTTATAAATACAGGATTCTTGGAAGATAAGTAGATAAATACCAACAGGAGTGTGAAGAAGATTTCAGAGAATTTGTATTGTCAGAGTTTGGCTAGGTGGTTGTTTTGTTTTTGTTTTTTGTTTGTTTGTTTCCAGAAAACAAATACCAGAGAGGCAGAAAGAGGATTTGATGGTGCAGGATTATCATCATTTTGGTTTTGGTTATAGATTGGTTATTTTAATTTGATTGCCTACAGCAGTGACTGGTCTTTGATACAAGGTAAAGAGTAATTATTGAAATCAAAGCCTAAACTGAGTGCATTGGCAATGATGACAAATCATACCCATCAACTGCCTCTGAAGATCCTGGACTGAAAGAGACTTTTGCATATTTTCAATTTTAAATTCTCATGTACTTGGATCAAAATCCTCATATTTTAGGCAAATATGGTCAATGTTCTTACACAGTCAATATTTATGATGCTAAGCTTGTGTCAAAATGACTCTAAATGATCATATTTGGCAAAATATTATATATAACAAGCTAAAAATTAAGTACAAATATAATTACTGTGTTGAGGAAGGGAAAGCATCCAAGAGTTGGTAGTGTGTTTTTCAGAAAATACACATATATAGACATGTACACCACAATGACAGACAGCAGCTGACAACTTAAAATTTGGAAAGCATTTTTTAAAGGAAATCTATATTTTCCTAGGATCACTTTTGTGTCTACATCTACAAAGAGGATTATTTCCACAGGTGGGTCAATTACAATGGTGTTCCTCAGTATTTCATTATTTGGGTAATTCTACAGCTGAAATAGTCATGGTAAGTAATCAATCTCCTGTTAAAATGAAAACGCCATCCTGTAACATGTTAAAGAAATAGTCATAAGGCTAATAGGGATAAAATTATAACATTGACATTCAAAAATCTACTCTTCTTATACCATGTATGTACACAACTCAACTTCTACTAAAAAGGGGGACCTATCACAGGGTCTGCTCCATGCGGTCTAGATGATAGGCCATGATGAAGAAAGGGAAGGGAGACGGAAAAGCTAAGTCAATATATGTATTAAAGAGCTTAGAGAGAGGGACAACTATTTCTATTTAACTATATTTCACTTCAATCAATGCTCTTTGCAAGAAATTTTATAGCAAGACTTCCTTTCTTATTGACAAAATCTTCATTTTTCTTAACCAAAATAATTTTAGTTGAATAACGTCTTCAGAAGGATCTGATATATTTTTTGAGATTGTGAACTTTGGAATTCCTTACTTTTAACTTCAAACATGGATAATAATATTAATACATGATATCTACTAATGTAAAAAAGAAGTTTAAGGCCAGTATGATTTTTGAGTTGGGATTGTCTATAAATGGACTGTTTTTGCTGGTTAGTTCAACATAAAATTTTGTGTTTATTCCAGGGATTCCATAATGTTGCTAGGCTCTATATTGTTGTTTGCTAAAGTTTTATTTAAGTTTATTACATGTTCAGTTTTCCTTCATTTCAAATTTGTTAGGGTTATTTTAATAATAATAAACATATTTTATTCTAAAATATGTTTATTATTACTTTTTAAAAAATACAAAATGATATATCTTTATTATTTGTTTCACTTTTTTCTCTTGACATCCAAATCATTTTGTTGTTTGATCTCTGTGTGTCAGTCTGTTACCTCCATAGTTGTTTTAATACCTTTCTAATATCACGGTAGCTCCACTTTCATCAATTGTTCAATTTACTTTACATTATAAATGAATTTCTTAATTGTCTTCTTCATATTCCCGACTTAACTTTCTTGTTAAACCTATATTTGCTATATTGTTGAAACTTTTCTTTATTGCTTCTCACAGAATTCACCTAGTTAATTCCTTATTTATCTTCCTGTTCTCAGGAAGTCATCATCTCTAAGTTTTATTCTACATTGCACTTTGTAGGCTAGGTGCATAATTATTATGCTAACAGAACATTTGCATAACTTCTGCATTATTTCTGACACAATAATTTATGGTCTATCCTCATATTCGCCAAAAAAATATTTGGGATGGATTTTTTTTTCCTTACTGCTCTCCCTGTTTGCAAAATATACTTAGAATCCTTTACTTAGAGACCGCTGAAATGCTGTAAGTTGATCCAGGGCTAATTTTGAACAATGGAGCAAATATCCCTTACTTTTGAATAAATACCCTTCAGATTTTGTACTATCTCTTCATGTGTGGGGAGCTCAGAAATTTTCATAAAAGGTAAAGTTTAAGAAAAACATTGTAAATGGAAAGGTTTTAATTAAGTTGTTGCACTTATTTTCTTCTATATAGCCTCATATCTATGGTGCCTTTTCCCTAGGAGATCCATTCTCTCCTCAATCATTCAGCAATTTATTATTAGTACCAGCTTTGTGTGAGGTACTATTTTTGGCACTTGGGATACATCATTGTAGAAAAACAAAATCATGACCTCATAAAACTTAGAGTCTAGTTAACGGAGGCAAGCAATGAATAAATTGCGTGTGTGTGTTTGTGTGTGTGTGTCTGTGTGTGTGTGTGTAGTTAAGAAGGTTATAAATGTTTTGGAAGAAAATAGAATGGGGCAAGAAAAATGCGAAGTATGTGAAGCGAATATGTTGTAATTCAAAATAAGATGAAGTCCGAACAAATATTTGAGAGAAGTGAAAAAACTAATGGTGGAGACAGTTGGGAGAAGAGCTTTCTAGGTAGCATTATCAAACAACCAGTGCAAAGGCCCTAAAACGAGTATGAGCCTGGTGGAGGGTATGTTTGGTGGACAAGAAAAACACTAGTATGGCAGGAACAGCATGGTGGCGGGATAGGTCAGAGAAGTGCAATAGATGAGGTCAGAATTGCAGCAGTAAACTAGGTTGCACAGGGACATGCAAGGCATTGTAAAAACTTTGCTTTTACTCAAAATAAATTTAAAAAAAAAGTTACGATTTTGACCAGAAGAGTGACATGATCACTTTGTAGACTTATATGAAGAGTAACTATAGTGGGGCAAGGGTAGAAAAGCAGGAAGGCAAGAGGCTAATTCAATAATCCAGGTGAGAGAGAGACTAGGATAAGAGTGGTAGAGTTAAGACAGAGAGAAGAGGTCAAATTCTGGTTACAATGTGAAGAAACTAATAAAATTGCTGGCAGTATATGAGCTGCACTGTAGACAGACAACCTACAGAATGGAAGAGAATATTTACAAACTATGCATCCAACAAAGGTCTAATATTCAAAGGAACTTAAATTTACCAGCAAAAAACAACCTCATTAAAAACTGGGGTTTATTTGAAAACAGACACTTTTCAAATAAAGACATACATGTGGCCAATAGGCATAAGAAGAAATGCTCAACATCACTAATCATTAGAGAAATGCACATCAGAACAACAATGAATTACCATCTCCTACCAATCAGAATGGCTATTATTAAAAATTCAAAGATAGGCCAGGCATGGTGGCTCAGGCCTGTAATCCCAGCACTTGGGAGGCCAAGGTGGGCCGATCACTTGAGGTCAGGAGTTTGAGACCAGCCTGGCCAACATGGTGAAACCCCATCTCTACTAAAAATCCAAAAAGTTAGCTTCACATGGTGGTGCATGCCAGTAGTCCCAGGTACTTGGGAAGCTGAGGCAGGAGAATGACTCGAATCTGGGAGGCAGAGGTTGCAGTGAGCCGAGATTGTGCCGCTACACTCCAGCCTGGGTGACAGAGTGAGACTCCATCTAAAAAAAAAAAAAAAAAAAAAAAAAAAAAAAAATTTCAAAAAATAACAGATGCTGGCAAGATTGCAGAGAAAAAGGAACACTTATACACTGCTGGTGGGAATGTAAGTTAGTTCAGCCATTGTGGAAAGCAGTGCAGTGATTTCTCAAAGAACTTGAAACAGAATTACCATTCAATTTAGCAATCACATTGTTAAGTATATACCCAAAGGAATATAAATTGTTCTATCATAAAGACGCATGCACGTGTATGTTCATTGCAGCACTGTTCACAATAATAAAGACATAGAATTAACTAAATGTCCATCAGTGGTAGACTGGATAAAGAATATTTGGTACATACACAATGGAATAATATGCAGCCATAACAAGAATGAGATTACATCCTTTGCAGCAACATGGATGGAGCTGGAGGCCATTATCCTAAGCAGACTAGCATGGGAATAGAAAACCAAATGCCACATATTCTCACTTATAAGTGGGAGCTAAACAATGAGAACACATGGACACAATCTAGAAGGGAACAGACTCCAGGGCCTACTTGAGGGTGGAGGGTAGGAGGAGCAAAAGGATCAGGAAAACACCTATTGGATACTACACTTACTACCTGGGTGGTGAAATAATCTGTACATTAAACCCCTATAACACACAGTTCACCTATATAAAAAACCTGTACCTGTACCACTGAACCTAAAATAAAATTTTTTTAAAAAGGACATGAGCTGTACAAGACATGGAGAAGTCAAATATAAGCCTCAACTTTTTTGTGTGTCTTTTCCTGTGTCCTGTCTTGCTGTTCAAATTTCTCTTCTGATAATGTGTTAATATACTAGAGCTATTCCTGCTAAATATCACAGCATTTCTACTAAGTTGCTGCATCAAAATGAACAAATGAATAATTAGTGAATGAATATGTCAAGGAATGGCCAGATCTGTTCTTGCGGTAGAATGCTTTCCATCTATATAGGAAAATGGACTCTATAATAGGAAAAATCCTATTTTCCCAATTATTTCCCAATTAGAATATATGATAATTAAACTGCTCTCTAAAAAGGAGTTTAGCTATCCATAGGACTTTATTTTTCTAAGTTGAATGAAGAAGAAGTCCCAATATCTTGTTTGCATATTTTTCTTTTTAAATAACTCTTCCACTTATATTTCCACCAAAATATTTACTTTTAGGAAAAGTACGTTTACATAATTTCAGTGTCCTCTTTCAATTTTGATATTATTTGTGTTATTATTTATTTGCATTTCTTTTAGTTGTATTTTTTGCATATTATATTAGCAAGATATCCTCAATTGCTGTGGCATAATATTGGAATAATTTCTAGTTTCAATATTTTGGCATTGGTGATTTTTTTGCTTCTTTTAATCATTTTTCATTTCCAGTGACATCTTATTTTTTTTTCTTAATTTCAGCTCTATATTCCTAGACAACCAGAGACATCTAAACTTGATAGGGGTAGGTGTAACAGAACAATTTCTGTACTTTTCACACATGATTCCAGGTGTTCAGTGTCACAAACCATTAGATGAATTTAGGTAGTCTCTAAATTCCACTCATGTTTTACTTTATATTTTCAGTTTATTTCTGTTCTATTTCAAAGGCTAGTATTTCCTTCTCTGCTTAGTTGACATAAATTTGGAAGTGTAGAGGGGAATGAAACATTCTAAGGTTAGCTAGTCATTCTACTCTTTTCTAAGAAGACAGACTCAAGAATAGGGCTTGCAAGGAATTTTCATAAGTAGAGAATAAATTATTTTTATGTTTTGGAATTAACATACTACTGTTGTGCTGGGTAAGAAATATTAGAAAAACTTTTAGTGAACACAGATGTTTTATAATCATCTTTCTTGTAACTTCCATTTCAAAAACGTCTCATACTGTCATTTCATATTTTAACTTCATGAAACTGTGTTAATAAGCTATAGTAAAAATAATTTGATATAATTTGAGACAAAAATATGTGATATATGTGAATATTTGTTCTTATATAATTGAAATATATTTGACTGTGTTTATAAATTGCATATTTTGTATATGTACAGAAGTATGTTCCACTTAAAACAGTCCTGTTTTGAATCCTATTGTAAAGGGAAAATCATTTCCAAACAAGATAATTATTTGTTGTTATTTTAGCTATTTATAAAAATATTTTCATGTTATGTACATATGCTTTTGTGTATATTTTTAGGTGCATGTTCGTTTGTTGGTGATTTATGAATAAATATCATTTTCTTAGCAATAGAATCCCTCCTTAGGAAGAGATCAGTTGTTATTGAGTCAATCTATTATTAAGTCTATTAGGATAGAAAATGAGACCTCACTAAAGTCTTGATTTAGTGTGATAAGCTGCCCGCTAAAATGACCCTCAGTAATTACTGCCTCCGAGGGTTGAGGTCCTTGTGTATTCCCCTCCATGTGAATGTGGACGCAACCTAGTAAATTTCTTCTAACAAATAGAATATTCAAAAGTGATGGGATACCATTTTCGAGATTAGGTTATAATCTCTTTGACTTCCCTCTTGCATCCCGTCTCTCTGTCTTTTCCCAATATTGTGCTCTGATGAAGCAAACTGCCATGTCTGAATTGCCCTATGAAGAGGCCAACATGGCAAAGAGCTGTGAGCAGCCTATAGCCTATAACCAGTGAGGAATTAAATATTGTCAACTGCCAAATAATTAAACATGGAAATAGGTTCTTGGAGTCTTTAGATGACTTCAGTCCTGACTGAAACTTTGACTGCAGCCTTGACAGACCTTGACGCAGATGACCCCGATAAGCTACACTCAGTTCCTAATCTACAGAAACTGTAAATATGTTTGAAGCCACTAATTTGGGGGATAATTTGTAATAACCAATACATTGAGTTAGAATATATAAAGTATTCTCTAAGAAGAGGTGGTCTGCTAATCACAGGATTTTGTTTTTTAGTAGTCGGTGAAGAAAAGTTAAATACCAGAGATAAATAGTTCCCAATGTTAGCAAAATATGGCTTTTATTGAGAGAGGGACCTGAGAGGAAGAATTGAGGTACCTAATAAGAATTATTAGGAAATTTTTAGGGAATTGCAATATGATGCACAATGTAAAGTTTCTTTCTAGTTTCCAAATAAAATATTTGGTAAAATCTGCATTACTAAGAAGTATATTATTAAATTGGACTTCTACAAAAAGAATATGATAATACATTGAGAATGGCTTAAAGGTGTCAAAAGGAGATGAGCCTTCAGGAAGCTTTTGGGAGGTCATACATTGGAGTCATAACTTGCTTATTTTATTTTGTGTTTTAAATCCATTTTACTGAGATGTGATTGACAAAAAAAGCTGTATATATTTAATTTATACAACTAAATGAGTTTGGAGTTAAGTATAAATTCATGAAACCATCACCACAATCAGTACCATAAACATAGCCATCACCTTCAAAATGTTCCTCCTGCTATATTTGTTTAATGTTATTATTTCTGATGAGAACACAATATAAGATCTACTTTCTTAGCAAATTTTTAAGTATAGGATACAGAATTATTAACTATTACACTGTTACGGCACTATGCTGTATAGTAGACCTCTAGGACTTATTTATCCTGTGTAACTGAAACTTTGTACAATTTGACTGACACTTCTCCATTTTCCCTTCCCTCCAGCCCCTGGAAACCACCATTTCACTCTCTTCTGTGATTTTTACTACTTTAGATTCTTCATATAAATGGTTTCATGTAGTACTTGTCCTTATGTGTCTAGCTTATTTCACTTAGCACACTTAGCATAATGTCCACTAGATTCATCTATGTTGTTGCAAGTGGCAGGGTTTCTTTCTTTTTAAAGGTTGAATAATATTCCATTATAGGTATATACCACATTTTCTTCATTCACTCATCTGTTGATGGTCATGGCTATTGTGAATAGTGCTGCAATGAACACGGAGGTGCAAATATCTCTTTGAGACCCTGATTTCAATTGTTTTGGTTATATAGCCAGATAGGGGATTGCTGGACTATATGGTAGTTTTATTTTTAATGCTTTGAGGAAACTCCATACTGTTTTCCACAGTGGCTGTGCCAGTTTACATTCCCACCAACAGTGTGCAAGGGTTCCCCTTTCTCTACACCCTCACCAACACTTATCTTTTGTTTACGGATAATAGCCATTCTAATAGGTGTGAGGTGATATCTCATTGTAGATTTGATTTTTATTTCCCTGATGATTATGTTGAGCACCTCCTTTGAAAATTTCCTAAATAATTTGGTTCCAACTACGTTGTATTAGTCCATTTTCAAACTGCTGATAAAGACATACCTGAGACTGGGCAATTTACAAAAGGAAGAGGTTTAATGCTCTCACGGTGCCTGGTGGCTGGGGAGGCCTCATAGTCATGGCAGAAAATAAAAGGCACTTCTCACGTGGTGGTAGAAAAGAGAAAAGAGCTTGTGCAGGGAAACTCCCCCTTTTAAAACCATCGGATCTCATGAGACTCATTCACTATCACAAGAACAGCACAGGAAAGACCCACCCCTAAAATTCAATCACCTCCCGCTGAGTTCCTCCCAGGACCCGTGGGAATTGCCCTTGAATTAGAGAAGAGTTGATATGGGAGAAACCTACAAGAACAATCTTCATTTCATTTTTTAGTTTAGTTAGAAATATCCAAAAGATCCAAAAGATAATCAGTATTTTAGAGAGTTATCAAGTAATGTGGTTCTCCAGATCTTTGCCAAGGGTCTCAGAATTCTTACTTAGTTAAAAATACTCATTCGGGGGAAAATAAAAACAAAAACAAAACAGAGCTCTACAGCATGTAAACAGAAAGTAACCTGACTTTCTCATTTCCCTGTGTGGGTCTACTTGCTTTACTGCCTTTAGAGGAGATCTCTGACAGATAAGCACTACCCTTTCTATTGCTCTTAGGTAGTAAATAGTCTAAATTTCTAGATGCTATAAACATGACATTTGAATAATTTAAAATGATTGCTTCTGGGTAATAACCAATATCTTAAATTTCACAGAAGGTAGATCAAATTTCTCCCTTTCCTAGCTCAAGCAGGCTACAAGCCTGAAAGCCTACAATGTGATAGTGGAAAACCAATGGCTTCCCTTTCAATTTTCCCACTTTTCTCTTCTGCTCCTCTGCACTAACAGTCTGACTTTGTTTTCTGACCTTTTCATGTTTGAGCTAGCAGAGAGGAGACACAAGGCAAGGTGGTACTTGAATGTCACTGTCTTCTGGCATCAGTGCTCTCCGTGCTTGGCAGAAGCAGTTAAGGAGCCTCTTATTGACAGCTGATCCTTTATCTCATAGAGGGCTTTTGTGGGCTTCTGAGAGACCCCTTATCACTTTGGATTTCTTTGCTTTCAGTGCCCTTAATTCCCAAATGTCTCCTTTGCTTACCTTTCTGTTGTTTATAATTCTTTCCACTCTTATGAACTATGTCAGAGTCTCATGGCTCCTGCAGATACCTGTCTTGGGAAAAAAGTCTCTTTACAATCCCTCCACCCTCCAAACCAATGCTTTTTCCCTTCCTGATAAAATCTTGTCCTCAACAAGCTCTGATAGGAACATCTGGCAGGATGTTCCTAGTATTGCCGTTTCGTTCTTCTCTATTGTCAGAAATTTAGCCAGCCATAATTTTCCATTTGACTCCTGCTGTGATCTTTGTATCCGCATACTGCTGGGGGTCATGATTCATATTTTATGATCACTTTGAATCCCCTCTTCTCTACCATGTGAGGATAGAAGTGTGATAGGGAGGAACAAAACTGTGCCACAGAAACTTAATATCTTTTTTTTTCAAACAAATTATTTCCCTGTTTGGGTTAGTGCCATTCAGTCTCTCTCATACTTTTGAGGTAGTTATTGGACCAAGGATTGCCAAATATTTTAGATTTATGTATAGTTTTACAAAGATGATCTGGCACCTCACTTTGAAACATGAAAGTACTTCCCAACTTTAAACAGAACGTATTATGTTTCTAACATCTTATTATTTGTATAATTAGGGCTCGATACCTGAAGAAACAGGAATAGGAAAGGTTACAAGCTTTCGAGCTATTGTAATGAATAAAATGGTGGTAGTCGTTAAAAGAGAGATCCCAGAAGTAATGATTATTTTTAAATTATGATACTAAAGACAGAGTAAGAGTATTCATATTTTTTGAAAATTTGTCACTGGCTCTCAGAGAAGAAAGCTCCAGTTTGTCTTACAATTTAAGGCAAAGATTGTGTGAAAAGATACCTAGAAACATAAATTGTCTTATAAATTGGGTTAAAATTCACAAATCAGTAAATATGCTTAGGCTCTGTTCTGTCCAGGGCATTCTGGATTCTTAAATCTTGTTCGAACTCTGTCTTTCATCAGTGTTTTTGAAATTAATTGCTGTTTAATTCATATAACTTTGGTTGTTTAAAAAGGAGATCACATTCAATATACATAATAATGTTCTGATTTCTATTTACCTTAATAAGAGGCACTACAAATACTTATTTGTCTTAAAATTGTCTCAGGCAAGATAATGTTTTATTATTGTCAGACAGTTACATCATACTTCAAAATACCTCAACTAGTTTGTGTTCTTAGTCTATATCTTCTATGTATCATCTATCTGTGTATCATCTATCTATCTATCATCTATCTATCTATCTATCTATCTATCTATCTATATCACCTATCCTATCTATGTAATTTTCTTCTACCTGCTGCTAAATCCTACGGACTATTCTATCTCTTTCTTGGCTATGAGTGCTCTTATAAGGTGATTTCGCTTTTTCAGGCAGGACAGAGGCTTATTTGAGGGAGCATGGGAGGCCAGTTTTTCAATTAGGTTTCATTGTTGGTACCACTCAAGGTACAAAAATGTGGGGTGATTCATGTGAGAAAGACAGTGGATTGGAATTAGAGAGTTGAATAACTCAAGTCTTGTGTCTTAAAATATATATTTTTTTCTTATTATTTTCCTCTACCTTGGTCTTTCACTAAATTCTTCATATATGTGTATATTATCTTTTCAACTTGGTTTTCAACTTCTAAAGACAGAAACCTTAAAAATATTCTTTGTATTCTGCACAACAAATGTATTGTATATTATAAATACTACATAAATATCTGTAAAGTAGTCATTAATTTTCTTTATACTGTAGAAATTTCATCATGGGTTAGTGATTGTTCCATAGAACTCCAGGATTACCTGCTGACAGCTTCATGGATTCTTAACTATAGACATATCTAAGTAAACACAGGACTACTAAGGCAGTAGAGTACAAAAATGTAATCAATGAACTCCATGTCACTAACATATGTCTCTCTAGTTTACACAGACTTGTATATACACTACTCACAATTTTTAAAGTGCATTGGTAACAAAGATTGTAAGGTCACCATTTGGTTGACATCTTGTATTTTTTTCCTTGTTTAATATTTGTAAGAATAAATGAGACTCTGTGTGAAAAAATCCAACTAATATTTTATTACTTTGAAAAATAATAAGTACTTTTTAAAAAGTTGGATTAGGCAGTGTTTATTCTGGTAGTTTAAATGAAAAAACTTAGGTCCTCTAAAAAATGGTTTTTCTGAAAAATTAGGAACCCAATCAAAACAAATTAGGAACCTAATAGTCCAGCAATGTGTTACCCTATTTCATGCCTGTTGACAAAATATTATTGATGAGAAAAAGTATTTATTAATATGTTTAAATAACTTTTTTATCATTGGCTCATGGGTTAGGAAATGATCCCCAGATTTAAATAATTCTTCATTATTTCTTATGTGTAAGAATAATTCAGTAACATTGAAGAGTTCCAGAAGGAAAGCACTATGCTATTTGTCTTTTTCAATCCATGAGCCAGAGTTAAGAAATGATAAATCAGTATGATTTCAGAGGACAGGCTTATAATTAAATTATACCCACAAGTCACCTTTTCTGTTTCTTCAGAATTTTTTGTGAAAATCTCTTTAATTTGGCTTTAATGCTTAAATGTATGAATACATTCATTGTAACTCTAAATTGCTTCCCAATTTTTCACCTCATTTTTTCCCTATAAAAATTTTAGCATTTCTATAGTCTTTTACTAGGCATTTTATTTCTTATTCCCCAGCTACATTCATCTTTACAGGTTCTAAATGTTTCAACATTGGAAAGAGCAACATTTTACTATCAGATAATTCTTGAGGTATTTCACAGAAAAACAAACTTTAAAATGAAACTGAACTGGAGCCTTACAGGATTTGTAGACAATTTACTACTGTGTAATGAAAGTGTCTTTTCAACCTCAAATTCAGGGAGGTTCAGATGTCTTTGAATATATATTACTTACTTGTCTGAATAACCCTGAAAACAAATCTATGATCAATTAGCTCTGAAATTAGTGATAAAAGAAATTCAACAGTATTCCTATTTATAAAAACAGCCAATATTTGAAGAATTATAAAAAACAAAATGCATAATTTCTGAGCACATATTAAGTGCTATGTATTATTCAATATTAAATAGTCTTTATAACAGCCCCTTTGTTTATACTTTAAGTTCTGGAGTACATGTGCGTAATGTGCAGGTTTGTTACATAGGTACACACGTGCCATGGAGGTTTGCTGCACCCATCAATCCATCATCTACATTAGGTATTTCTCCTAATCTTATCGCTCCCCCACCCCCCCACCCCCAACAGGCCCCAGTGTGTGGTTTTCCCCTCCCTGTGTTCATCTGTTCTCATTGTTCAACTCTCACTTATGAGTGAGAACATACGGTGTTTAGTTTTCTGTTCTTGTGATAGTTTGCTAAGAATGATAGTTTCCAGCTTCATCCATGTCCCTGCAAAGGACATGAACTCATCCTTTTTTATGGTTGCATAGTATTCCATGGTGTATATGTGCCACATTTTCTTTATGCACTCTATTATTGATGGGCATTTGGGTTGGTTCCAAGTCTTTGCTATTGTGAATAGTGCCACAAAAACCATAGGTGTGCATGTGTCTTTAAAGTAGAATGATTTATAATCCTTTGGGTATATACCCAGTAATGGGATTGCTGGGTCAAATGGTACTTCTGGTTCTAGATCCTTGAGGAATTGCCACACTGTCTTCCACAATGGTTGAACTAATTTACACTCCCACCAATGGTGTAAAAGCGTTCCTATTTCTCTATATCCTCTCCAGCATCTGTTTCCTGACTTTTTATTGATGGCCATTCTAACTGGCATGAGATGGTATCTCACTGTGGTTTTGATTTGCATTTCTCTAATGACCAGTGATGATGAGCATTTTTTCGTAAGTTTGTTGGCTGCATAAATCTCTTCTTTTTAGAAGTGTCTGTTCATATCCTTTGCCCACTTTTTGATGGAGCTGTTTGTTTTTTCTTGTAAATTTGTTTAAGTTCTTTGTAGATTCTAGATGGTAGCCCTTTGTCAGATGGATAGATTGCAAAAATTTTCTCTCATTCCATAGGTGGCCTGTTCAATCTGCTGATAGTTTCTTTTCCTGGGCAAGAAGAACAAAGCTGGAGGCATCATGCTACCTGACTTCAAACTATACTACAAGGCTACAGTAACCAAAAGAGCAGGGTACTGTTACCAAAACAGATATATAGACCAATGGAACAGAATAGAGGCCTCAGAAATAACACCACACATCTACAACCATCTGATCTTTGACAAACCTGAAACAAACAAGCAATAGGGAAAAGATTCCCTATTTAATAAGTGTCATTGGGAAAACTGGCTAGCCATATGCAGAAAACTGAAACTGGACCACTTTCTTACACCTTATACAAAAATCAATTCAAGATGGATCAAAGACTTAAATGTAAGACCTAGGACCATAAAAATCCTAGAAGAAAACCTGGGCACCTGGGCAATACCATTCAGAATGTAGGCATGGGCAAGGACTTCATGTCTAAAACACCAAAAGCAATGGCAACAAAAGCCAAAATTGACAAATGGGATCTAATTAAACTAAAGAGCTTCTGAACAGCCCCCATTTTTTTTTTTTTTTTTTTTTTGGTCTTTAAGAGATGCTGAGACTCAAAGGATTCTGTATGTTTCCTAGAGGTATATAGTCAGGGGTGGGATTTCAATCTAGGTTTTCCTATTTTACAGCCAGATTCCCATCACCACCTTACCACTCCAATGTGTTATTTGTGATGCTATGAGATTATTCTCACTAATAAATTTTAAAGTTTTCCATACAATATAAAAAGAAGGAAAGGCTATTCATGATAGTAATGCAATAAGATTTTATTTGTTATTCTTGCAATGAAGGTCATTTCTGGTAAATTCTTGAAACTTTTTTTATTTATAGAGAGTAAAGGGGATCTGGATAGTTAAATAACTTTAGGCTAAAAATAAAAATAAAATTTGGATATGATCCCTAGAAGATACGGATAAGAAGAGCAGTAACATAAAGTTTTCAGACATTCTGAAGTCACATCTACATGGGAGTAGTTAAGCAGATTATTAGAGTTTATAAACTACATAAAAAGGAATGAACTGGAGGATAAAACCTATTTTCATCAGTTTACTATAAATAAAAACATGTAAGAATGCACTCTTTTATCAGCTGAAATAAAGAACAGCTATTTCTATCAATTAAGTCTACCAAGGCTTATAGGAATTGACTTATAGTCAATTATATGGCAATTTGTTTATTCAATAATAAAACATTTCTGAAACTCAAAAGTTACTTATTTAATCAATGAGAAACTGGTATACCTTATTTTACTAACCTACTGTTACAAAAATATATTACAGGAAAGCGTAAAATGCAGAGAGAACAAATGTTTATTTCCAGTTTAGTCAACATTCTACTCTGAGTTGCAGCTAGGCACTGTCAGCTGTGATACTGTGATAGTAAGGGATAAAACCTCAAATTAGTGGCTAGATGCGGTGGCTCACAACTGTAATCCCAACACTTTGCAGGGGCCAAGGCAGGAGGAGTGCTTGAGCCCAAGAATTTGAGACCAGCTTGGGCAACATAGCAATACAATGGCCCTATTTGAAAAAGAAATAATAATTTTTAAAAATCTCAAATTACCTATTCTAGATATGCATAAATAACTAAGTAAAATTTACTTATGTTAGCAAGTGTCTTTTGAAGAATAAGTTAAATGGTTTTTGAGTTTAATCCATCTTAGATATTACCATACGCATTATATTTAAAAATTTATTGGATATTGGCTGGGCGCAGTGGCTTCCGCCTGTAATCCCAGCACTTTGGGAGGCTGAGGCGGGTGGATCACAGGGTTAGGAGTTTGAGACCAGCCTGGCCAACATAGTGAAACCCCGTCTCTACTAAAAAAATACAAAAAAAACAAAAATAGCTGAGTGGGATGGCGAGCTCCTGTAATCCCAGCTACTTGGGAGGCTGAGGCAGGAGAATCGCTTGAATTCAGGAGGCGGAGGTTGCAGTGAGCCGAGATCGTGCCACTGCACTCCAGCATGGGTGACAATGCGAGACTCTGTCTCAAAAAAAAAAAAATTACTTGATATTATAGAAAAGTTATATAATTTAATTATATAATAGAAGATGCCTGTCACCGGGCGCGGTGGCTCATGCCTGTAATCCCAGCACTTTGGGAGGCCATTGCAGGCGGATTATCTGAGGTCAGGAGTTCGAGACCAACCTGACCAACATGGTGAAACCCTGTCTCTACTAAAAATACAAAAAATTAGCCAGGCGTGGTGGTGGGTGCCTGTAATCCCAGCTACCCGGGAGGCTGAGGTAGGAGAATTGCTTGAACCCAGGAGGCAGAGGTGGCAGTGAGCCGAGATTGCGCCATTGCACTCCAGCCTGCACATGACAGAGTGAGACTCCATTAAAAAAAAAAAAAAGAAGATGCCTCTGCTGACAAGTATATGAACATTAACATTTACAAAACAGAGATACTTAAAGGTGTTTTTCTAAGGGAGAATTCATTTAGTGCATATCAAATAGGAAGGCTAAACAATAAGGCAACCAAATTATACACAACTGATAGATAAATTATAATGACAACATGTACTTTATAATATGTTTGTTGCAACTGGAATATATGTATCTACTATTTAACATTCACTTCCTCTAATCAAAGATAGTGAGGTATACCACAGTAAGCATCATCAGGTGGTTCTTTTTGGTGAAGATGGACTTAGAGGACAGAATTTGAGACATTTCATTTAAATGTTGATTTTTTTTTTCTGTCTCTCTTCTCCCTATCTTTCCATTTACAAGATATTAATATTTGGGACTTTCTCCCTCAGTTTAGAATTAGGAGCAAAGGCTAAGAAGTCTTGGATCTCTTTTACAAAAAGACCATAGATAACAAGAATTTTCACTTTCCAAAGCAAAGGAAAGTGCTGAATCCTAAGCAGGACTTGCAACAGCACTTGCAAAGGAGATAACTAAGAGAGGGTTTTGTGAATCATAGTTGACTACCTAGTTATAATTTAGGTTGAAAAGTTGTGCAGCGGACACATAATTAATCTGGAGGAGTCAGAATATTAGTCTCAATTCCTATTATTAATTTTATGCCAAATTGAAAAAAAAAACTGGGAGTTTGGGAGACACCATGGACAGTGGTTGCAAGAATCTGAATGACAAGGGGCTGGCTTCTATAATCCATGGTGACAAAATAAAAGACTATCGTCAGGAAGTATCTATAGTAACACTGATAGTGGGCCATAAGGTGCTATTTGCTATGAAACTGTGTAGGCCACATTGGAACTTGACTTCTATATTCTCAAGTCCTGAACAACATGGAAGCATGAGGAAACTTCAGCAGAAGGATCTAGAAAAACATCTCTGATTGACCATGGGCTGAAAGTATTACTGTAAATAACCAAGCAGAGGAGTCACTATTGGGGGAAGCCCCCATAATATTTCAACATAGGTTCTTTCTATGTTCCCTTAGTGTTGGCCAGTCTGAGAAATAAAGAGAAAGAGTACAAAGAGAGGAATTTTACAGCTGGGCCACCGGGGGTGACATCACATATCAGTAGGTCCGTGATGTAACCTGAGCAGCAAAACCAGCAGGTTTTTATTAAGGACTTCAAAAGGGGAGGGGGTGCAAGAACAGGAAGTAGGTCACAAAGATCACATGCTTCAAAGGGCAAAAAGATCACAAGGCAAAGGGCAAAACAAAGATCACAAGGCAAAGGGCAAAGTCAGAAACTCCTGATGAGGGTCTATGTTCACGTATTGTCTTGATAAACATCTTAAACAACAGAAAACAGAGTTCAAGAGCAGAGAACCGGTCTGACCTCACTTTGACCAGGGTGGGGTTTTCCCCATCTAGTGAGCCTGAGGGTACTGTAGGAGACCAGGGCGTATTTCAGTCCTTATCTCAACCTCATAAGACAGACACTCCCAGAGAGGCTGTTAATTAGACCTCCCCCAGGAATGCATTCCTTCCCTGGGGTATTAATTATATTAATAATTATTAAAAATTATTAATATTATTCCTTGCTGGGAAAAGAATTCAGCAATATCTCTCCTACTTCCACGTCCATTTATGTGCTCTCTGCAAGAAGAAAAATATGGCTCTATTCTGCCCGACCCCACAGGCAGTTAGATCTTTGTCTTCCCTTGTTCCCTAAAATCACTGTTATTCTGTTCTTTTTCAAGATGCACTGATTTCATATTGTTCAAACACACATGTTTGACAATCAATTTGTACAGTACTGGTCCTGAGGTGACATACATTCTCAGCTTATGAAGATAACAGGATTAAGAGATAAAAGTAAAGACAGGCATAAGAAATTGTAAGAGTATTATTTGGGAACCAATAAATGTCCATGAAATCTTCACAATTTATGTTCAGAGATTGCAGTAAAGACAGGCATAAGAAATTACAAAAGGATTAATTTTGGGAGCTGATAAATATCCATGAAATCTTCACAATTTATGTTCCTCTGCCGCAGCTCCAGCTGGTCCCTCTGTTCGGGGTCCCTGACTTCCCGCAACAAGTCACATTACATACAACAATGATCCTGCCTATAAGAGATCCCTGGCAAAGAGAATCTTATACATAACCCAAAAAATTTCTCTATGGCAGTTTTCTCAGCTTTGTAATACCTGAGGCTAGCTCATAACAGTACAAGTCAAGTAATATTATTCCTGCCCCCTATCTTTGACTCAAGCCAGAAGGATCAGAAACTCAGGTTCCAGCAATCTGAGGAAAGAGGGAAATAGAAGCCAGGAGAGAAAATAAAGAAATCACTATGATGATTTTCTAAATTTTGACTTTCACAGGTATAAACTAAAGGAGAACAATTGTGAATGAAATTTGGAAATTGTGATTTTCACAATGGCTAGACACCTTAAATTCTTATAAGGGACTGACTGTATCAGAAACTAAAGTGATTAGAAGACTTTTTATTTTGTAAAATATAAGAGCTGAGTACTGTGTAAAATTTTCATTCAGGGATAAACAGCTAGCCCAAATCAAGGATTTAAACAATTCATCAAGAGAAAAATTAAAAATGCATTGTGATTGCAGTCTTTGTCCTGATCTTTCAATATACTTATTCAAACTCATCTCTATTAGGGGTGAATAACTCATCAATGGACTTAGTTAAGCAAAACCTGCATTATCACATGATAAGGTTACAAACAAAGTGGTAACACTTTAGATAGTACAGGAAGTGCCATGAAATGCAGTTGAGAATTGCAAGATTAGGAAAAAGTATACATTCAATAAGACAAAAAGTAAATTTTTTCTCTGAATAAGTAGATCTATAAAGGAAAGAAAATGCCTGCTCCTGTTATAAGTGTCAACAGTAGGAGAAACTACTCAAGTATTGCTTTACACCCTCTCTTGTCTTTTGTCCTTATCTATGTTAGTAAGTGATAATGTCATTGTAACAGAATGCATTTTCCAGCATTGGTGACAACATCTCTTATCCCACAAGCTCTCTATAAAGCCATGTGTACATGTTATTCCCCCATCAAGAGGCAGAGTTTATATCTCTACTCTCATGAATCTGGTTGGAACTTGTTACATCTTTGACCAACAGGATAGGACAGAGAGACAATGTGTCAGTTTCCAGCAAACCCCTTAACCACTGTGGAAGCCTCTGCTTTTTGCCTCATGGAACTCTCACTATTACGATGTTTCCTCTGTATACCTAATCACCACATTATGAGAAGCCAAAGCTACTGGGGGCCATGTATAGACATTCTGTCTATGCCATCTTGTAAATCCATCACAGTCAAGCCTTCAGATGACTACATCTCCAGCTGATATCGACTATGATCATACAAGAAACCCAAGTTAAAATCATCCAACTGAACTCAATCAACTCACAGACCCATGAGAGATAATAATTCTTTCTTTAAGTCATTCAGTTTTGGAGGGTTTTTTTCCTGCAGAAATACCTAATTAGAATCATCTATCATTCTAAAGCTAAGGTAGAGTAGTCAATCCATTTTTGCTTAAAAAACCTATATAATTTTTTAAAGTGCGTAACAAAGAAATTTTATTTTATGCCAATGTGTTAGTCTGGGTTCTCAAAAGCAGAAACTATGTAGTAATGCCAAACTGAGAAGTGCAAACTCAGGGAACCAATAGTGAAAGAAAAAAGAAATGAAGAAGAAGAAAAGCAAATAAATGTTGGTGTATTCCCAAGATGGTTACAGTTGTATAAACACAGCTGCTCTCTAAATCATGCAAAGGTCTCTGGTTAGGTCATATGGAGCTATGGTACCTCAAAATAATCCCCTATGGAGAGCAAAACAGAGGAATTAATCCTGTAGATCCTTCCCATGGGTTGTCTCTCATTAATCAAAATATGCCCAAAGGGCATTTATTTCCTCACCCTTCCAGATGGTATTGCCTCAGCCTACTGGACAGCTGCTGAAGAATCCTCAATCATAGCCATCAACAGGGCATACCATTTGAGTCTGAGGTTTGTAGGAATAGCCAAAGACTCTATTGGTGGTATTAGTCCAAGCTTTGGTGCCATAGTTGCTGGAGCTTTTGCTTAACTGGGGCAGTCAATCCTCTATCAGAGCCTAGCCCTCACTGTGGGAAACCCTGAATTATCCATGAATCTTAACAGGTGAAGTCAAATATATTAGTCCATTTTCATGCTGCTGATAAAGACATACCCAAGACTTGGAAATTTACAAAAGAAAGAGGTTTAGTGGTCTCACAGTTCTATGTGGCTGGGGAGGCCTCACAATCATGGCAGAAGGTGAAAGCATGTCTCTCATGGCAGCAGACGAGAGAAGAGAGCTTGTGCAGGGAAACTTCCTGTTTTAAAACCATCAGATCTCGTGAGACTTATTCACTATCACAAGAATAGCATGGGAAAGACCCACACCTATGATTCAATTATATTCCACCAGGTCTCTCCCACAACATGTGGGAATTTGGAGAGCTACAATTAAAGATGAGATTTGGGTGGAGACAAAGCCAAACCATATTATAAAAGTAATAGCAGTTGGAGCACTCCATTGAACAAATGCCTGGGGATCAGGAACCATGTACAATCAAATAAATCAGGAGAGTTACATGTGTTTCATGTGATACAATTCACCCCATGGGCCACTTGGATTCTTTCTCATACTCCTATGATACCCAGATCTAGAGTTATGAAATAGGAAGAGGTGGTGCTCACCTTAACTTATGTTCAGGGCTACATGTACAGGTTTGTTATATAGGTAAACTTGCGTTATGGGGAGTTGTACAGATTATTTCATCAACTGCATATTAAACCTAGTACCCATTAGTTATTTTTTCTTATCTTCTCTTTCCTCCCACCCTTCACCCTCGATAAGCCCCAGTGCCTGTTGTTCCCCTCTATGTGTCCACGTGTTCTCACTATTTAGCTCACTTTTATAAGTGAGAACATGTAGTATTTGGTTTTCTGTTTCTGTCTTAGTTTGCTAGGGAAAATGGCCTCCAGCTCCATCATGGTTTTTTTAATGGCTGCATAATATTTCATGATGTGTAGATACCACATTTTCTTTATCCAGCCTACTATTGATAGACATTTAGGTTGATTTCATGTCTATTCACCATTGTGAATAGTGTTGCAATGAACATACACAGTATGTGTCTTTATGATAGAACAATTTATATTCCTTTGTGTATATACTTTGTAATGGGATTGCTGGGTCTAAGGGCAGTTCTGTTTTTAGGCCTTTGAGGAATTGCCACACTGTTTTCCACAGTGGATGAACTAACATATACTCCCACCAACAGTGTATAATTGTTACTTTTTCTCTTCAACCTTGCCAGCACCTGTTATTTTTTGACTTCTTAATTATAGCCATTCTGACTGGTGTGAGATGGCATCTCATTGTTGTTTTGATTTGCATTTCTCTAATGATCAGTGGTGTTGAGCTTTTTTTCATATGCTTATTGGTCACATGTATGTCTAATTTTAAAAAGTGTTCATGTCATTTGCACACTTTTTAATAGTGTTGTTCATTTATTTCTTGTAAATTTGTTGCAAGCTTAATCATTCAGGGTTAAAGCTATTTGCAATATTATTGAAAAGACTAATGAGGATTAGAAAACAAAGCTACAACTACACCTTTCGCCATAATTATTATTTACTATTTCCCTTTCCCATCACTCATTTTAGAACTTTCTTTCTCCTTCTTCTTTTTTTTTTTTTTAGATGGCATTTTGGCTTTTTATTTGTATTGTTGGATGATCTGCAAGATCATATTTGGAGTGTTTATCAATTCTTTAAGAAAATTTCACTGAATCTTTTAAGGTTGAAAGAGTTTAACTTAATTGACTTGTCACCAGGTAGCTGAATGACCTTCATGAAGAATGGTGTCATGTAAGGAAGTCAAAATAATTCTTGGCTTCTGGCAAGTGGCTTATTCAGTAGTATCAATAGCTAAATCAACCTGGAGGAAACTTATGCTATTAGGTCATCCATAACCACTGTTTTTGCAAAAGCAGGGGCCCATCGTGCAATTGCTGGAGTAGCTGATGAGAGTATGTCTGTCACATCCTCAAGACAGGCCATTTTTTCCATCTTTTCTAATGCATATTTTCTCTAGTTGGTATCATGTGAGATATAAAGATACACACATTCATGCCTCTTCTCTAGACATCTTATCCCCGATTCTTCAGTGTTAGTGCTTTCAGATGGTTAGCCCACTAGCCAAGCTTGTCCTCATTACCCAAGAATCAATATATACCCATACTGCAGGCCAACAATTTTTCCATGTGTCTATAATCAAGTGTACTGCTTGCAGTTCTGCCTTCTGGAAAAAATTTTCCTTCATTATTCTCCTCCTGGACTACCCTTAAGGGCAGCAATCCATTTCTGGCTTCAACCAATGTTTTGCATTGATACACCAGGCTCAAGTCCTTTTAAGTCAGCTGGTCATAGGAAACAACCATAAGGCCATAGGTTATGAACTGAGAGGCATTAGCGCCACCGGGGTAGGTCAACTAGACTTGCCTTCTGGACCTGATTAAGCCCAATTATAAGTAAATAACTTTCACCATATTCTGTTTTGTTTTTTTTGGTTGTTATTGTTGTTGTTTGGCTATGTACACTCACTCTTGTGATTTGGTAGCTGTGATAACACCAGCTCATGATAAGCTTCAGGTTATTTAGTGCTCCTTAGTCAGTCTATACTAGGGTCTAATAGTACATCAAGAGTTGATTTTCAAATAAAGAATTTTGCTCCACTATGAAGAAAAACATGCTTTTGCTCTATAACTCTAGGAGTTTACATGCTATGTAAATTTGATCATCTGAAATGTGAATATTTTGTAATGGGGATTTAATCTATTTCAATTTTTCCTGTATTACCTTGATAAGAAATGTTAAAAATTATTTTCCTAATTTTAAAAAATTAATTTTTTAAAATTGACAATTAAAAATGTATATATTTATGATGTACATTGTGGCATTTTGAAATATGAATACACTGTGGAATGGCTAAATAGAGCTAATTAACATATGCATTACCTCATATAGCTACCGTTTTATTTTGTGTTGAGAATACTTAAAATCTGCTCTTTCAGTGATTTTCAAGAATAAAATTCATTGTTATTAACTGTAGTTACTATGTTGTACAATAGATCTCTGGAAATTATTCCTCCTATCTAATTGAAATTTTTTATTCTTTGACCAACATCTCTTCACTCCCTTCTTTCCCAAAGCCCATGGTAACAACAGTTCTATTCTTTACTTCTATAAACTTGACATTTTTAGATTCCACATGTAAGTGAAATCATGCAGTATTTGTCTTTCTGGGCCTGGTTTATTTCACTTTATACAATATCCTCCAGGTTCATCCATGTTGTTGAAAATGGCAGGAGACCCTTCTTTTTTTAACACTAAATAGTATCCCACGGGGTGTATATATCACGTTTTCTTTATCCATTCATTACCTAACAGACATTTAGGTGATTCTTTATCTTGGCTCTTGGGAATAAAGCTGCAATGAAAGCAAAAAAAGCAGATATCTCTTCAACATATCGATTTCATTTTCTTTGGTTACATACCTAGTAGGAGGATTGATTGATATAATATGGTAGCTTTATTTTTAATTTTTTGAGGAATCTCCATACTATTTTCCACAATGGCTGTAATAATTTACAAGTAATTTCCATCAGTGTTCCTTTGGTGGGACACTGTGTCTTTTCTCCACATCTTGTCAACATTTATTTTTCATCTTTTTAATAATGGCCATTCTAACAGGTATGAGGTGATATCTCACTGTGGTTTTAATTTCCCTAATTATTAATGATATTGAGAATATTTTCATATACCTATTGGCCACTTGTATGTCTTCTTTTGAGTAATGTCTATGCAGATCCTTTTCCCATTTTAAAATGGGGTTATTTGTTTTGTTATTATTGGGTTGTTTGAGTTCATTATATATTTTGGACATTAACCCCTTTTCAGATTGTGGTTTGTAAATATTTTCTCCCATCCCATATGTTGTCTTTTTAATTTACTAATTGTTTATTTTGTTGTGAAGAAGGTTTTTAGTTTGATGTAGTTTAACTTGCCTATTTTCATTTTTATTGCCTGTGGTTTTAGAGTAATATTAAAAATATCATTGTCTAGACATTGTCATGGAGCTTTTTCTTTATGTTTTCTATTAGTAGTTTTATAGTTTCAAGTCTTGAAAGCAAGCCTTTAATCCATTTTAAATAGGTTTTTTATTGGCACATAATAATTTTACATGTTTATGTGGTATATTTGATATTTTGATACCATTACACATGCAATGTGTAATGGTCAAATCAGGATATAATATTTAGGGTATCCATTACCTCAAACATTTATCATTAGTTTATATTGGGGACATTTAAAATCTTCTATTCTAGCTATTTTGAAATATATAATAAATTATTATAAATTATATTTACTCTACTTTGCTATTGAACACTAGAACTGTTATATGATCCAATAATCTCACTACTGAGTATTTATTCAAAGGAAAGACAATCAGTACATGAAAGGGATACCTGCACCTCCATATTTATTGCAGCACTAGTCACAATAGCCAAGATATGGAATCAACCTAAGTTTCCATCAACTGATAAATGGATAAAGAAAATTGGATAAATATTCACAGTGGATATTCCCACATATGAATTAGAACATATGATAATTGTCTCTCTGTGTCTGGCTTGTTTTAATAATAATAATATTTAATAATAATTTTAAAATAATAACCTTTGGTTACATCCATATTGCTGAAAATGATAGGATTTCATTCTTTTTTATATCTGAATAGTATTCTATTCTCTCTCTCTATATATATATATTCTATGTACATATACATATATAGAGAGTGAGAGGTGTATATATATATATATACATATATATATATATATATATATATACCAGATTTTATTTATCCATTCATTCATGCATTTGATACATGCATACAGTATATAATGATCAAATCAAGATATTTAGGATATCCATCACTTCAAACATTCATAATTAGTTTATGTTAGGAATATTTCAAATCTTCTCTTCTAGCGATATTGAAATATACAATAAATTATTGTAAGTTATAGTTAACCCTATTTTGCTATTGAACACTAGAACTTATTCTAACTGTATGTTTGTACATATTAAACAACTTCTCCTTATCTTTCCCATTCCCACCACCCTTCCCAGCTTCTGGTAACTGTCATTCTACTCTCTACCTCCATGAGATCAACTTTTTATGGATACCACATATGAATGACAAAATGCAATAATTGTATTTCTCTGCCTGGCTTATTTCACTCAGCATGTTAACCTCCAGTTTCATCCATGTTGCTGAAAATGACAGAATTTCAGTCTTTTTTATATCTGAATAATATTCCGTTATGTATATATACCACGTTTTCTTTATCTAATTGATGGACTCTTGATTGTGTATCTTAGCTATTGTGAATAATATGCTGCATTAAACATGGGGTGCAGGTATCACTTTGATATACTGATTATCTTTCCTTTGGATAAATACTCAGTAATGGGATTACTGCATCATATAATAGATCTATTTCTAGTTTTATGAGAAATTTCCATGCTATATTGTTATTTTTATCTTTTTGATAATAGCCATTTTAATTGGAATGAGATGATATCTCATTGTGGTTTTGATTTGCATTTCCCTGATAATGTGTGATGTTGAGCATCTGTTTTTCGTATACTTACTGATCTGTATGTCTTTTGTTTAGAAGTGTCTTTGCCCATTTAATGGGATTATTAAAATTATTATTATTGCTCTTGAGTTGTTTGAACTCCTTGTATATTCTGGGTTTTAGTCCCTTGTTAGGGACTAAATCATCTGCCATTTTTTTTCTCCATTTCTACAGATTGTCTCTTCACTATGTTGTTTCTTTTGTTATGCAGAAGCTTTTTAATTTAATATACTCTCATTTGTCTACTTTTGTTTTTGTTGCCTTTGCTTTTGAAATGTCAGCCAATTTTTTTTGTCTAGACCAATATTCTGAAGCATTTCCTCTATATTTGTTTCTAGTAGTTTTATAGTTTCAAGTCCTACTTCTAAGGTTTAAATCCATTTTGAGATGGTTTTTATATATGGTAAGAGATAGGGATCTAATTTTATTCTTATGCATATGAGAGTATGGTTTTCCCAGCAACATTTATTGAAGAGAATGTTCTTTCCCCAATGTAAGTGTTTTGCACCTTTGTCAAAAATTAGTTAGCTATAAATATGCGGATTTATATTTGGCTTATCTATTCTTTTCCTTTGCTCTGCATGTCTGTTTTTATACCAATACCATGCTGCTTTGGTTATGATACCTTTGTAGTATATTTTGAAATCAGATAGTGTGATAATTTCAGCGTTGTTGTTGTTGTTGTTGTTGTTGTTTTGGCTCAGTATCGCTTTGGCTATTCAGAGTCTTTTATGGCTCTATAGAAATGTTGAGATTACTTTTCTATTTCTGTGAAGAATATCATTGGTATTTTGGTAAATATTGCATTGATCTTTAGGTTGCTTTAGCTAGTATGGTCATTTAGAAATATTAATTCTTCTGATCCATGCACATAGGATGTCTTTTTATTTGTTTCTACCCTCTTCAATTTCTATCATGAGTGTTTTGTCGTTTTAATTATGGACATTTTTTTACCTCTTTAGAAAACTTATTGCTAGGAATTTTATTGTTTTTGTAGCCAATGCAAATAGTATTGCTTTCTTAATTTTTTTTTTAGCTAATTCGTTTTTGATTTATAAAAACACCACAAATTTTCCATCATGCTTTTTATCCTACAACTTTGCTGAATTTGTTTATCAGTTCTAAACGTTTTGTGTGTGTTTGTGTGTGTTTGTGTGTGTGTGGATTCCTGAGGTGTTTCTATATATAAGATCATGTCATCTGCAAAAAGGCATAATTTGACTTCCTCTTTTCCAATTTCAGTGCCTTCTATTTCTTTATCTTGCCTGATTGCTCTGGTAAGGACTTCCAGTTCTACGTTGAATAAGAGTGGCAAAAGTGGGCATCTTTGTCTTGTTCCAGTTCTTAAAGTCTTTCAGCTTTTCCACATTCAGTATCATGTTATTTGTAGGTTTGTCACATATGACCTTTATTATGTTGAAGTATGTTCCTTCTATGCTTAATTTGTTGGAAGTTTTTAATATGAAGAGATGTTGAATTTTATCAAACACTTCTGCATCTATTAAAATATTTTTGTTTTTGTCCTTCATTCTGTTGATATCACATTTGTTGATTTTCATATGTTGAACTTTCCTTACTTCCTTGGGATAAATTCTACTTGATCATGGTTTATTATCTTTTTCATGAGTTTTTGGAAGCAGTTTGCTAATATTTTTTGAGGATTTTTGCATCTACGTTCATCAGGGATATTGGCCTGTAGTTTTAATTTCTAATTTTGTTTTTGTCTGGCTTTGGTATCAGGATAATGCTGGTTTCATAGAATGAGCCAGGAATAATTCCCTCTTCTTCAATATTTTGAAGTAGTTTGAGTAGTTCTCCTAAGTTTGGTAGCTTCAGCAGTAAAGCCATCCAGTGATGGGCTTTTCTTTGTTGGGAGCCTATTTATTACTGATTCATTCTCATTACTCATTATTGGTGTGTTCATATTTTTTATTCCTTCCTGATTCAGTCTTGATAAGTTGTATATGTCCAGAAATTTACTCATTTCTTCTACTTTTTAATGTATCTTTGGTCATAATAGTCTCTATAGTAATCCTTTGTGTTATATTTCTGTGGTATCAATTGTAACATCTCTTTTTTCATTTCTGATTTTATTTATTTGGGTCTTTTTTGTTGGTTAGTCTACCTCACGATTTATTGATTTTGCTTATCTTTTCAAACAATGAACTTTTTGTTTCATTGATCTTCTGTATTGATATTAGTCTCTGTTTTGTTTAGTTTTGCCCTGATGTTTATTCTTTCTTTCTTTTTTTTCTAATAATTTGGGATTTGGTTTGTTCTTACATTCCTAGTTCCTTGAGCTGCATTGTTAGGTTGATAACTTGAAATATTTCTACATTTTTGATATAGGTGTTCATTGCTATAAACTTTCCTCTTAGCATTGTTTTTGCTGTGCACCATAGGTATTGATATGCTGTGTTTTCATTTTTTGTTTATTTCAAGGAACTTCTTGATTTATTTCTTAATTTCTTCATTGACCCAACTGTCATTCAATAGCAAATTGTTTAACTTCTGTGTCTTTGTACAGTTTCCAAATATCCGCTTGTCATTGATTCCTGGTTTTATTCCATTTGTGGTCAGAAAATGCTTGATATCATTTTAATATTTAAGATTTTTGAGGCTTGTTTTTGGCCTAATATATATTTTATCCTAAAGAATATTTTATGTGCTGATTAAAATAACATATATTCTGTAGCTGTTTATTGAAATGTCCTGTATGTGTCTGTGGTTCATTTGGTCTATAGGACAAATAAATTAGGTTTGATAGTTCTTTGTTGATATTCTGCCTCAAAGATAAGTCCAATGCAGAAAATGGAGTGCTGAGATTCCCAAATATTTTGAGTTGATTCTTGTATATGGTGTGAGAGAAAGATCTAATTTCATTCTGCATGCGGATATCCATTTTTTTCAGCACCATTTATTGAATACTGTCCTTTCCCCATTGTGTGGCCTTCACAGTTTTGTTGAATATCAATTGACCATAAATGTGCAGATTTATTTGTGGAGTATGAATTATGCTACATTGGTTTATGTGTCTGTTTTTATGCCAGTACCATGTTGTTTTGATTATTATAGCTTTGTAGTAAATTTTGAAGTCAGATAGTGTGTTATCTCCAGATTTGTTCTTTTTGCTCAACATTGCTTTGACTATTCTATTTCCCTGATTTTTAACACATTTTTGACCAAATAAAAGTACTTCTGTGAATTGCAATGATAATACATATGTATGCACTCACATATATAATTTATGAAGTATTTCTATATTAGTTATAATTTTATCCACAGGATTTTAAAATGTAGTCAAATAAAAAGAGCATTGCACAGAAAGTTGAAAATATGGGTACATTTTTCTACTATTTTAAGTGTCCTTGGACTGTATTTCATGTACCTAAGTCTCATTAATTTGCTAAATGCCAGTCATAATTCTAAGATAATTATAATAATTTCTGAATATTGGAGGACCAGAGGGACATTTTCTTTTATTCCATTTGTGCCCCATAAATTTAAGAGCCTTTCTCTTTGGTTCTGAACCCTGTTCACCCAAGCTCAGATGGTTTAGTTGGTGAACTGAGGATTGAGAAGATTAAAATATTTGGCTTCAATTAACAATATTACCATAAATATGCATAAATGCATCAAAAACTAATTGTTCCTGTGTGTAAACTCCAAACCATTTCACAGAACAGATGGTTATTGAGATTGACTCACAAAATGCATATCTTTTAATTTATGAATGATGTATTGTTCTATCACAGTGTTGGGGGATAAACTATAACTTAAGAACATCCCACATATTTGTATTTTTAAAGGGTTAAAATATTAGCAGACTGTTTTCATATTTATATTAAAAATTATATCTTTGACTATATTATTTATTATCTTTATCTTATTATCCACCCACCCACAGGTTGTTGCTTAGCCTTGTGGAAAATAAAAGGAGCAAACTTATTTTCACATAATGTTTACTTTCTCATGAGGTTTTTCATATTTTTTGCTCACACTTCCTTAATATGATGTAATTCTACTCTTCCTACATTAAATTTAAAAAAATTCTGATTTTTACTTTTTCTCTTCATAAATTGCCTTTTCTTGAAATATCTCGCATGTTTTGCTACCTTATATGTGATTATTATTTTTAACCTTATATTTCAAAATGATTTTACATGGACAAATAATGTTGCAAAGGTAATAATAATACATAAAACCCCAGTATATCTTTTACGCAGACTCATCATTTTTAAACATTTGGCATATTTGATTCATCACTATGTCTTAAAACATTAATAGTTCTGTGTATATTTTTCTAATGTTATTTATCTGTATATTTGTTAAATTATTGTATAATTATAAAGTTCAAGAAATTAAATATTGAAATAATACTTTAATCTATAATCCATACCCCAAAGCAGTTAGCAGTAGCAATATTGCCCTTTTATAATATTATTTTCCCCTACCCTGCAGGACCTTCTTTATGATCACATGCTACTTTAGCTGTCGTGTTCCTTTAGTCTCCTTTAACTTGGTATTTTCAGTCTTTCCATAACATTTGTGAGGAAGACAAGTCAGTTTTTAAAATAAAATATTTCTTACTTTGGGTTTATCTTTGTTTTCTCATAAAAATGCCCCTTAGAGATAGAATCAATTGATGATTCCTGCTCAGATCAATTTTTATTATAACAATTGGAAAATGGGGATTTTTCCAATTCCATTGCTTATACTAAAGAGACGATGAAATGCTCCAGAAAGTCAAATAAAGGATAATTTGTACATCAAAATAAATCAGAAAATAATAGAATATAATCCATTAAACAAAACAGTAAATATTCCTTTATTTACACAAGAATATCCTGTTATTCCAATATCATGTATTGAAAAAAAATAAATAACACAACTATCATTTCTCCAGTGAATTACCTGACACCTTTGGAAAATGTTGATTGGCCTTATGTGGATTTCTTCTTTGAATCTATGTTGTCTCTTTGATATAAGGATATACGCGTATTCTTATACCAATACCATATTATGTTGAGTACTGCAGATTTCTAGGCAGTCTTTGAATCCAGGTGTAGATCCTCCAGCATTATTATATTTTTTTCAAAATTATTTTGAATATATTGTATCTTTTGTATTTTCATTAAACTTTTTGAGTCAATTTGTCAACTTATGCAAAAAGGCTGCAGAAATTAGATTGGCATTATATGGGAACTATAGATATATTTGAGGAAAATTGACATCTTGATATCTTAACATTTACTGATTCTTCCAATTCATGGACATATGCATCTCTCCATTTAACTGGGTCTTCTTTAAGTTCTAGCAGTTTTTATTTTTTAATATATAGGTCTTATACGTTTTGTTAATATGTAACTGCCTCATTTTTATGTTGTTATGAATGGAATATTTGCATTAATTTTTTAGGAAGGTTTTTGTTATTGTATAGAAATGCAACTCAGAAAATACAATTGTGTTTATTGATCTTGTAGCCTACATTTTCCTTGATTTGATATAGAGATATCCAGATTTCTTAATTTCTTCTTGAATTGATTTTGGTAATATATGTGTGATTTCAACCTTTTAAATTTATTGACACTTGTTTTGGCTTGGCTTATCTTCTATGTCAATGAATTTTCCATGAGTGTTTGCAAGTTATATATATTTTTCTGCTGTTGAGTAAAGTGTTATATAACTGTCTATTATGTCTTGCAGGTTGATATTGTTTTCAGGTCTTCCATATTCTTACCGATTTTCTATCCACTTTTTCTATGAATTATTAAGAAAACAATATTAAAATTTTAAACTACAATCGATCATTTCTCTGTTTTTTCTTTTGCTTTTGCTGCCAGATTTTTGAAGCTCTCTTGTTAAGCATATTTGTAATTGTTATATCTTCCTGCTGTATTGACCCTTGTGTAGTCATGAAAAGGTCCATCTTTATTTCTACTTTGTCTTATTTTAAAGTCTATATTTTCTTATTTAAATATAGTTTACTCATGTCTCCTTTGATTTGTGTTTGTATTCTGTTACAAAAGTAACAAGACTACTTGTAGCAGGGGATGAAAACCCCCTTAGTCTCTCTGATTTTAATATGCATGTCTTGTAGAAAGCATGTGGTTGGATGTTTCCTATAATCTAGTCTAACAATATTTGCCTTAAAATATGTAATTATTTATTATTTTTTCTTAATTTTTTATTTTCTGTTTGTCTTATTACTTCTTTGCTCCTGTATTTCTCCTTGACTGCTTTCTTTTGTGTTAAAATATCTTTATTAAACAATTTTCATTCCTCTATTGACTTTTTAGCTGTATTTACATAGTTTTTACTGGCTTCTCTTAAAAAGTAGCATGCATTTTAATCTATCACACTGTATTTCAAATAAATACATAGTTACTTTTTTAAATGTAAAAACTTTGTACCAGTATAACCTGATTTCCTCTCCTTTTTTGTACTATTGTTGTGATATGTTTTACACATTTATTATAATATAAATTCAAGAATATAGTTTTATAATATTTTCTTTGAATTTTTTTGACTTTAGAGAAATTAAAAGAAGAATGTACGTACACATTTACAATTATCTCCATATTTATTGTTTGCAGTGTCTTCATTCCTTCCTGTGAATCTAAGTTACCCTTGGTGCACTTTTCTTTAGTCTAAGGCACTTCCACTAGCGTTTCTCATGGTACAAGTCTGGTGGCAACAAATTTAGTTTTTATTCATATAAAAATGTAGAAATATCTTTATACACTTTAATTTTTGAAGGATAGTTTTACTAGATATAAAAACCTTCCTTGACAATTTTTTTTCTTTCAAAGGCTTTCATATCCCATTCTTCTGGCCTCTGGTATTTCTGATGTAATATGTCATTAAAAATTTTCTTTCCCTGTAAGTGTGTATTAATTTTCTCTTGCTCTTGTTAATCTTATAACTTTAGTTTCTATAGCAGTTGTATTATGACAGATCTATATGTGATTTCCTTTGCATTTTTCTGTGTGGAATTTGTTACTCTTGGATCTGAAAGTTATTGCTTTACAGTAAATTTGGGATGTTTCTGGCCATTGTTTCTTCAAGTATTTTTCCTGTGATTTGTCTTTCATTTTTCTTCTTCTGAAACTCCACTTGCATTTAATATGAAATTCTTGATATTATGCCACATATCTTTGAGATTCTTTTATTTTTCTTCAGTATAATTTTGCTGTTTTTGAGATTAGACAGTTTCTACTGGTCTGCCTTCTAGTTCAATGATTCTTTCTCCAACATCTCAAAACTAATGTCAGTCCTATCTAGATAATGCTTTTCTTTTTAGTCATTGTGCTTTGTTTTTTTTTTTTAACCAACTCTAAAATTTCCATTTGATTATTTCATGGTTCTTATTTCTCTTACGAGATTTCCTATTTGTTCACGGATTTTTAGCACACAATACTACAATTCTTTGTTTTTCTTTAATTTTTCAACATATGTATAATAGCTGCTTTGAAGTCATTGCTATATCTAATGTCTGGGCATACTAAGACATTCAGATTCCTTCCTATTGGCCCTTTTTCCGCCTCTGTTATTGGTGATCATTTTCTCTCATTACACATCTAGTAATAATTTGTGAAAAACTATATATTTTAAATAATATAATGTAGCAACTCCTGATTCTATTTTGTTTTTTTTGAGAGTTTCTGTATTTTTATTTGTTTGTTTAATTAAGTAATTAACTTTTCTGGACACACAATGCGAAATCTGTTTTTCTGTTGTATGCTGTCTCTATGTTTTCATTTACTGTTGAGATCTCCAATGTTGAGGGCATATTTTAAGGCCAAGGTTTTAAATGTAGCTATGCTCAGATACTTTAAACAATTAAGGTTTCCACCCTCTGCTTTCTGAATTGTGTGTGTGGTTTGAGGAACACATTCAAAGAGAGAAAATTCTTAAGTTGCCTGAGGCTTTCAATTTTCACTGGGCTTCTAGGGAGTCCGGCAGACATATGCTATGTATTGTAAAATTCATCTGTGATCCTGGTGCTTTTTGCATTCCCAACATCAGTGTATAAGAATACCTGTTTTCTTACAGCCAAACTGACAGAGTACTTCGTTAAATTTTAAATGTCGGCATGTTTATTAGATGAGAAATTATATTATAATATAGTTATTTTCATGTCCCTTACCATAAGTTTACATCATTCATATATTTAATCTTGGATATTTTTTAAAGTTTATATTTTTGTCCCATTCTTCATGATTTGTCTGAGACAAACTTACTGTATTATAATTTAAATGCAATAAAATTCACCATTTTTGCCATGCGACTTTATTTTTGTGATGATTTCTGACAATATATAGTCATGCAACCACCGCTATCAAGAAATAGAATATTTATATTACTCCAAAAAAGATCATTTGTGAACCTTTTCAGTCAATACCCTCCTGCCATTTAAGTCTTTTTACATTTCTCTCAGTAAAGTGTTATAGTTTTCAATATATAGCTATTGAAAATCTGCGTCAGCTTTACTTCTAAATATTTCCTATGCTAACTGTGTAAGTGGTATTGTTTGCATATTTCTGATTGTTCATTGATAGTATATAACAATACAGTTGATTTTCACATTTAAACGTTTCATTCAATAATTTTGCTAAATAACTCATGAGTTCTGGTAGCTTTTTAATAGATTCAGTGAAATTTTCTGTATAGACAATTATGTTATCTGTGAATACAAGCTTTATTTTTCTAAGCAAATGGCATGGTTTGTTATTATCATTATCATATTTGCCTTATTTTACAGGCTAGAACAAGGATTGGTAAACATTTCTGTAAAGAGACAGATATTAAATATTTTGGGGTTCGTGGGCCTTTACGGTCTTTGTCACAAACTCAAATCAGCTATTATAGTGGGAAAGCGGCCATAAACAAAAGGAAAACAAGTGGGCATGGCTGGATTTGGCCAACAGGCTGTGGTTTTCAGGTGCCTTCCATCTTTTTATCTCTCTGTTTCATTTTGTAGGATTTTTATTGCTGTGTCTTCAAATTCTCTAATCTTTTCCTTTGTAATATCTAACTTTTCATTAATCCTATTCAGTGTATTTTTATCTCTGACATTTTGTTGTCATTGACAGATTTAATGGGTTGATCTTTTTTAACCTCATTTTAAGTTATATTTTCCTACTTTTTTGCATTCCTGGTCATTTGTTAAATTAGGTGATGGACATCATGAATTTTATCTTATGTGAGGACTATTTTTCATTTTGGTATAAATATTCTTGAACCTTTTTTTTCTGGCACATAATTAAATTACTTGAAAAGAATTCGATCATGTGGGTCTTGCTTTTTAGTAGGCAGAATCAGGGCTGTGTTTAGGTTAGGGTTAATCTTTCCCCACTACTAATGCAAGATGAGATTTTTTTTTTTTAATCTAAGGCAGGTAAGGACAGTAATCTTGTTTAGCCTTGTATGAGCCGTATTCCGTTCCTTATAATCTTTTCAGGTGAACCTTCCCACAATCTGAATTTCCATACACAAATGCAATGGTCAATATTCAAGAGAATATTGACAGGGATCCTTTCAGATACATGATATTCACTCTATGTGCAGTTCTTTCTTCTCCAGTGTTCTGTCTTATAAAATTGCCCTATGAAGCTGTCTTGGCTTCCTCAAATTCCAGCTCCATCTCTTCAACCCACAGAGACCACTGTAATTCACCCAGTTTTCTCCTCCCTATACGACTCTTCAGAAAGCTTCTCCAGGACAATTGTAACCTGAGACAACTGTCGGGCTTACTTAGTTTCATTCCAGTCCCTCAGGGACCATTGTCTTTCAATGTCTGATGCTCAATATCTTGAATGCTATTGTACCATATATTTTGTCACAATTGTTCAGGTAAATCTGATCTATCCTACTACATTTTGACTAGAAGCTGGAGTTTCTACATTTTTTATTTTTATATATCATAGATTTAACCTTTTGTATGTGATATATTTTGCAAACATTTTCCCCCAATTTTTATTTATATTTGACTTTGCTTGAGGTGTTTTATCAATGTAAAACTATGTTCTTTTTAATTTATGTGTAGTGAAATTTATCAATATACTCATTTTGTATTCTGTATTTTGCTTTATATTGTCTATTTATAATAGATATTTTGTATTCTGTATTTGCTGTATAATATTAAACTATTATGTTACCTATACATTCAGGTAATAGAAGAATACTGCATGTTTTCTCTTAGAACTTGGGTATGTGAAACTTTATAGAATCTGATTTTATCCCTTTCCAAATGGCTATCCAGTAGTCCCAAAATCATTTATAAAAATATGTTTGTCCCTGTTATTTGAGATAATTATACTGTCCTCCCATTCATCCAATGTTTTAAAATTATACTAATTTTAATAGTAATTCAAACCTAATGATCTGGAGATAATGTTTTTTATATAAAAGGTCAAGTAGAATCACAGAAGGTAGTTATTTTGGGCAAGAGCCCAGAGCCATTGGGTTTCTTAGGATGTTGGTGTTAATTATGTATTCAGCACTTATACATTGATTAACTAGATATGAGGCAAATTTCTCCAGTGTATGACTAATTTATTTCCTTTATCTCAGAATATGTAAATCCACATATTACAAAATAGATTGCTTTTTCATTAGTAGAGCACAGACTCATAAATATTAACTTTAAAAAATCTTCTATCTGTTGGGTTTTTTGTTTTGTTTTGTTTTGTTTTTTTTGCAACATTTCATTTGACTCTTGTATTGTCTTATCGGAATCTAAGAAAGAAATAATGGATTTGCCTGTGTTATAGTACTCCCAGTTCCTGGGTAATTCATACTTCCCCAAGAAGTTCTTTACACTTTTGAACAGTTAACTTTAGAGAGTTATGTCAATATTTTATATTTAACTGAAATCTACCTCATCTTATTATCAATTCATTTAAAAAAATTGAATCATTTTTCATACAATAACCTTTCTAAAGTTGAATGTTAATTATTGTGTGTCTCTTGAGCTTTCATTTCTCTAGGATATTAAACCTGGAGAAAATGTTCCTAACCCTTTTATGTATCACATTCAAGCATATTTAGCCATCTTAACTCCTCTGTTCTCATCAGGTAAAACTTTGTCCCTTAAATTGTTGCCTAACATTGTACAGAATCCTCTAGGGGTTATCTAAATCCTACAGAATAGAACCAAATGCCTTCAGACCTACCAGATCTGGTTCTAACTTTTTTCTACCACAACGTGTATTCTAATTGGTGCCAAATAAATTATAATCTGATGGGTCCTTTATATCTTAACTCTTATAAATATAATTTCATTTCTGAATCCCATTTTGTATGCTTTATAAAAGTGCTATATTGTCCTTTTAATGAATGTATACTCATGTAAGTATGTATTAAGATGAGTGGCCATTTAAAAATATTCATATCTTTTTATTTCTTGCAAAATACTCTATGTCACCTGCTCCCAAAAAAACGAAGTTTTGCTCAACAATATCTTGAGAGATTCTACATAACAAAGGTTCCATGACAAAAAATAATTAGGAAATTCTGAGAAAGCTTTCCCTTAAGATGTCATATGGCCAGGCACAGTGGCTCATGCCTGTAATCCCAGCGCTGTGGAAGGCCAAGGCAAGTGGATTGCTTGAGCCTGGGAGTTCAAGACCAGCCTGGGCAACATGGCAAAACCATATCGCTACAAAAAATATTTAAAAATTAGCCAGATGTGGTGGCACATGTCTGTAGTCCCAGCTACCCAGGAGGCTGAAGCGGGAGGACCACCTGAGCTCAGGAGGTCAAGGCTGCAGTGAGCCATGATCTTGCTACTCAGCCTGGGAAACAGAGTGAGAACCTACCTAAAAAAAAAATAAATAAATAAAAAATAAAAAATTCATAATGTATATTAATACATTACAGGCTCTGAGAGGTGCAGCAGTAAAATAAGTACTAAATTTTACTTAGACAAGCATTTTAGACTCAGAGCTACTCATTAAATTGGAAAAAAGTAGTAGTATTATGTAGTTTATTTAATGCTAACAATGTATAATGTGATGTGTCATGAATACTGGGGGTGAGATTTAATAACATCAGCTGAATGTCAAAATACCCTAAAATAACTATATGCAAATGGTAATTATTTCTATGCACCAAGACTGAAAGTTCATTCCATTATTTGTAGATAGTCGAGTTCAGAAGTAAGGGTGAATTTTATTTACTGATTAAAAGTATAGAGATTCAGAGACCCTCAGAAATTAGAAAATTATTTTAACAAGAGAGTTTATGAAAATACTATTCTTGAGGGATAAGTGATTTGTATATATTTACCTAAAAGTAATTTTGTTGGTGCAATAATTATGTAAATGCATTCTTGCTATATATGGTGCCATAAAGTATGCAATGGAAATAACACACTGATGAAATAATGACTATACTGCATTCAGCAGAATCCAAATAAACATCTTCAATGTTGGTGCATGTTTAGCATAAGTCAAAAGAAAAAAAAATGTGGCACTTCTCACTTATCCATTTTGTTTTGTATAGTTTTATGATCTTTACACTATATTTATAAATTATCTGCTGCTTGAATTGACTCCTATCACAGTGTTGTTATATTTTAGTGTCATAAATTAGACATAAAAATTGAGTAAGACTGAACTGAATATTTAATTACATGGTATTATTAATAGTTATAAATTTCAATGTTTTCCTTATCTATATTTTATGTTTTAGCTTTAATATATAAGCAATTAAATAATTTAACAGATGACTAATGGGGAATGCATTTAAATGTATTACTTAAATATTTAAAGACTAAATTAAAGCTTCAACATGACAATATTGTTAAATAACCTAAGATGAGAGATACATTACTTTTTAGGTATACTTTTAGAAAATACACACATATGGTCACTAGCCCTGCTTATACAAAGTATTTATGACCTTAATAAACAAGGACCTTGACAAAGAAACCTCTGAAGTGACTAGGAGAACTTATTTTGACTTTGATATTGTTTATCTTCTTTAAATATGTACTTAGTTCTTCAAATTAATTTTATTTTAAAATATTCCATATTTTATTCTGTATATCTACAAATAAATATATTGTATATATTTATTTATATTTGTAAAACTACTTTATACATATACTTGTGTATACACATATGTGTATATACTGTATTTGTATGTATGTGTATAGACTGTACATATATACACTCATGTATAATATATACATAAAAGTACATATATATTATACACACACACACATACACACACATATGCAGTCAGTCTTCAGTGTCCATGGGGAATTGGTTTCAGGACCTCCTGCGGGTACCAAAATCCACAGATGCTGAAGTCCCTTATATAAAATGGTGTAATATTTGCTTATAACCTATGCATATTCTCCTGTATACTTTAAATCATCTTGTAATACAATGTAATGCTGTGTAAATCGTTGTTATACTGTATTGTTTAGGGAATAATGACCAAAAAAGTCTTACATATTCAATACGGATGCATTTTTTTTTCAAACTTTTTGATCCACAATTGGTTGAATTCATTGGTGTGGAACCCATAGATATAGATGACTGACTACATATAAAAATGAAAGTAAAATTAAATTATAAAGTGATAAAAAATAATTTTTAAATATATGACATAAACAGTTTAACAAAGTAAAAGGTTTAGGAAAAAGTAGAAAAAAAAGTTTAAAGTTAAAAATAAAATTCTACCACAGCAATAGCATACAAAATGACAAGGTATCATCGTGATCAGAAGAAAGAATTCACCTAGACTTGGCAATTGTTTTGTTTTCCTTTTATTGCCTGAAGTAGTATTATGCTAAAGAAATGGCATTTCTAATCTCAGTTTAGTTAGGTATCTATTTTATATTCTGAAGTACAAATAATATAAAATAAAATCAATGAATAAATTATACCTGAAAAACAACTTTATTTCTCAACTCAGAGGTGGCCATAAATTGAGGAGAGATTCATTTATAATACCTCAATGAACTGAAATTTAATAATGTTTTGTCAAATAGATAGTAGTCTTCAAAATATTATGTGATCCTTGCTGAGGTAAAATGATGGGAAGTTTGATAACATGATTTTCCAATTTAATATTGTTTCTAAATGAATTTTCAAATACATAACATTTGAAAATCAATATAGGTTTTCTGATATATGATGTTTATTTTCCCAGTTTTTGAGAAATTTTGCTAAAATGTATTCATAGTATATGCTAAAGTAGATTTTCTAGACTAGATTTAAGGATTTTTTTTACAGTAATGATATAAAGTGAGATAACCTTCAGATGTATGTTTTAAGCTATCAGTATTTCTTACATTTGTCACAGCTTGTTTTTGCCCTTAGATTTACTGTAGCAGTTTCTTTGGTGAAATCTGGGCATGTATAAGGTGTTTCTGAGGTTTACCCACTGTTGAAAAACATTCTGTATTCTAGGTTTTTGCAATTCCAAATACAGATCACAGAATAGTTGGTCTCAGCATCATCTTGGGGGCTTGTTGGAAATGGCGAATATTAGGTCCCGTTTCAGAATACTGCAACAGAATCTCTAATAGTAACAAGATCCCAAAGGATTTATACAAATACACACACAAACACACTTTAGCAAGCACCTAGGACCAACCCCATTAAACATTACTTTGTAGGACTTCTAAAACCATTTACTAAAATCAGTGGCTTGATTTTTCATGATAATGAACTTCAAGGTTAATTGAAATCTAGATGTCATTACTTCCTTGTTTCTCTTCCTTGGTAGGAATGATTATAGAATGTTTTTCTAAGAATATCGTAGACACAAAATTTATGTTGTCAAATGAATGGAGTCGTTTTGTTGACACTACTAGTATGTAGATATCAGTATGTTTTTTGATAGGTATCAATAAGGCACAAAACAATTTCAGAATAAAGTTTTCAGAACCAGCTGCATTTCTGACAGTCATTTCACTGCAGGTGGCTTCTGAATCATTTGATATTGAGATGGTAGTAAATCTCTTGTTCTGTGGCCAACCTCACTACCCAGGGCTATTTTTCCAGAAGAGACAATGCTGAGCAGGAAATATCTGCTTCTCTGTTCCTTGCTGTCCTCTCGGAATCTCATCAGCTGTTGCTATATAAAGACTTCATAGCTGTGTATTTCAGAAACTTTTGTCAGCTGTTTTATTATCATACAGATCCTCAGCATAATTGTCAATAGACCATGCATACTTGCCATCATCCTAAGATTTACTAGCTTTCATTTATTTATCAATCCAATGAGACCACTAATAATCCTGATACTCTCTGAGCTTTTCCCCATCACTTGGTCTTCAAATGATTGAACTGTCTGTAGACACCACCATCTCAAGAACTCAGAATCTTTCAGGGGTAACAAAGTCTTATTTCTCTAGGTCAATAAAGGCTTTTGAGAGAAGACTTTTCAACTAATCTTACATGAAATATGAAAAAGGATTTCTCAACTCTGATATGGTAGTTTTATTTTACCCAAGATAAAAGCCAGTTGTTTTTTAAGTGGAACAAAGCGCATCACTTTGGCTGTTATCTGTCCCCTTTCCAGACTGGAGTTAGGCTCAGCTCAAACCTACATAATTCTCCATTTCAACAACACACTCGTGAGTTGAAACAAAATTAAATGGAGTGTCTTCACCTTTGAGTTACAAAATTATGTCCTATACTGCATTGCTATATTATTACTTATTTTTTTCCAAGTAAAACAACTTGTGAACTACAAAATTGCATGACTAGAGAAATAACAAAACCCCACAAAAACAAAAACTGTCAATAAAAACCCAAAACCAAAACAAAGTGAAGTAACTTAGAAGATAGCAAGATTTATTATAAAAATATAATAATTTAGATAGGTGCTCTTTGACTCAGGAATTGACAAAGAAACCAAAGAAAACCTAGAGGCCCTAAAAGCAAAGTAATAGGTAATCAGATATTGACTTATGAGAGACAGGGCATTAAAAAGCAGTGGGATAAAATACCCTTTTTGTATAATTGTGCTGAAACAATTGGCAATCCATGCATGTAGAAAAATGTAATTGGGCTTCAACTTGACACCATACAAAAGGTAGATTATTAGATCTGAAAAGCAAAAGTCTAAAATTTAAGATAATATTATAGAAGAATTTTCATTACATTTTGACAGGGAAGAGATTTTTTAAGTAAAAAGCACTGACAGGAAAAGAAAGATGGGTAAATTTAACCATAAAAAATTAAAAGCTTTTTATCAAGAGATTATACACTATTGTGAAAGTGATAAAACAAGTCATGAAATCAAAAAAGGTATTTGTAAAATGAGTTTGACCAATACTTTGTATCCAGAACACTAAAAAAATGCTCCTACAAATAATTAAGAAAATAAAAGGAAACCTAGCTAGTAGGAAAGTGAATAAAGGGGAAAAATTCAAATGACATGTTAATGTATGGAATGGTATTTTGCTTTATTAGCAATTATTATGTGCAAATAAAAAATATTACATGGAGCAATATGCCCATCATATTGGAAAAATGAACTAGTTTGACAATAGGAAGGTTTCCTGAGCATATGAAATAATGGAACTTCCATGCCCTTGAGGAATTGGCATAACCACTTTGCAAAGTTTGGTATCATCTGATAAAACTGAAGATACATGTATTCATGGATCCACTAACTCTCTTTCTTATTGCATCTTCTCAAGATACGTATGTACGTAAAATAACATTATTTGTAAAAGTTCAAACTGGAAATCATCTATACTTTTATCATTCCTTAACTATATGATTGAATTATTATATAGTCATGGCATGGAAGACTACAGAGCAATGATTTTTTATTGCTATTCTTTTTTGTTGCTGACTAGTATTACATTGTATAGATATACCAGTTTCTTCTTTCATTTGCTGATTGAAAGATATCTTGTTTCCAATTCTTGGAGTGTATGAAGTGGCTAGTAACTGTGCCATATAGGTTTTTTGTGTGTGTGAATATAAGTTTTCTTTTCTCTTGGGTAAATGCCTACGAGTAGGGTTGCTTGATAATATGATAAATGTTTGATTAATTGCATGAAGAATGGCCAAACCATTTTTGAAAGTGGTTGTTCCACTTTACATCTAAGAATATATAAATATTTCAGTTGGGGGTTTTCAGCACTTCATGCTCTCTGTTTATTTTAATTGTTTTTTTTTAACCATTCTATAGAGTGTGTAGTGTTATGTCATATTTTTGATCTGCATTCTAACAACCAATGAAGTTAAGTACTCTTTTCAAATGTTTATTCGCCACCATATATCTTCTTTGGTGGTTTCTGTTTAGATCTTTTCCATTTTTAATTTATTTATTTTCCAATTGTTGATTTGTGAGAGTTTCCTATAATTTCTGGATGCAAGTCATGTGACAGAAATATATGCATTTAACAAGTATTTTTGTCCAGCTGTATCTATCTTTTCAGTCTTTCAACAATGTCTTTTCCAGACAGAAAGTACAATTTATATTTTCATTTATGAGTCATGCTCTCAGTGTCCTATCTAAAAACTCTTTGGGTCCAAATCCAAGATCACAAATATTCTCATTATAATCTTTTTCTAGATGTTTTATAACTTTGTGGTTTGCATTTAAATGTTGTAATACATTTTAAATTATTTTTTAGATAAGGTATAAGATGAATTGAGGTACACAGTTTTGTGTATGGATGTTCAAATTTTCAAGCAGCATTTCTTTTAAAGATGTATCCTTTAACCATTCACTTGCCTTTGCACCTAGAAAAAAATATCAGTTGACAGTGGAGGTCTATTCTGGGCTTTCTGTTCTACTCTATTGATTGATGTGTTCATCTTTTCATTAATATCACCCTACCTTGGTTTCTGTTTTTATCTGTATAATTGTTGATGTTTTTGCTTTATTTGGGTTTATTTTCTTAAATTTCTTATCATGGAAGCATAGATTACTGATTTAAGACTTTTCTTCTTTTCTAAAATAAACACTTAGTGCTGTACATTTTTCTCTAAGCATACCTCTAGTGGCATTCCAATCATTTTGATCTGTTGTATTTTCATTTACACTCAGTTAAACATAGAGTTGCATTTAATATTTCTTCTTTCATGCATAGGTTATTCAGAAGTATGGTGTTTAACTTCCAGGTTTTCAGGGGATTTTTTCAAATAGCTTTTCTTTTGTAATTGACATCTAGTTTAAGTATGTTATTGGAAACACACTTTGTTGAATTTCTATTCTTGTACATCTGTTAAGAATTGTTTTATGACCCAGAATAGAGCATATCTTGGTGATTGCTTCATCTGCACTTGAAAAAAAATGTATATCTGCAATTTTTGGGTATTCTTTAAATGTCAATTAGATCAAGTTAGTAATTACAACATTTAAAAAATCATAATGGTTGCCCTATGTTATACAATAAACATCTTTGATTAACCACTGCATCTTCAAATAATATGATATTTCACATATAAGTACTTCACAATGGTATATTCCTAATTTCGCTCTCCCATCTTTGTATTGTGGTTGGCATATATTTTACTTTTACATATGCTATAAATGTACATTTACTTTATACTATTTTTAACTTACATATCAGTTATCTTCTAAAGCAATGAAAAACAAGAAATAAGTAAAGAATTTTAAACTATTATTTATGCTAGTATTCTTTTTACTGTGCAGATCTGTATTGCTGTCTACATTGTTGTCTTTCATCCAAAGAACTTCGTTTAATATTTCTTATAGTGTAGGCTGGAAATGAATTCTTTCCATTTTTGTTTGAGAAAGACTTTACTTCTTTTTTTGGAAAGACATTTTGTTTTTACTAGATATAGTTAAATAGATATATTTCCTTTTGCTAGGCCTTCAGTATAGGTGTCTGAATTACTATAGTCAGAGGTTGGACTGGGCTTGAAATTTGTTGCTATAGTTACCCACAGTGCATCACAGACTTCAAATTCCTCTGGCAAAACCTTTGGTTTAGGATGGGGGCTAGTTGGCTTGAGGATTGTTTAGAGTGGGGACCAATTTACAATTTCTCAGTACCAGCTCCGTCTTCAACTTTCAGTCTTCCTTTTGTACTGTACCTCCATGAGATTTGCTTCTGTATTCATTATCCCAGTCATAAAGAGCATGGTGGAGGTGTTTTCTGATAATTTATTATTATGCCTTAATCTTAGGCAGTTTCTGTGTTTCTAAATATTAAGATTGTGGCCTTCACAATTTCTCCTGCCGTGCTTCAGCTGCAGCCTTTGGCTCAAGATGTTTTCCTCCCTCTCCCCAGGTGTTAGTGTTTTCTGGTTCTTTCTCCTTATTGCAGTTGTTTTTTCCTAGTGCCCTAAAGTTGACAGTCTTTGTTGTCTTCCCCCTATGAATTAAAAATGTGTTCCAAAAGGAAATAAAATCGTTTTCAAAAAAAATTCTACAGCTATTTATGTCCTGTTATGCCTTTCCTAACTGAAGCCACAGAAAATGAAAACTTGCATCATACTTTCCCCCATCTCCAAGAATGAACTGCCCACCAGAGTCTGTTGCTTCTGTTCATTCTTCATGGACTTCAAGGTGCTGATTCGTATGTTATGCTGAGGTTTTACAGCTGTTTTCTGCAGGTAGATACTCCCATTACAGTCCTCTCCCTTCATTGCCCTCTGAATACCTGAATATGTTTTTCTATGGGTTTCTATTGCTTTTATCAATCTGACCTCATGGCTTCAGGAGTTATTTAGTTTCTAGATTTATAATTTTACCTTTCTTGTTTTTCAATGAGGAAATTATTTTGCCCTAAATATGAATATAAACATGAAAATAGACACAAATACAAACATTTATTTAAATTTGGCTGGGCGCGGTGGCTCAAGCCTGTAATCCCAGCACTTTGGGAGGCTGAGGCGGGCAGATCACAAGGTCAGGAGATGGAGACCATCCTGGCTAACAAGGTGAAACCCCGTCTCTACTAAAAATACAAAAAATTAGCCGGGCATGGTGGCAGGCGCCTGTAGTCCCAGCTACACGGGAGGCTGAGGCAGGAGAATGGCGTGAACCCGGGAGGTGGAGCTTGCAGTGGCGCCGCTGCACTCCAGCCTGGGCGACAGAGCGAGACTCTGTCTCAAAAAAAAAAAAAAAAAAATATTTATTTGGTATATCTTGATCAGTCTCTTTCAAACCTTTTCTAAAACTATTTCCTCGTTTAAAATGGAAAGTGACATTACATCTCACTCCATAATCTAAAATGTTTACAATTCATTGCCCATTTCCCCAAAGCCTTTTAATTTCTCCAAACAGCTTTTAATTTCCAGGAAATGTTCCTAGATGTAAAATGTGACTTTATGAATAATTTCTGCATTTCCCTTTTGGGCAAGTTGCTGCTTGTCTGGCAAGCTTTAAAAGATATTTTCAAAAAAGACTTAAAAGGGAGCAGTAATTAGCTTTTTTTAACTTTGAAACATTCTGTTTGGATTTTGTTCCACATCAAGAATATTTTGTAAGGTATTTCAGAGGAAATTTATCTACCTCCCTTTTAAAAATGAATTTAATGCCATATGATACAATATCTATGAACGAGTTTAATTAAACCTTTTGCATTCGAAGATTTTATCTTGAAAACTTAAGGTAACCATGACACGTGACATGTTTTTACTAACTATGCTATTAATGGCTATAAATTAATTTATCTAGGATATTAATATTGAATGTACAATGTTAAAGATTTCTCAACAATCAGACATGTACTTTTAAAAAGATATTTTATTCATATTGCTTTACACTAAAATATTTTTATTACTTTACATATCTTAAATATTTTGATAGTTCACTTTATTAGTACTGTTAAAATTAGTGATATTAATCCTTGTGACCGACTTAAAGTTACATCATCTTTGTATACTGTTTATATAACTGTGCTCTTGTTATAATCCCCGGTCTGTACCTAAAATAATAAATGACTAATCACTAGTATACACAGCAGAACATTGGAAAATTGCATTAGCCCCATACTCAGAAAAAGACAATGCAGAAGAGAATCTTTCTGACTTACTTTGTGGTAGAATAGATCATCTATTATGTCTCCCTAAACACAAATGTTCCACCTAAATAGATGGACATTTTCTAATCAATTCCAGTGATTCGTTAAAAACATCTCTCCAAATGAATCAACATGGGAAGTATTACAGATGATAATATATTATATTTTAACATATTTAAATTTAATACTAGCTTGCATCTATTAGAGATAACATTTAAATAATTTAGCCTTCTTGCATAAATTTGCTACTAGTTTCTGATATAATTTTCAAACATTTGAAAAGAACTAATTGGATTTAAAGTTATTAGGTAGTCTTTAATGTATATTAAGACAGGAATTGCACTGGATTGCCAAAGTAATAAAACCACTCATAAATTGTAATAACAGGAAAATGAAAAGAATCAAAGAATGGACTATATAGCCCTGGGGTAGACAGCACTGAATGACAGTCCTTTTTGTGTCCATTGATTATATGATCTACCTGTTTTTAATTTAAAATAATAAATTTTAAATAGTACTTTGTTTCCATTATATATACTTGATTAAAATAAAATTTACTTAATTTTTTTTAGAAAATAATAAAGGCAATTGCACTGTACATTGAAACTCATACACAATGCAGCCCAAATATTACTCACAGAAATTTCTGCCTTTTAAACTATATTTTGCTAAAGGATGAGAGCAATTAAATTAATCACTGAAATATTTTAAAAGAACCAAACCTTATGAAAACTTAAGAAATTGGGATGAAATAAATATAAAATTACACATTGATTTAAAAAAGCAGAATTAATGAATAACTAATAACTGGTCCTCTGAAAGAAAAATTAGAAGAGTAAAGCCAGCATATCTCTGGAAAATGTGGTCATAGAAAATAAAACATACTCGAAAAATTTGGAATTTTTTTAATGCCAAGTTTTTAAAGAAAATTTAAAAAATAAAAAAAATAGGATACATATTTGTACTTACAAATATATTTAAATACTGAGGTACTCTCACTTCTAATAAGCTGATATTGCTTAGTGTTTGATATTTCATGCTTTATGAGCTGAAGATCTACCGTGAACGTTTGCATTCTGCTGATTTCTCTAGGTGCTTATTGAAATACTCAACTTTCATGATGCTCTGATGGCTTTGGCAGGTGAGAGAATAACTGCATCTGTAGTTTGCATTACTTTATTAGAGATGTTGTTTAGGGCCATAAAGTGTTACAGAATTTATTAATAGCTTATTCTGTTTTCAAAATTTATACATGCCTCTTTTCTTCCGGTGTATATCACACGAGAAAACAGTTACAGAGAGATACTTTCCATACTCCCCAACATTGTACCCCAAGCCACGCTGGCTGTGTTGTGGAATCAAAGCTTTTATGCCAAATTGCTTCCTGTTGATTTTTCTTAACCTACTCATTATCTCCTGTGATGGTTAATTTTGTGTGTCTACCTGACTAGATCAGGGATGCCCAAACTGACTAAACAGTATTTCTGGGTATGTGTATGTGACGGTGTTTCCACATGAGGTTAGCATTTGAAGTGGGTGAATTTGAATTCACTCAATGAAACTGACTGCCTTCACCTATGTGGATGAGCATCATCAATCTATTGAGGGCTTGAACAGAACAAATGGCAGAGAAAGGGAGAATTTGCCCCAGTTTCAGGCAAATGTGAGCTGGGACATCCATCTTTTTCTCTTGCCCTCAAAGCTCCTGGTACTCAGACCTTCAGACTGACTGGGATTTATACCATCAACTGTCCAGCTCTCATGGCTTCAAACTATACTACCAGCTTTCTTGCTTTCCAGCTTGCTGGTGGCAGATTGTGAGATTTCTTAGCCTCCATGGTCATGTGAACCAGTTTCTATAATAAATCTCATTATATATATATGCATATATAAGATTTATTTCCCATACATGTATCTATAAGCATATGAATATAGATTTATTTTATAGATATGTGTATATATAAATATATGTAAAATATATATAGATAGATATACAGATAGCAATTCTCCAGATTCTAATAATAATAGTAAAATAGATCATATAAGCCAGTATCAACTACAAGTCTTACACAATGATATCCTGGATAAGTTATTTTAATTAAAGAAATGTCAAGTAAATAATATATTTCTAAAGAAAAAAGGAAAAGACAACATTTTTATCTAGTTAGTCATTCAACTAAAATGACATCGTTGTACAAAATATTGCAAAAAGAACCTGGACATTCTTTTTATTTTTTGTTTTGTTTGGTTTCTTTGTTTTTGTTTTGGTTTGGTTTAGTTTTTTTGCTTAAACGATATGTGAAAGCATTTTTTTTTATCTTTTATTTATGTCTATTCACCAAAATGTTCTTGATAAATGGTCAAATGTTGATAGCAGGTATTGGAAAAAGACATTGGATAGAGTTTATTTTCTTGAAGTCTTCTCAAGTTATTATATCCCTTATAAGAGAGTACCTTGCCTCTTTGGCCATGTGAGAATGTGGAGAAGACAGCCATCTATAAAGCAAGAGGTCAGGCTTTGCCATACACTGAATCTGCTGGCACCTTCATCTTGAACTTCTCAGCCTCTGGAACTATAAAAAATAAATTTCTCTTATTTTAAAACCACATATTTTATGTTACTTTGTTATAGCAATGCAAATGGACTAAGACAATAATTTATTCTAGTAAAAATGATGGGAATGGTGTCAAATTATTACTTGAAATAGGTTGATTTCTGGACAGTATTTATCTTTCAATAAGATATGTCAACAATCTATGTCAAAAGCTGATAATAAAATTTTTGTATTAACTAATCTTTTTTACTTTTTAAGAAGAAATTCTGGATGTAATGACTTTTGGCTGGTAATCACATACTGCTACTTTGGGTTATAATGTCTTTCACATAATGAAATCTAGATTTTAGTCCTCTATTTAAAAAAGGTTCATAGACAAAGTTGAAGTAACCTTTATTAGACTCAGAAAGCATTGACTTTTGAGACAAACATAAATTTATTAATGAAGGAGCTATTTTATTTAAAAATATATAAATCATGTTTATCCACTACTTGCAGGAATAATTAATACAAATGCACTGAAACTCATTCTTATAGTGAAAATAAAAATTTGTCATATGATATCAAATATTGGAGAATGTCACAGGTGTGTGAACCAGAGCAACTCCATCTTAAATAGGAGCTGGGTAAAATGAGGCTGAAACCTATTGGGCTGCATTCCCAGATGGTTAAGGCATTCTAAGTCACAGTATGAGACAGGAGGTCAGCACAAAATACAGGTCATAAAGACCTTGCTGATAAAACAGGTTGCAGTAAAGGTGTGGGCCAAAACCCACCAAAACCAAAATGGTGACGAGAGTGACCTCTGGTCATCCTCACTGCTACACTCCCACCAGCACCATGACAGTTTACAAATGCCATGGCAATGTCAGGAAGTTACCCTATATGGTCTAAAAATGGGAGGCATGAATAATCCACCCCTTGTTTAGCATATCATCAAGAAATAACCATAAAAAAAGAGGAACCAGCAGCCCTTGGGGCTGCTCTGTCTATGGAGTAGCGATTCTTTTATTCCTTTACTTTCTGAATAAACTTGCTTTCGCTTTGCACTGTGGACTCACCCTGAATTCCTTCTGGCGTGAGAGCCAATAACCCTCTCTTGGGGTCTGGATCGATACCCCTTTCCTATAACAAGATTATTTAAATAATGTTAGGAAAGCTCAGCATCATTAAGTTAACCACACTATTGGAAATGCTAATATTTTATAAGTGTTTCATAAAGGCAAGATTATAAATAACCCTGTATGCAAGTATCTCAGCTCAGAATACCATATTGAAATAACCACTCAGTTTGAAAGACTTTAAACAATTCTTGTAAAACTGTTTAGCAGAGTATGGCAATGGCCTGTGTTACTTATATATCCACGGTAGCAGTAGAAATGAGGATAAGTGGATGGATAAGAAATATATTTTTGAGATAGACACAAATAGGACTTGCTGCTGAATTTGGTATGAGGGTTTAGGGAAAGAGAGGAAAAAATGATTACTCCTAGGATTCTGGTTGAGCATTTGGTGTGGATGATGGTAACATTTGCTGATGATGAGGAATACTGAGACAAAAGTAGATTTTCATAGCATAGGATTGGTGAGGACATAAGACAATACTGGACATAATAAGTATGAAAGGCCTACTACATATTAAAGTGGAGATAAAAAAATAATGCATGTGCAGGAAGGAGGATAAGGGAGAGATTTAGATATATAGGGGAGAGATTAGGAAGCAGTGATAAATATGAGACATTTGACCAAGATGGCCATAAAGTTTTCCACAGCTCAACTGACAAGCTTCTTCCTGACTCTAGGCTCCTGATCTCCCTTTTCTTAGAGCATTTACTTTAGAAAACTTTTAAGATGTAAATCATTTTAAATGTCTTGACAGGTTTACAACCTAAGAATGACTTTCTTAAAGACGTGGAAGCCATCCCTTTGAAATGTAATCATTAAGAAGATAATGCCCTCATCTTCCAGTCTCTGTAAGAGAGTAGGAATCTAACATCAATTAGCAGACTGGCTAAACAGGATTTCTGGGTGTGTGTGTGAGGGTGTTTCCACATGACATTAGCATTTGAATTGGTGGACTCAATGAAACTAACTGCCTTCACTTATGTGGATGAGCATCATCAATCTATTGAGGGCTGGAACAGAACAAATGGCAGAGAAAGGGAGAATTTGCCCCAGTTTCTGCCTGACTGTGTGCAGTGGTGTGCTAATTAGGCACTGATTAGCAGACACAAATGGCCTAAGAACAGAGAAACACTTTTACACACTCAGGAATAAGTCATGCTTACCACCTTCCACTGATCAGATTCCCCCCATAACTTCTATTAAAATAATAGACCATGAAATCTAGGGCTTTACTACTGTGATCTGAGGACCAGCAACACTGGCATTCCTGGGAGATGGTTAGAAAAAAAAAAATACTCAGAACTCCCTAAATCAGAAGCTGCATTTTTAACAAGATTCCCAAATGCGAATAAGTGGATAATGGAGGATGGAAAAGTGAACTGGATGTGTTAGAATGTGGGCTGTGGGATAAATTAAATGAAAGGATGGGATGGCATGGTCAAAGCCAGCAATGTTAAATCTAAGCTGAATACAAAGTGAGTTAATGGGGTTATCAATGATGGCATGGTCAAATTTACAATCATGGGTGGGACTGGCTGACAGCAATCCAGGTGCTAGACTCACGGGTGAGGTGAGTAAGGAAGAGTGACAGGGAGGTCTTTAAGAGTGATGGCCATCAAAAAGAGTGCATAGTGCAATGGCATGTGCTTCATGTTTTGGTTTTTAGAAAAACAAAGGAAGGAAACATAGTTTAGAAGTGTTAGCAACACCCCCTTTGTTGTCTCTAGTTGTGAGGTACATGCAAAGGAAATAAAAAACAGCCTTTTCTTGAAAGAGCTAGGTGGAGGTTGTGGCCTGAGGAAATGTGAGGTTTCAGATAAGCCAGGAATTGGCAAACTGTTTCTGTAGAGAGCCGGATAGCACATATTTCAGGCTTTGTGGGCCAGGTGGTCTCTGTCACAACTACTCAACTCTGTTCTTGAAGTAGAAAAGCAGCCATAGATATTAAGTAAATAAATGAGTGTTTCAATAAAACTTTTTGTACAAAACAGGCAACAGGATAGATTTTGCTTGTGGGCTGTTTGTTGATTCCTAAACTGAGGCATCTAGATGAAGAGTAGTGAGGATAATAAATGCTAAAATGAGGATAACTGACCATAGGTTCCAGAGGAATTAGTGGAAAGCATTGGCAAGCTGTGGAAGATTTATGTCAAGTTAGGAGTGTGACACCCACTCTTAGTGAGCAAGATTTCTGCTGGTTGCTAAAGTAAACACCAACATGAGTCATGGAGAATTAGTCCTGATATTGTCTTCTTAAATTATAAATTAACCACTTATTTTATAATATTTCATCAACATACAACATACATTTTAAACTGTATAGAAGCTATAAAAGTGAAATGAAACTTGTGTGCCCAGCTTAAGAAATAGGTTATAACTAATGTTTTGAAGCCCTCATGCATCCTCTCACATTCATATCTGTCTTTCCCTTACTCCAAAGATAAGCTCTACTGTAAATATTTTGTTTTTGTTTTTAGTTTTTCTATACCTGGATTTAAGTTAAAGGACAAGTATAGAAATTGGATGACTGAATAAATAGTTAAGGACCTCAGGAGAGATTGAGAAACTTCTCTCCCAGAAGTGTGTTCTTATATTTCAAAGGCAGATAAAAATATGATGCCAGTCATTCATTTACATTCCAAAGAATTTGAAATTAGGAAACTTCCTCTTCTCTTCCCAGAGAAGATTTGTTTACATGAAGTAGATAAAATTATCCCCAATCTCTGGAGGAGAAGGTAGCAGCTGGGCAGTTTATAGCCCACATAAGCTCCCAGAATTGTAATTTTGGGATTCCTCGCCTTTGGTACAAAAATCTTCTTTTATACACTTGCAGACCTGGCTCTCATTGCATCACTTTGAAGGGGAGAAATAGGGTACAGGAAACCAATGTGCTTACTACTGTAATAATAGTCTTCCCCCAGTCCAGAAGCTTCATGTTTATTTTCGGGGCAAAATAAATAAACATAGATATCAAAAACTAACCATCAGCAGCAGTGGAATACATATTCTTTGTATTATATATTCTGTGGGCTCTGAGGCTTTAGAATTCCTATTTCCTAAAAGTACTCACGAGATTCACCATGAACACAGAAAAATCTTCACTGAATTATAAGCTATGACACCTGTGTGAAAGTTGGGGCTCCTCGTGTTTGCAGACCAGAAGATGAGAAAAAGGGTCATTATCCTGGCTGCATTAATTGACTCATGATCAGAAGGTAGGGATGCTGCTATACAATAGTGAAGAATGAGGCACCTTGTTCATCCACTTGGGCACTTCTTGATAATTCCTCATACAATTTTAATAGGAAATACATGTGTATAGCAGCCACAACCTGAGAAGTACATAAAATATCCAGGGCGCAGATCACTCCAGAATGAAGGACTATGCACCCCGCAAGCCATGGAGATCTGCAGAGGTGCTTTTTGAGGGAGAGAAGAATCTAAAATGGAAAACAGAGATCATGAGTGCCAGTCATGATGGTTCTGATAGCAGCTGCAGCAATGACAGCTGTCGTTTGTCCCACTGATCATCCTCTTATATAAGTTTCCCTTAATAAAAGTAGCCTATCTCAACCTTGCATGAACTGCATCCTCTCACATTCATATCTGTCTTTCCCTTCCTCCAAAGATAAGCTCTACTGTAAATATTTTGTTTTTGTTTTTAGTTTTTCTATACCTGGATTTAAGTTAAAGGACAAGTATAGAAATTGGATGACTGAATAAATAGTTAAGGACCTCAGGAGAGATTGAGAAACTTCTCTCCCAGAAGTGTGTTCTTGTATTTCAAAGGCAGATAAAAATATGATGCCAGCCATTCATTTACATTCCAAAGAATTTGAAATTAGGAAGCTTTTATAGAAATTAGGAAACAGTTTATAAGAATACTCAAGCAGCACGAGGACTAGACGTTAGTGGATTCTGTGCTGCACTGCCCAGATCCTCCTGTAGGATTGAATGACTTATTCTCTTAGCTTCTGGTAGTGCTACTGCCGTCAGACAGCACTCGGTGGCCACCTCACAGAAAGTCGTATTTCTGACCTGGGCAGCCAATATGCAATGACTATTCAATGCTGGGGGATAATCTCCCCTCCCCTTGTACCAACATGGAACAAGTGAGAAGGGCATGGGATTGACAGAGGCCTCCTTTGTTGACACTGCATCACTGACCACCTTCACCCCTGCCCACTTCTACTTTCTCCTTTCCTCTCTTTCCACAGCTCTTTTTTTCCCAAGAACAACCTTTACTATTTCCCATAGGTTAATTTTAGTCTCATTGTCTTCTTCTTGAGGAACCCAACAAATAACACATATCAGTTAATAAATTATTTTAAAAATATGTGTCTGAATGATACACTGATACTTTGAGGGATAAATGTTAAAAGTGTCCATTTGTAAAATTTAAAAAGAAACATTCTTAAAATTCCAGTGAAAAATGCACAAGCTGATGGGAGCACTCACCAAAGCTGAGCACCTGCTATAGCACCTTCTCTGGAGGACAGATGAAAACTCATAGAGCAGTACTGTGGCACCTTTGCTAGTCAAATGTGTAGCAGTGGCAGCAGCAGTCACCTCATGTGGGAGCTTGTTAGGCTGTCAGTCTCGCCCAGACCTGCTGAGTCAGATTCTTCGTTTTTATAAGATCCTAAGATAATTCCTATTCTCTGATTTAGATTAATGATTCTCAATCCTGACTGTAAGGTAGAATCACCTATGAGCTTTGAACAAAATACCTATGCCTATGCCACACTCCAAATAAATTCTACCAGATTCTCTGGGATATGGTGTCTGAGCATTGGTATATTATAAAAGTTCCCAAGGCTTTTTCTAATGAATAGCTAGAGTTAAGAGTCACTGATACAGAGAGTATCCAAGGTTCGTTTTCCCCTTGAATGTCTTAGGTCAATCACAAATTTCTATAAAATCCTTCTGGATTCCCATCACTAAGTTTCCATTTTTCTCTTAGAATTTTAAACCATTTGTTTCATTTCCATTCTTTCAACCTCAGAATGAAAATATGAAACTGTACATGGATCGGTTCGTTTATTGTCTGATTGTGGCTCTAGAAATTGCAGTTTTCTATCCTTCCTTCTCATGGGATTATGGAAAAGGTAAAATTAATAAATGGCCATAAAGCTCAATTTCCAGGTACAAAAACCAATGCCATATTCACTCTCTTTCAAATACTGTTTCAGTTTGGTTAGAAGGATTTTCAATTTCAACGCATTTTTAAGGGTCAGTCAATGAGGTTTGGCACCAAGGCAAATTATTCAATCCTTTTATCTTCCCCAATGCTTTGAGAAAAATAACCAAAATAAGGGATGAAAGCATATAAATAGCTGCAGGCCATTGATTCCTGCACAAGCAAACATGTACCAAAGACAGGAAAAAAAAATTCCATCTCTCCCTTCTGCTCAAAATAGGAGACAATTCATATAGTCTCAAAAGTATAGGCCTGAATAAAGTAAATAGGTCTGAATAAAGTAGTAGACATAATAAATAATAAAATACGCATGTATTACATAGCAATTTTAAGTGTGCCTGGGGCATGGGGGCTTCTCCACATGTTCTAGAGACTTTCTATTGACTACAGTCACTGAAGTATAGGAAAAGGAATGGATAGTTTAAATATTTAAAAGCCACTTAATAATAATATAAGTTAAGAAAGTCTATAAGCATGTCTAAGTAGAAACTTACATGCATGAATATTTTTTGTATGTTAAAGCTCACGTGAAGACATATATTTAAAAACACATTAGAGCCGGGAATATTTTGTTACTGTTGAGGTTAAATAACTGAAAAAGAATATTTTGCTTATGTCAGTGGGAAGTTTATCAAACTGTTGTTAAAATTTGGAATTTGGTAGTTTTGTCATTATTATTATTATTAGGAATATATTAAGGAGAAGATACAGGAAAAATATCATAAAGAAAAATATTCAACCGAAAGTCAAGTAAAGAAAGTTCTTCACAAATTGAATTACAAACATTAGAATTCATCCCTTCCAAATATGCTAAAAATGACTCAATTCCCAGAGCAAAATTAAAATCAGAATTATTTTTATGATTGTTTTACAATTGCCTTGGCTATAAAGAAACATAGACCTATAAATCATTGTGGAAATACTTTTGAAATATTTTGAAAATAATTTTGAACTGAATTACTTGATTTTCCATTTTCAAATTCAGGAAACAATAGTACTATCATTTTTCTGACTATAGACATGCCTAAGAGGAAAAAAGTCAGGACTGGTTATAAGAGTCACACAGGTTTTCTGGCAGTGAACATATATTTTATTGACTGAACTATAAAGGATTGAAATTATATTATTATAAGTTAACTGTTATGATCTACATGTTCATTTGATTTTAAAGCTAATTGAACATTGAATGCAATATATTTGAAAATTTAACATCTAGAAAAAGTATACACAGACTTCCAAAAATTCACAGTGGGGTTGTTTGACATTTCAAGCTATACCAGACTCAACTACTCAATCATTTTCAGAGTAAAAAGTAATATTTACCTTTTAGGTACAAGGGAAGAGAAAGAATCTCATAAATAACTATGTTTAAATCTGAAAATATATGTATTTGTTAGTCTGTAGAATAGACTCTGTCCCTGTGTTAACTTGGAAAATACATTTCCTTTGGAAAATCAAGATAAGTAAGTGTCTGCAGTATAAAAGGGACTTATAAAAAGGGAGGCTTTCTGTCACTGACAGAGTATGAAACTTCTATTATGATATGTGCATGATTTAATTATTACAGCATTTTAAAGACCCTGTCAAAGCTTCAGATATTTCTGTCTGTGGCTTCGGACCTCAAATGGCATATTAATTAATTAAAGGTTTTGGCTGTATGGGTTTTTGCTCACAGATGTTAACTAGTAGTGTTTGTGCAGTTTTCAAGGTTACTGCTAGGAATCTTAGAATCACAGAAACGTTGGTGGAGTCCATCTGGTCCATGGTGTGATGACAGATTCTCTGACAGCAAAGATTAGGGAGAATATTTCTCTAGACAGCCTTCCCCAATTAAAATACAGAATCCTATAACCACTCTCCCCCTCTGCTCTTGCTCTCCTCATTTGCTAATTTTTGTTTCCATTGTACCAACAGCAGCCTGGTAGCTTTAGTAGGTAGGTACTTTGGCCTCATGAGACAAGATGCTCAATAAACTTCTCAAACTTGAAAACCTATTTAGTTATCAGCAACCTAGCGACTGTCAAAAACAGGATATACTGTGAATCACCACAAAAGAAGTGAAAGAGGTTCTAGAGACAAGCGCTCCAAAGATGTTTTCTGCTTCATGCTTAATTAACTTGAATGATCAGTCTTTGGAGCATAAACAAATGAATCTTTTCACCAGAACATATTGTCAACAACCCAGGAAAACATTATGGTGCAATAAGCTTTAGAGATAATTCTTTGCCTTTTGTTAATGCATTTTGAGTTATAAGCATTAGAATTCAACCCTTTCAAATATGCTGTAAAGGACATAATTCCTAGAGCAAAATTAAAGTCAGAATTATTTTTATGATTGTTTTTGTGATTAAGAGTTACTTCCCGGAAATAATTCAAAAATTTTGATATGCTTCAAAATCTCTAAATCCTTTTCTTCTTCCATAAACTATATTTTAATTATAAACTACTTATCATAAAAACTATTGACAGATTTTAACCCTTCAGACATCATAATTAAAAGTAGATTGATTTTTCTTTGTACATGAGCCTTCTATCAGCACCATCCTAGTTACATGGGAACACTTTTGAAAGACGTGAAAATATAACGTTTTTGTGTCTCAAAAATGCATTCCAAAAAGCAAGACTAAAACAAAGGGCAGTAATGACAAAAAGTGTAATTGAAAATTCAGAAACCTCATATGCTAATGGAGAAAATTTATTTTACTAAAAGCAATAAAAATGGATAGGGGGTTACTCTTGGTTATATATATTTAATATTATCTGTTATATAAGTGTTTGAAAAAATACATACAAGACTTTAGACTTCAGACATTAATACACATAGGACTTCAGATTTTTCCAGTGCATTTTAAGTTGTAAAGGGCAAAATGAAATAGTGGTTTTTGTAAACACAGGAAAGTTTAGAATTTCAGAGCTTCTAAAATGTGCAAATATATAATACTAGTACAAATGTTATTTTCTGATGTTCATTTTAAAATAACCAATTTAAGACTAACTTAGTGGTTATAAGGAAGTTGGGTATTTAATTTCAAACTGTTGTCTAATTTTATTTGTAAAAGTATAATTTAGTAAATTTGGTAACTCGTCATAGTTGTTCAAGTATTTCAGTGACAATATTTTTAATTTGGAAAAGTGTTGAAAGTAATATCTTGTTCATTATATAATGACTCATGAAAAAAACCCAAAATAATGCCTTAGTAAAACCAAAATAAACACATACATAATAACTTTTTAGAGAATACTGAGGCTTGCGATTGTACTTGTTCTAAAATTGCTGCCTCCTTTCAGATGTTTTGGGGCTTTTCCTTGAGATAAAACGTATTAAAAGTAATTGGAAGGTATCTTAAAGTAGGGATTTTGTTTTAATTAACTAAACAACAACAAACAAATCAACTTCTGCTGAATCAATCATCAGACCTTAGAGTGGCTTCTCTTTCCTAAAGGGTTTGTTTGGAACATGAGGCAGGCTGCATGTCATCTGATACAACTTGGAATCAGGTTAGTTGATATACATACTCCAGTCACATACACCTTATTTCAGAAACTTCTAAACACTACATCTAGGAGACTTGAGCAAAACCCAAATTCTTTTTTGTATGTTTCTCCACAAGAAACATCATTACTTCTGTGATTCTATGCAAATCAGACCTGTCAAATAGATCTAGGTCTTCCAAAATTTTAAAACTGTATGTGCAAGTTATTTCTCTGGGTTTATGTAAGTATTATCTACCATAGCCGGTGCTATTGTTCTAATAATAAATTGGACTGAATTATACTGAGCATACACAGTATTATTTTATTAAGTCCCTCCTCTGGTCAATCTTGAGAAGATAATGTCCACAAGCCTCCTCTCTTCTCTAGCTACAATATCTAAGAGAGGATTCTAGTTCTATTGATAATATCAAATATTTTTTCAAATAGATTGTATCAGTTTATAACCCTGTCAAAAAATATAAGAATGACTATTGATAAACATACTCATCTATATTTAGTATAATTGTTTCATTAGTGTGAGAGGGTATTTGATCATTTTCCTGCAAAGGAAGATTAGTGTCTTTTTATATATTTCTTGGCAAACCATCTTTCCTCTCAGTAAAATGCATCTTTATGACTGTTGGCATTTTTCTGTTTCTAATTCTTTCATCTATTCTATATTTATTTGTGGGAGAACTTTATATGTTATATTGACTAATTCTCTGTTTTATCTATTGAAAATATCTTTCCTGGTTGTCTTTATGATCATTTTGATGAATAAAAGTTTATAATTTTAATCGAGTTCAATTCATCATAATTTTCTTTGTGGCTTTTGTGCTTTTTAATTTTTTTTGTTTAAAAAACTCATTTTAAAACTTATCAAGGTTGCCTATTACATCTTCTTCTAAGAATTTTAAATTTTTACTTTTCATACGTGAATCCAAAATCCACCTAAAATTGATATGTATGTGTGGATGAACATGCACCTTTCTTGTTGGAAAACAATATAAATTGTCATACTGATTTTTGTATGTGCATCACTTTATTTCTAATCTCTCCCTTCTTCCATTGGTCAATGTCATACCATTGTGCTAATAATAGAGTATTTTAGTGATACGAATTTATAATAGTTCTTGTCATATGATACTAGTTTTTGTTTTTCAGGAGCTGGTTATTTTTGGCAATTTGCAATTTGACTGGAGTAGCAGATCAAGTTTTGGATAATTTTTATTTTGTATTAGAAAATTTTTCTATTTATAAACATAAACTAGATCTACATATTCCAAAATGTATTTAACAACCCTTTTATGAGTTTCTATAAAGTTTTACAATTTTTTACATTATGTGTAAGATTTGTTCCTTCTAACATTATGTTTTTTCATCCTAAAGTGGACTGTTACTTATGATGAGCGGAGAAGCCATCGTAAGAGTTTAAAAGAGAAGTGATATGGTATAGATTATATTTTAGTTACTCTGGCCGCTCTACAAATAAACTAAAGCAAGGGTGGCACAAAGATAGACTAAGTATAGTCATTTTAAAAGTTGTTGCTATAATTCAGGAGAAGATTATGGCAACTTTGCCAAGATTGTAGGAGTAGAGATAGAAAGGAGTTGTGACATTTTTTGACATATTTTGAAGACAGCAACGCAGGATATAGTGATAAATTTGATATGCATTATGAGAGAAAGAGAGAAGTCATGGTGAACTCCAAGGTTTTTAGTTTGAGAAACAGAAAAAGTGATGTTACCGTTTAGAATATAGAAAAAACTGCAAGAGGAATACACGTGGGTGATGGGAATATAAGAAGTTCAATTTTGGAATGATAAGTGTGAGATCCCTCTTAGATGTTCCAGTTGTCGTGTTGGGTAGGTATTTAGATATAAGTCTAAAGCCTAGGGGAGAAGCCTGGTTGTAGATACACTTTTGGAAGTCATTAGATATAGGATTTTCCATGTCTTGAGAGGATGAGATGACAAAAACTTGATGTATATTCTTAAAAAAGCAAAACAGCTTGAAGAATGAGGCATGTGGCACATCCATATTTAGAAATGTAATCATGAGGTGTACCAGCAAAAGAGACTTCTGTGGTCCACTCAGAAATGTATTAGGAATTGGAGTCAAGTATGATGTCTCAGAAGCAAAAGTTTGTAAAAGTGTTTTAAAGAGAAATGCTTGAGCAACCGCTGATAAGCCAGGTAAGATAAGAATTAAGATCTGATCGTTTTACTTTTCAGCATTGAATCATTAGTGACCTTGATGAGAAAAATTTCATGGAGAAATAGGAATAAAAGCATGACTAAAAAGCACTCAAGACTATTTAAGGTGAGAAATCATGTCCAGCTTCATGTGAACATGTTTGGGCTGGCGTGATGGAGGATAAAAAAAAAAATGTGAAACAAAAATGAGCCCCTAGCCCACTCAGGAGCTGATCACAAATACATGAGTAAACCAAACCAAGACCAATGAAATCTTCCAAATTGGAATCAGCACAAACTTCCAATTCTGCTGAATTGTGAACTAAAATTTTAAAATGGAAAAGAAATAGACAACAACGAACCCAGAATGATACAAAAAAAGAAACACTCAGAGAGCAAGAAAGAGTTCTTAAATTTCAACTAAAAGGATAGAAATATTTTAGGAGTTATTCAAACTCCCAGAATAAAAAGTTGATGAAATCATGCAGTAAGTGGGGAGGGGGAACAACAGTAATATAGAAAAAATGCACTTGAGTTGAGAAAATTAAGGAATTAAACCAAAAAGTTCAATATGAATACAAATGCAAATTTTCAAAAAAGGAAATCAGAAAATGGAGAGTAGCAAGGTATCGAAGACATGATGTTAAAAAGCATATCCTAGAACTGAAGGGGATATATTTCCAAATTAAAAGGATTCCAGGAAAAAAACAGACAAAGCACATCATGTTCAAATTTTAGCACACTAAACAGAAGACCCTGTATTAATTTCCTAGGGCTCCTGGAACAAAATGCCCAAAATCAAGTGGAGTGCCTTAAAAAACAGAAATTTATTGTCTGACATCTCTGACTGTTAGAAGTATAATATCAAGGTGTCAGTTAGGTTGGTTTCTTTTGGGAGCCTAGAGAAATATATATCTAGTCCAGATCTCTTACCTTGGCTAATAGATAACTGTCTTCTTTCTGTTCTCTTGACATCATCTTCTCTCTACATGTATCTGTTTCCATGTTCTAATATTTCCTTTTTATAAGGACATCAGTTACATTGGATTTGGATTAGGGCCCACCTAAGTGACATCATCTTATATGTCTGGAAGGATACTATTTCCAAATAAGTTTATATTTTGAGGTAGTGAGTGGGGAGGGCTTCAACATATTAATTTTTAGAGAACACAATTTAACCCATAACAAGTCTTAACATCATGCAGAAAGAAAATTTTTATATAGATATAACAAATCACATAAATATAAGTGGATTCAGAATGACATTGGACTATTCAATATACCTTCAAGGTTCTGAGGGAAAATGATTTTCAACCTAGAAGTCTTTACACACAGAACTAATAATTAAATGTAAAGGTGGGCTACAGACATCTTTAGACATGAAAGGGCTCCTGTGTTAACTTCTCATACTCCTTTTCTCTGGAAGCCACTGCTGCATATACTTAATAAAGGAACAAAGGTGGATTTACTATGAAGTTAATGAAGCTTTGGCTTAAGAGTCCCTCATTTGCACAAGCACCTTTCAATGGATGGAAGTGACCCTAGCAATGTGTTAACATGATCAAATGATTTGGTGAACATTTAGAAGAAATATTATTTAGCCACTATTGATTAAGAAGCTACTGCTTCCTACCATCTTGGCTAAGATCAGGACTTCAGTTTTCTAAGTCTGAAAGAAGGTTTTGGACTAACCCAGCTGCCAGAGTTCTGCAAGTGTTCTGGTCTCTGGCAGGAGCTTAAAACAGATACAACTGCTACAGCAGTCACACCTCTACCACTTTCATTTTTAGATCTAGTCTGGTGAGACAGAATGCTCACACAGGTCAGGTAAAGCAACTTCGTTACTCACAGGCAGCAAGAATCAACAGAAGCCTAGAATCCATGGCAAGCCAATCTCCCAAGCTCAGAAAGCCTCCCAGGTAGGATACATAGGATACAGTCTTTCCTGTGCATTTCCCACCTTGCACCACAGCTGAGAGACTCTCAAGGCACTCAACTCTGGGTTTTACACCCCAGGGGCAACTTGGATCACTGGGCACAAGCATTGCCGGATGTCCTGCTCTAGGATGGATGAGAACAGAGCCTGAAAAGATCTGAAAATATCCTCATTATCACAGGATATCGCATTCTGGGCATATTCTACAATTATTCGGAAAACTGCAGGCAAGGGTAATAAGAACTCGGTCAGCCAACATCAGCTGCGGACCTGTCCTCCTGCAAAGCCTGTTATAGTTCCTCATACAGGTGTCCTGGAGGAGCTGGCTGCAGCTGTTTTTGAAGTCCAGCTAAGAAGAAGATTATTATAAATACACTATTTGGTGTTTAGTAGGACATATTTACAAAGCTCACATCATTCCCGTGTGTAATTACATCTTTATCAGCTGTCTCAGTGTAAGAATGGCGTCTGATAATCTCCCCCCGACCATTATGCCAATTTATCTGGATTGGTGGCATCAAAGTTCAGTCAGGGATTTATCACACTAAGACTGTATCCTTCCACAGCTAACACCAGAGGACATGGGTAGGAAAAGAGATAAAAGATGTAAAATTTACAGGGGCCAAAATAGTTGGTGAAAAAATTAAACAGCCATCATGTGTATAAATGGTAAGCAGAACATTTTGTTCTCATCAAATCCTAGAAAAAAATAGACATTCTCTCCAGCGAGGAATATACTGGATAATACAGGCTGCATGACTATAAATACACTTCATGTTTCTTCTTGATGGAAATTGTGCCAAAAATAGATTTTTACTGAATTCCTGTTTTTTTAGGGCATACAATTGTAGCAGTGCCACATAGTAGATCTGAGTGTAAAGTTGTGTGGATTGTATCTTAGCATCGTGTCTTGACTAATTTTGGAAGTTCCAGATGAAATCTGCCCCTAAGTAAAACAATCCGTGGTGAAACAACCTGAGGAAACCAGTCTCAAGTGGTAAAATCTTAGAAATAATCTTGCATGTGTCAACGTATGTGTACAATAAACATTTATGGTAGTTCAATACGGCTAGCAGCAATTCGTAAATGCATTTAAATTTATGGGATAAGAAATGAAAAGTAATAGGCAATTATTATCTTCAGGAGAGAATTGTAATCATGGTACAATACTTCGTTTCATTGAATAATTACCCAGTCAGAACAATTTGAGCACTGTACATCAATTTAGTTAACTATTATGATGTAATGACATTACAAGTTATAGGTTGTGTATTTGTGAGCCTTGTGCTTATGTATCTGTCTGCCCTGTGTGGGTGTTTTGTAAGCCAGGTAAATCCTCTTTCAAATTACTCTTGAAAATTAAATAACTGTCTAAAATTGTAAGTTGAAGAAATAGCAGTACAAGCATGCTAAATAGGGAAACAGCTAAAGGTGTAATAAGGTTGGTTCTGGGGAATAAGATTAATGGGTTGGGAAGAGAAGGATAGAAAATAGTGCATTTTGTTACACACTTTTAACTACTATTTGCCTTTTAGAAACATATTTATACATTTTTTTCATTAAAATTTAACTGAAAAATGGAGTCAATTCTGACACACTTTCATAAAATGGGTCCTTATCAACTTTCTAATACCCTGCCTTTTCTAGATAACCACTAAAATTGACTCACATTTTGTGTATGTAATACTAGTAGGATTATGCTTTCAAGATGATAAAAAGATTAAATTAAATTAATTATTTATCTGAAGAATACCTAAATTCTTGTAAACCAAATGGTAATTGAAATGGAGCAGACTGTTTGAATGTCATTGCCTGGAGCTAATAATATTTTAAAGGAACATAAGACTTAAATATTTATAAAATTAAGGGATTTTTTTTACTGTTTTCAAAAAAGATATTAAAATTTTACAACCTTTGTAGAATTGATTTTTCTCTTTCTGTACTCAACAGAAAAAATAGTTTTATATTAACAAATCAGAATATATAAAAAACTAATTGCTTACAAAATACAATTGTATCAAACACATAGAATATTGCAGTTTAGCTTCCTATGTTTGAATTTATTATATGAAGTAAAACAAAGATTAAAAATGTATGCATTGGGGTTTTTGAAAGTAGACATCATGCATTCATTCAGATTTTCTTACAGAAGAATCATTGATTTTATTCTGCATCTACATTTGACAAAGAAAGTATCAGAGGGGGGAAAAAAGTATGCCTCACAGGCAGGGTTGAAAATTCAGTTTCATTTTATTTCTTATCTTAATAGCAGGGAGCTGCTACACAGTAAAAAATATATGCTTTGGGAAGATTGAACTTGCTACCTTTCTCACGGCTGTTCATCTTTTTCTAAAGGACAGTTATCAACTAAGCAAAAAAGGAGGAAATAGTTATTCTGCTTGGCTTATGATATTATAAATCTATGACCACGTAGCTAGAAAAATCCAAGCATTGTAACTTAGAGTTTAAAAATTAAGAGGAAAGTGCTAAAGTGCTGTTGTCGGAAGTATAGTTTCTGAAGTATATAGAATATAGCACGGCAGGCATGCTCTAGAACGGCCCCCAATAATCTTTACCTCTTGGTATTCAGGCTCTTGTGAAATCTCATCTTTGAGTGTGGGTTGGACTGATCGGCTTTCTTCTAAACAAGAGTGTGGCAGAAGTGATAGGATGTTGCTACCATGATTAGGTTATAAATATCTCTGGCTTCTGTTTTTGGTGCACTCACTCTTGGATTGTTCACTCAGAGTGGAGCCAGTTGTCATGTTTTGAGGCAGCTTTGGGGAGAGTTCCATTTAGTGAGCTTGGAAGCATATCTTCTGAGCCCTATCAGAAGCCACATGTGTGATCTTGTAAGAGTTGGGAGGCCGAGGCAGGTGGATCACGAGGTCAAGAGATCGAGACCATCCTGGCCAACATGGTGAAACCCCGTCTCTACTAAAAATACAAAAAAAAAAAAAAATTAGCTGGGCTTGGTGGTACACACCTGTAGTCCCAGCTACTCAGGAGGTGAGGCAGGAGAATCGCTTGAACCTGGGAGGCAGAGGTTGCAGTGAGCCGAGATCGTGCCACTGCACTCCAGCCTGGCCACAGAGGGAGACTCTGTCTCAAAAAAAAAAAAAAAAACAACTCTTTCAACGGTAAAGCCCTGAGATCACTGCAATCCTAGATGGCACCCTTATTGCAGGATCTTGAGACCCTAACGCAGAAACACCGAGCTATTCCACTCCTGGATAATGATGCATTGAAAGTATAGTGATAAACATTTGTGTTTTCAGCTACTAAAACTTTAAGATAGTTTGTTACGGAGCAATATGTAACTAATAACACAGACTCTAATTGAACCTCTGAGCCCATTTAATCTAAGTCTTAGATTCTACACTGTTAAAATGGATTATCACTGGTATGTATTTTGTATAGGTGTTGTGAAGACTTAATGGGATAATTCATATAATAACTCAGCATATGTAACTGCACATATGTAGTACTCAAATAAAGGAGCTATTATTTTTATTGCCCATTTAATTTTTGACAAGATCTCTGGGAATCCTTTAGTTCATTTTTCCACTGTTAGACTGGAGTATACCCCACCTTTTCAAAAGGTCAGTACATTACCAGTGCAACATATAATTTGCCTTTAACATTTATTTTTGCCAATATCAATTTTCCCTGCTTTTCCACAGACATCAGTTACTATTCTTAGCCTAAAACTCAGTTCTCTCCAAACTGCTGAACCCATTCTGATTAAGCAGGCAATACATATATTAGCAGTCTTGAGGTAGGAGGCAGGACTTGAACTCTGGACCAGATTGAAGACTAGCTGAAACAGGGAAGAAGTGAAAGCACCTCTGTTAGACACACCCACCAGTGTCATGTCAGTTTACCATTGCCATAGCAACACCTGGAAGTTACCACCCCTTTCAATGGCAATGACCCAATGACCCAAAATTTACTACCCTTTTTCTAGAAATTTCTGCATAAGCCACCCCTCAATTTGCATGTAATTCAAGTGGGTATAAATATGACTACAGACCTGCTTCTGAGCTGCTCCTCTTCACTGCCTATGGAGTGGCTCTGCTTTGCAGGAGCAGTCACAGATCTGTAATACGGCCGCTTTGATAAAGCTGTTTTCTTCTATTACTGACTCCTACCTGAATTCTCTCCTGAACAAAGCCAAAAAATTTCTGGGGCTAATTCCCAATTTGGGGGCTCATTTTGTCTGCAACAGTCTTAGTCTCCAACCAGCTGAGTTTAGAATGAATACTACAGTCTTAATCCCAAAACGAGATTAAGTTTGGGGTTTGAGGAGTAATAACTTCTTAAACTTCAGAATTGTCACTGTCTCTCATTAGCTTTCTTCCTGGGCTATGACTTCCCTGATTTGTTCAATAAGACAGAATACCAGGCCTGGTGGCTGTATGTCACAAAATACAATTGTATCAAACATATAGATGTAAAGTAGATTATTGCAGTTTAGCTTCTATGTTTGAATGTATTATATAAAGTAACATAAGGATTAAAAATGTATGCATTGGGGTTTTTGAAAGTAGACACCATGCATTCATTCAGATTTTGTTAAAGAAGGATCATTGATTTTATTCTTGCATCTACATTTCACAAAGAAAGTATGGTTTATTTCTTCTACATTTCACAAAAAAGAGCATGGTTGGTCCCTAAACCAACCATACTTTCTCTCTTAATTCTAATACCTCTGTGATTCCTGAGATTTTTCTTCCTTTAGTGCAAATAAGCTCTCAGTTGGCCTACATGGATTTCAGCAACTATTTGTCAGACAATTTTGATAACTCCATGATGAGGATAAGCTTTTATCATTTCCTCTGTTATTCCCTCAGAATAAATAGTCTCAGATCTTTCACTGACTTTTCCTCTTCTTCCTCCATATGTCCTATTTTTCAATATTTGTCTCACTACACCTTCATTCTATCTTTATCACAGTAAGATTGAAAACGGCACCTTTTTTTCAAAGTCAGTAATTTACTAAAGTTATGTGAGACAATGTGAAGAAAAAAATCATTGTCCAACAGTTAGGATAAAGTATACCTTCTCAGTAAAAGTGAATTTGTGTCTCCAAAGATTGATTTTATTAAAGCATCTTTTATTTCCACCCCCAACAAAATGTACTCAGTACGACCAGTTTCTGATAGCACTAACTCAAACTCGTACACTAAAGAAAGTATACTTTTAAAATGATGATGACTATTTATATCTATATATAATGGGATTGGTATAAACTGTCATTTTCTTTATAAAAAAGATCTTGACCTTTAGAAAATGGAAGTTTTTCCCCGTAATTTAACTTAAGAGTGAAAGGTTGATTTTATAATTCTTTATGAATAATAGACCCATGACTATAAATTCAGCAGATTGTGAGACACAGTAGTTGTGATGAATTGTTGTCAATATAAAGTAAGATATCAGGACAATTTTGTAATACAAATTGTATACAACATCACAATCATTCTGGTGAAAATTTTAAGGAACTTAATCATTCCTAAAGCTAAAATGATGGACTGATATAGTTCTACATTAGTTTGTTGAGATAAATATCTTCACTCGAGATTTAGCACATTTTAGGAATGACAAGTGAATGTATGGTAAAATCAGTAATATGCACTGATGGAGTTCACCCTTACCTTATTTTTTTCCAATTAGAATGATGTTATAAATTAAACATAGTGACAATGAGGTGGGATAGGTTCTAATGTATAAATCCTGAAGTGAATATTTCTGTTACTATAACATGCCAGGAGATTTTATTTGCATACCCAGTTTATAAGGTATTTGATTAATGCTATAATTAACCCCAACTTAAAAATAAATGTGAAGGTCATTTTAATTGCTGACATTTAATCTGTGCATGAGTTATATGGAAGAATATTTTTAATTTTATCACTTAAAGGGTGTTTGTCTCCTCTTGAAATTATTTTCTTTTTATTTTCCATGTTATAATTGTCACCTTTGTTGTTCCTTCAAAAAGCACCATCCAGAAAATATGCTTAATAATAAAAACTAAGCACAATTACCTAAACATGCTTTTCTTCCCCTGAGACACAGCAAAGCACAGGGAAAGTATGAAGAAAGAGACCCAGCAGCAGTGATATTTTTATAACTACACCCTGTAGGTAATCAACAATTTGCTGAAATGTTTTTAAAATATCTATAAATCTTACTACATGTGTAATGGTCCTTTTACAAAGTGTATCAATTACAGACAGACAATAAACTGTAGTGCATATTTTCCCAGCCCAAAGACAAAAAATATTTTGAGATTAAAAAAAAGTCTGTGTGTGTGTGGGGGTGGGTGTATACACATACATACATATGAAATGCTACACAGAGTATCTATCCCATTAGTGTTTATAATTCACATTAGTAAATTACTCTGCGGAAAACATTATATAGGAAACATTTTAAATTAAGTCTAGCCTAATTTTTCTAAATTTAATTAAAACTCTTCCTTTTTTTTCACTGCACACGTATCATCTTCTCAAAATGTTTTGTGCAAGGAAGACTAAAACCATGTGGTAGGAAGTATCATCTTCATTATACAGACAAGGTAACTGAGTTAAAATATGAAAACATTCACCCAAAGAAAACCTATAAATGATAGTACTGCAATTTTAATATGGATCAACTGACTTACGATTCAGTTTCCTTTTTGTCACCCAAATTTGTCCTTCATATATATAATTATATATTTATTTTTATATATAATTTGAACTCTATATATAGAGAGAGTCTGGTTATGTTTTTAGAAAACATATTAAATGTTAAGGTATCTCTGAAGAAAACTACACATTATATTTAAATACTAATTTATTTTCCCTCTAATTGCTGTATAACTCTGGGTGAACTTCCGGGATTGAGGATGCCAAGATTAAAACAGATTGCCAGGTGAGCTGGTAGGAAAAAATGTGGATATTATTACAACCTCATCTTTCTGCTCCTCAAGTGCAAAATTTTGGGAAAAAAAATGTGAGTAGGTGTGATTCTTACACAGTTTCTCATTTGGTGGAAAGTTACTTTTTGAAAGATTGAACACAGGCAGTAAGAGCTCTTGAATTCAGAGGACTGGCTTCATTGCCTACAATCTGTGTACTTATAAGTAATTGGTAAACCATTAAGTGCATTATGAAGAATATTAGAAATGGAAAACATTTAAAAATTATTTGTTGGTATGAATTAATAAGATTGGCCATATATATAAATATGGTGTACCCATAAAAATGCAACAGTTGTATACTAAAAAGTAACCCAGATGCAGAATTGTATCTATATTGATATCTATATCCATATTTATATCCATGTAAATACATAGACATACAGATAGATATAGATTAGATATAGATACAGGTAAAGGTAAAGTACAGATATAGAGATAGAGATATCCATTTTCTTCTCAGAAAAGATAACAAAACTACTCTCATAATCTATTTTATTCAATAAACCTTTATCTGTACCCTAATATATAGAAGGCATTGGTCAAGGCCCTGTGATTATTTAGTTAAATAATACTACTCTGACCTCAAGAAATGTAAATAAAGTCTCGTAGACGAGAACAGGCTTACATACCTGTAAAATAAAGGGGAAAGGACAAGGTCTAATATAATAAACGCTATATAAATTCTATAGTTGAGATAAGACCATTGGATGAAGGGATTACTGGTTCTGTTTCAAGGAACTGTTAAAGGCTTAATGATTGAACAGGCTATTTATTCAGCTTAAAATATCCAAACACTTCACTCTATCACTATTTTATTAAATCTTTACCAGAAGGATCTAAAGTCCTTGAAATAACTTAGCTCTATTTAAATATATCAAATCCAGTTTCAGATTCTTTCACTGGGTCTTCACGTTGAAAGTGAATGTTCAATTGAAGGTAACTTTCAATTCACCTTCTGAAGTCAGTACAGAAAGAAAATCAGTTTTGCTCTAATGTTTAGTGGCTTCTCTGCCTGCCTCTGAGGCATTGAAAGGCTGTAGACGATCAGCAGTCCTACAGGGTTTTTGTTTTAAATCAGTCTGAGTAATCTTGATTTTAAAAAGGTAGAATAACTTTAAGAAGGATGTAGAGGAAAAAAGCAAACATATAAACCTGCAAAAAATGATTTTTGATGTACTCATTTCCCAGTGTATTATGAAGTGAAAGGAAAGGAGAGATTATCTTCACCCTTTCCTAAGTGGAGTGCCAACCAGCCAAGTTCAGGGATTCATTCATGTGCATAAAATCACCAAACTGGCTATGCATTGTTTCAGTTTTCTTGAGGCAAATAAAAATGACACTCATCTAATAAGTCATTACTACTCTCCATCATCTTATCAGAGCAGGTATCACTTTTGTTAGGCTTATTTTGTCTGTTATTTTTACATGTTTAGATTGAGGTTATGCATTTTTGGCAATAATATCACAGAAGGGATGTGTCCATTTCTCTGCATTGTATCAGGAGGTACAGAATGTCATATGTCATTATAACTGGTGATATTAACTTTGATCATGTGGTTGATGTCGTGTACGGCAGGTTTATCTACTGTAAAGTTACTGTTTTGCATTCTGTATTGATAAATATCTTAGAGGAAGATATTCTGACACTACACAAATATCCTGTAATGTATCTCTTCTAAAAATGTGCATAATTTTAGCATGCAATCTTGCCACTAATAATTATTATTGTGTTATTCTAATGAAAATGTTCTATTTTCTTCATTTCTTCTACACTTATTAATCGGATTTATTCTGCAAAGAAGAACTACCCATTCTCCCACATTTATTTACTTATTCAATTATACATTTATATCAATTGGACACATGGATATTTACATTATTCTGTGAGCTATAATACAATGCTACATTATTTTGTTGCTCAAACTGTTGTATATTGGTCATTGAAGCTCTTTCACAGAGTCCCCTCTGCCCTTTTAATGTGCCCTCATCCTTTTATGAGCATTTCCTTACTTTTTGATGTCCAGGATGCTCTGGACTCATCTTGTATATTTTCTTTTCTTGACCTGGAATCAAACACTCCTCTTAAGCGCTCAAGTTCCTTGTAAAGGAGAGTGCAATTAAAACACTAAGGTCTGAATACCTGGTGTGCTCACTGCTACGGAAGTAGTATTGTTTCCAGGACTTCTCAGCTCACAAAGCTTAAAGCTTAGATTAAACACACATGCATAAAACATTTATATATTTTCTCTATCTAAATATTTGTACAAATATTTAGAAACCATATATTTATAATGATAGTTTCACCTATCACTCTAACAACCACAGGTTTTATTCTAGCTGTTCCACTTCAGTCCTAGTAATTTTTTCTCTGCCATTGAGAAACCAGAATCTCAGTATATAAAATGTATTTATTTATTTGTTCAACTTTATTATTTAGTCTCAAATTTCCTAACCCACATGCATTTGATTTAAAAAGTTTGCTAACTAGAGTGCAATATTTGTTTACTATTCTCTCTTGGTCTGTCTGTTCTGCTATAACATAATGCCTGACACTGGATAATTTATAAAGAACAGAAATTTATTTTCTCGCAGTTCTAGAGGCTGGGAAGTCCAAGATTCAGTCACTGGCATATTTCAAGGGCCTTCTTGTTGCATCCTCTGCAGAGAAGAAACACTTTCCTCACATGGCAGACAGCAAAAGGCAAAGAGGCCAACGGGGGCCCAAATATGGCCTTTCATGACAATATTAATCCCACTCTTGAGGGTGGAACTATCACCTCCCAAAGGTCTCACCTTCTAACACTGCAACCAAATTTCAACATGAGTTTTGGAGGGAACAAATGTTCAAACCAAAACAATTATTTTTGTCTTTAACCTTACAATATTTAGTTAAAACACTGCTTTCCAAAGTAACTATAGTTAGTTTTCTTTTTGTTTCCTATTACACTATGTGTGGTTTTGTTGTTCACTTGTTGTTCATTTAGGTTCATAGGTCACAGTTTGTGTTTGATTTGGGATTCCCCCACATACTGGTTATTTTTGATTTACATACAGTAAAATTCACTTTTTGTAGTATGTAGCTTTATGGGTTTTGAGGAGTCATATATTCATAGTCCTGATACAAAACAGTCCATCACACTAAAAATTCTCTTGTTACCCACTCCATTTTCCTAAATCTGACAACTACTGGCCTGTTTTCAGTCTATAGTTTTCTTTTCCGTGATATCATATAAGTAGAAACATACAATATGTAGACTGGGGGTTCTCAGTGAGAGACAAATTTGTTCCCAAGGGGATATTTGACAATGTCTGAAGACATTTTTTGATTGGTAAGACTGGAGTGAGGGTTACTACTGACCTCTAGTGGGAAGAGGTTAGAGATGCCACTCAACCTCCTGCAATGCACAGGACAACCCCGGACAATAAAGAATTATCTGGCCCCAAATGTCGGCAGTGCTCAAGATGAGAAACCCTGACACACATTTTTGGGTCCAGCTGCTTTCACACTTAGCAACCAGATTCAAAGAATCACTTAAAAATTCATCCATGTTGTTTTCAAATCAATAGTTGTTGAATCAATGGTTTCTAACTTTTTTTTCTGACTAGTATTACATTGTGAGCCACATCTCACATAGATTGCCAATCCATTTACATGGGGAAGGATATCCTGTTGCTACCAGATTTTGGCAATTATAAGTTAGGCTGTTATAAACATTTATATGCAGGTTTTACGTGGACATAATTTCATTTGTCTTTGTCAGAAATGTGATTGTTTCTCCCAGTCTGTGTCTTCTTTTTCTCCTCATAATACTGTTGTAGATGAAAAAATAATTTTTTACAAGGTCCAAGTTTCTATGGATTGTGCTTTTGTTGTTGTATCTAAATACTCTTAGCTTAAACCAAGCTCATACAATTTTCCTTATGTTTTATTGTTTTATATTATTTGTCTATATTTAATATTTGTCTTGTGATCATTTTGAGTCAAATTTGTAAGGTGTGTGGCTTGGGTCAAGGTTTATTTTTGTACGTATGAACATCCAGTTGTTCAAGTTCCAGTTAAGACTATCCTTTCTCTGTTGAAATGACTGTACATTTCTCAAAAAAATTAAATTGACTATGTTTGGGTGGGTCTGTTTCTGGGCACTCTAATCCATTATATCTATCTAAAGGTGTGCCCTTCAGCTAATATCATACTGTCTTAACCACTATAGCTTCATAGTCAGTCTTGACATCTAGTAACGTGAATCATCTAACTTTTTACTTATTTTTCAAAGTTGTTTTGGTTATTTTGTTTCTTTTTTCTTTCCATAAATTTTATAATCATCTGTTAATATATATATTTAGAGAAAAAATCATTGGTATTTTGATTGGTATTGCATTTGATTTATAATTTAACCTTAAGATAATTGAATTTTTAACAAAGTGGGTCTTTCAATCCATTAACACAGTATATCTTTCCATTTATTTTGACCTTACTTGATTTCTTTTATCCACATAATTTTCTGCATACAGAAATATGCATGTATGCATTAAATATATATATATCTCATAATTTGTTTTATTGATGATGGTAGCATTCTTATCTTTTAAGTAATATGGTTCATTGCTAGTATGCAGAAATACGATTGATTTTCTGCAGAGTGATATTTTATCTTTAGATCTTTTTGAACTCACATATTAGTTCTAGAAGCTTTTTAAAGAGTCTATGGGATTTTCTATGGGATCAGTCATGTTTGTAAAGAAAGACATTATTATTTCTTTCCCTTTAATCTGTACACTTTTTATTCTTGCCTTATTAAACTAAGATTTCCAGTATGATATTGGCTTGGCTTGTTTCCAATCTTAGCACAAACATCCTTTGTTTATATCATTAAACATAATGTAAGTTAAATGTTTTTGTACCTCTTCCTTATTGAGTCAAAGAAGTTTTTATTCCCAGTGTTCTAAGATTTTTCCACATTCTATTCAATATCTATTCTTCAATAAATAGATATTGAATTTTGTCAAATCCAGTTTCTGCATCTAGAGTTAATCACATGATTCCTCTTTTTAAATATGATGTTAATATTGTTAATTTTATCGATCAATTCTTGCATGTTGAACCAGTTTGGTATTGTTGGGATAGACCAACTTTGGCTAGGATATGCAATTACTTTTATATTATGTTTTGGTATTAATTTGCTAAAATATTTTATCAGGATTTTTGCATCTATGTTTATGAGAGATATTAGCATGTAGTTCTCTTGTAATGATTTTTTTTTCCAGTTTTGGCATTACAACAGTGTTGGGCTCATATAATGTATTTTTATTTTCTTAAAGTGTCTGAAAGAGATTATGTAGAAATGGTATTATTTTTCCTTTAATGTTTGGTAAAGTTCACCAGTAAACCCTCCAGTCTGTAGGAGATTTTTTTAAAATAAGTTTTTTACCCAGTGAAACCCCGTCTCTACTAAAAATACAAAAAAAATAGCCAGGCGTGGTGGTGGGTGCCTGTAGTCCCAGCTACTCGGGAGGCTGAGGCAGGAGAATGGCATGAACCCGGGAGGCGAAGCTTGCAGTGAGCCAAGATCATGCCACTGCACTCCAGCCTGGGCAACAGAGCAAGACTCCATCTCAAAAAAAAATAATAAATAAATAAATAAGTTTTTCACCGAAAATTCTGCAGCCACCAGGCTCACCTGCCATTCCACACTCTACCAATTTGTCAACTATTCTTGCTGAATTCTCCTTAGTGTTGTCCAGTGTCTGTACTAGTTAAGCAAAGATTCAAATCCTGACTCGCTGCAGGTGCCTGTTTCTCCCCAGATATTAGGTTAGCAGATTGCCCTGGGATGGTCTCTCTCTAATGACTGCCAATCAAAACCACAATGAAATACCATGTCATACCAGTCAAAATTGGTGTTATTAAAATGTCAAAAAATAACATGCTGTGAGGTTGTGGAGAAAAAAGAGTGCTTACACACTACCGGTGGGACTGTAAATCAGTTCAGCCATTGCAGAAAGCAGTTTGGCAATTTCTCATAGAACTCAAAGCAGAATTACCGTTTGACTCAGCAATCCCATGATTGGGTATATACTCAAAGGAATATACATTGTTCTGCCATAAAGATATGTGCACGTGTATGTTTACTGCAGCACTGCTCACAGTAGCAAAGACATAGAATCAACCTATATGCCAATCAATGGTAGACAGGATGAAGAAAATGTGGTACAAATGCACCATGAAATACTATACAGCCATAAAAAAGAATGAGATTATGTCCTTTGCAGTAACATGGACAGAGCTGGAGGCCATTATGCTAAGTGAACCAACACAGTAACAGAGGGCCAAATATCACATGTTCTCACTTATAAATGGGAGCTAAATATTGAGTACAGATGTTCACAAAGAAAGGAACAACAGACACTGGGGCCTGCTTGAGGGTGGAGAGAGGGAGGAGGGTGAAGATCAAAAACCTACCTATTGGGCAGCATACGTAGCATATCTACCTATGCTTATCTCCTGGGTGGTGAAATACTCTATACACCAAACCTCTGTGACATGCAATTTACCTATATAACAAACCTCCATGTGTACCCCTGCACCTAAAATAAAAGCTCTAAATAAATAAATAAATAATTCAGAAAGAAAAAGAAAAGCTATGGATTTGGAGTTTTTGTAGATTTTTCTTGGGAGAACAATATTCTTTCCAGCATTTTACATCACTGAATAGAAGTTGGAAATCTCTTGAAGTGTTAAATATTTAGTAACATATATTATTTAATTTCCAGAATATTTTTATTCCTTGTCTATTTAGATAGTTTAAGCAGTATATAATGTTTCAAACATTGTTCTATTATTATGGTGATTCTCGTCATCTGTTTTGCATCTGTTGACCTTCTCCTGATAGTGAGTACCTGGTAGTGTTGGTAGTTTGTCATCTTGTGTGATCTGCAATTTTGAACATGAACACATCTTCTGGTCTTTTTTGTCCTTTTCTTTTTCTTTATTCCCACATCTATACACTGAATTGTGGGAATTACCTGCAGAGCAATTTTCTGTTTGCCTCTGAAGGAGCTCTGATGATGAAATTAGACAACACTCTTGCATTTAGTGCTAACCTGGGATTTTTATTACTCATAAGTGAACTTTGCTTTTATTTTTCTGCTCACAACCCTTGATGCTTCCACAGGCTTCCTAACTTTTCCTCAGTTATTTAGCAATTTTTCTTGGCCAAGTTTCACTGACAAAAATCTTTTGAGGCTTCCAGTTTTGCAGAGGATTTGAACATCCTCCTCCCATAAGTTCTAAATTACAACTCCTTTTGCATAATCTGATGTACTTATCTTTTCTGGCATTAGTTTACACTTTCCATGTTGGCTTGTCAGAAATTATACCATACATAGTTTATGTACATCTCCAAATTCAGTTCACTGTGATTTTCTGTTTAATTGTAGTGATGACCTTCCAGGAAAGTCAACTTACAAAAAGGACACTGTTGCTAGTAATATGTGTCCCAGCATCATAATTATTAAGTTTGACCTGTGTCTAATTAAGAAATTAATGGATGCTGCACTTGATCAGTTTGGGAGAAGTTGTTAATTATAAGTATTGTGATGAAGGGTAGCTGTTTATTCCCTAGTAAATATAGGCTAAGGATTTTTTTTTTAGGTTGTGTGTCTGGCATTTGTAACTGTTTCTATCAGGTAAGACAGAACTTTTTATATAGCAGCTTAGTCTATCATGTAAGTTAATTCTCCAAAAAACAACAGAAATGTATATGATAACCTAGTCAGCATTTGCCTGAAATCAGTGTCAAACTTGGTGGTCTAAATACTTTTCAAAATCATCTCTTGAAAATGGGAAGAGAGATTTCTGAAAAACCTGGGCTCGGAAGCCAAGCTTCCTGAACTTGGAGCCCATCTCTAATGCTCAAAAGATGTAAGTACTTGAATGATTCAAACCTTTCTCTGCTAGTTTTCCTCCTCTGTCGAGAGGATTAAATGAAATAATATAGGTAAAATACAAATTAATATTGGCTGTTTCACCCCTCTCCAATGTCAGTCTCCCTCTCACCTTCTGTATACGTATAAAGAGAGTGACCTTACGTATGTGAATATATTTACACGTATGTGTTTACATTTGTACATGTTTATATATATACATACTTATAAAGCACAATATATATTATATATCTATGTTTATATACATATATATCATTAACATCACCAAGATTATTTCCATGACCTCACTTAGAAATGTCTTCAATACCCTGCACAAGAAACTTGAGCTCATTTATAATAACTAGGAGGTCTTTTACTACTTCATCATCAATCTTGGGCTTCCATTTCTTTTTAGCAATATTTGTTTACCTTTCTAGGTTGACGATCATTTTCTGTTAAAGAAAAACTCATACAAAATATCTGAAGTGTTTTCACATGCACTCTTGTTGTCTGTATGTATTTGGCTAATGCCAACCTGCTTCTTCCTTCTTCAAACATTCTCTGTTACCATGAAGTTTTCAACCAACTCAATTTTTGTCTGGATTTCATTGAAGATAAAGATGAGTTTCTACATTGATAATGTAAAATGCATCAACTCTTTAAGCCTGATTTAATGAAAAAGGCATTACAATGGGAGCTAAGCCTTCAGATTTATTATTCAGGCTGTATTTTTTTCTCTTCGTATAACCTTTGAGAAATCACCTAACTTAAGACCTACTATGAAAACATATGGGGTTGGTGTTGGAGATAAATGAGAGTTTTCTTTATGTATACTTAGCCTCAATTTTTGATAGACTAGTATATTTTTATTTTAAATTATGTCATAACACTGAAATGTTCAGAGAATAACATAGGTTAACATGAATAAACTTCCCCATTAATAAATATTAACAATTATGTTTTGTTTCTAATAAAATAAAAAGAATATTATGAAAAAAATTAAATCGCCCTTTTCTATTCTCAAATATTTTAGGTTTTTTTCTCATAAAAAACAATTACATGCTCTTTAATGTAGACATTTTATATAGGCATATCTAAATGAAGTATTTTTTAATGTACATCTTATACCCATCATTTTGCCATGTGCTCTTCACTCAACATTAAAATTTTTAAATCTGTGTTTATATATACACTGCTTAGTTTTCATTAATAATCTGTCTATGAATAGACAATAATTTGTATAACCACTTCGTCATTTGATAGAAATAAATATTGTTTTTACTTTTTATAATTATACACATTTTCTTCACAAAGCAGTCTTTTGTTCAAATGCCCAACCTTACTTAGATTTAGCAGTGATATTAAAATAAATGATAGAAAAATGATTTCTAATAAGAGAGAAATCTGTATCACCTCCAGAAACTCTCTCTACATTGAATAAAGCAAATTAAATTGCCTTACATTCCAAGTAGAGAAGTGCTGCCTTTTCTTCTCTGCCAAATCTTCAGAAATACAATCAAAGATTTTATACATTGAAAACTACTCTACCAGGTCATTTGTAGATAATAATCTCTTCTTATAACTTTTTAGTTGTGCTTCCAGATGAGTTATTTAATTCATCAACATTTATTGAATACTGTGTTTTTTTACTGATAGCAAAAAAGAAGATGGCATAAGTGCCCTTAAGAAGTATATACTAATCAACTGCTGCAGAATATGTGTTATGTATTAGAATGCATGGGAAGAAATGAGAACTTCAGGTGAAATGGTTATAGAAATGTATGAGCAAGTGATTTGAGTCACACCTTCATAGTTGGCTAAGAGAGGCAGAGAAGAATTGAATTGCCCAAAATATGTGAGTATATTGAAAATTTAAATCTGTAGATTGCAAGTTGGACCGTGCACAGAATTCAGAGCAGACTTTTCAGGAAGCGAAATGGAGGGAGACATACAGACTGAATTTTATGCAAAGTTAAAAATCCTGGGCTTTAATTTTTACAGACAGAAAATGGAAAAAAAGAGTATTTATAAAGGAAAATTGTATGATACAATTAGTGTTATATGGTGTGATGCATTTATTTGATAGTGCCTAATCGACATAAAGATATGATTCTACACAAGTTTTTGTACTTTTTGCATTCTATTAGTTTTAGGTTCAATTGAAGTGAACTATAAAACAAATGTATATTCATTGTATTTTAAATTAACTAATGCTCTTGGGAATATTCATTTTTCTAGTTTAGACAATTTTAAAGTGTCTCTAGGTATATGAATTGCTAAAATTTTCTACTTATTTGGATATCAGCAAAGCATTTCAAACAAGAATTTCAGCTAGTGTCAGAATAATAATAGTGAACAGCACAAGAGAATTATTAAGGAATTTAGATACATTAATTGATAAATTCAGTACAGGTAAGATATTTTGCTGATATTTACACTTTTAAAACCGTTAGGAAGGAGGATCTTAATTAAAATCCTAAAAATGTTGACAAAGAAAAATGTTATACATGAAGCAAAGTGTAGATATGAGATCAGAAAATATAAACTTACTTTTTTTCTTTTAAAATTCTTAGGCAGAAAGTGCTCTATCAATATTATTTGGTTGTAAAGATGTTTCCACCAATTAAGAAAACACTTATCAAAATGGGTAGTTAAGGTGACTTTGAAGTTCCATTATAATAAGGAGATATAGTGGTTGAATATTTAATAGTTGGGTTTTTGTTTGTTTGTTTGTTTGTTTTTTTGTCAGAGTCTTGTTCTGTCGCCCAGGTTGGAGTGCAATGGTGCTGTCTTGGCTCACTGCAACCTCCACCCCCTGGGTTCAAGTAATTCTCCTGCCTCAGCCTCCTGAGTAGCTGGGATTAGAGGCACATGCCACCATGCCTGGCTAAGTTTTGTATTTTTAGTAGAGACAAGGTTTCACCATATTGGCTAGGCTGGTCTCGAACTCCTGACCTGAACTGATCCACCCGCCTTGGTCTCCCAAAGTGCTGAGATTACAAGCGTGAACCACTGTGCCTGGCCTTAATAGGTTCTTAAAGTTAGGATTGTCGCTTTTGTTTCTTTACAAAAGAAACTAGTAATAAATGACTAGTAATAAATGATCGTAGGACATTTTGGACTGATAGAAAATAAAGGTATTATGAGAATAGTCCTAACTTCTAAGGTGGACAGAAAGAACACTTGCAAACAAGTATACTTTTCCATTAAACAACATTTGCAAGCAAGATTTTCAAACAAATACTGTATTTTGAGATAACTTTTCCAATGTTATCATGAACAACACTTAGGATGTATGAAGGCAAATATTGAGTAAATTTCTTATTTCTCTCCCTTTTTAAGGGCAGTCAATATATTAGAAGAAATTTTTTTTGTCACAAAGACACCTTTTGAAAAGATTTTATAACCTTAGGAAAGTCTTGTGAAAATTTACTAAGAAATTCTTTTGACTTAGTTTAGGTGAAGAAGTTGTCTAATACTGTCTTGGTCCCAACATCTAAGAGATATATCCTGCTGATTTCTGACATTTCATTAAAAGAAATGGCAAAAATCACAATTACTTTTATACCAACCTAATAATCTAAAACCGTTTGCAATAGAATTGTTTTAAACCTAGAAAAACTGTGGATGAGGGTTTATCCACTATTCTAATCAAATACAAATTTTACCCAATGGTATAAGCCGTATTCCAACTACCATAAAACAAATTTAAAATATCATTACTTAAGTGAAAATTAGAAGTTCATTGAGAAAAAAAAAAGCAATATTTTTCCACACTAAAGCAAAACAAATACATCTTTGTTTCCTCAAATTGCATCATTTTCTCAATTGACATTTTTCTCAATAGATACAGATTAAACCATGCTGCCAGGCTTTAGCCTTTGACTCATTCATAAATCTTCCTAAATGACTTTAGGATTCATTATCTTACCCCATTTCTACCACTAATTGATTTAAATGAAATATTTGCCATTTAAGGCACAGATGTCACTGCAAGAACAGGTTTCCCTGCTTCCAGCTCCTCATCCAATTTCTATCACATTGAATGGTAAACCTAATCTTTCTAATGCACTTTGAGCTTATCATGTAATGTCTGGAAAACTTGTGGATGGTTTTCGTCCTTCTGTACAAATTAGGACTCTTCCTAAAACTTCATCTTTAGTCTCATTACTCTTCAGGACAAGATTTCCAATCTAGTAAGATTAGTCTCATATTCTTCTTCCTAATTCCTTTTGTTTAATTCCCTCTACTGTCAAGCGTTTTTAGTTTAATCCTGTCTAGAAAATATAAATATTTTAATGTACTGCTCAGACACTAAGATTTTCTCCTCATCTATGTTTGCCATTATAGACTTCTCCCTTCACTTAAAATTTATAATTGGACTCATAGACATCCAGTTATTATTCTCTTTTTGTTTAATATAGTGTAACTAGTCCCCCCAAATTAGTATTTATATGCCTTAAATGCAAAAAAAGCTAGGTCTTATATTTTTCTTGTCATAGTTTGCATACCTAGAACACTGCTGGACATATAACCAAGTCAGTCATGTACTTATTAATTTATTGACTAATATCTGAAGCTGTTTCCAAACCATAGGTAAGAGTATGAATTTTAGAGAAAACTCTAAAACTCAGTAACTCTTCTGTTAGACCGACTGAAATGAACTGAAGGTCAAGATTTAGAGCCTTAGCTAAATTAGACAAGATGCTAAATGTTCACACATTTTTATCAGTCACCACTTGAGAGCTTTAGGAAGAATTTTGTTTGTTTCTTGGATTTTTATGTGTTGCATTTATTTCTGTGACTTCAGAAAGTGTCACTCTATGGATCTGTCTTCTAAGTTTAGGAATGAGAAGTAACAGTTTTTACATATAAAGCTATATTGAATATTAAGGATCAAACAGTGAATGCATCACGTGGTAAGTAATTGGAATTCCCAAATAGAAAAGAAGATAAAATTGTGTTCGTAATAATTTTTAAAACTCAACAACAAATTTAAAAAATACTTTAAAAATTAAAAAATGAACTTAAAATTGAAAAAAATAACATTTATCATACAAAATATTTCAAATGCTCTAATAATCATAAAATAAATAACAATAGAGAATTAGTCAAAAGAATTAGACTGGCATGTCATAAAAGTAAATATATTTAGCTAATAAACACTTGAAAATATACAAAACCTCACCTGTGGTTGAAACAATGAAATATTACCTTTTGCATAAAAAATAAAGATTGAAAAACTTGATAATTGAACTGCTATCAGAGTTTTGGGGAAATGCTCTTTCCCACATCACTGGTAGTAGTAGTAATGGGCATCACTGGCAGATTTTTCATAAGCCAATTTAGAAATAGCTTCAGATTTCTGAATATACACTCATCGTTCATCAATTCCCTTTCTAAGAATTAATCCCTATGTTTTAAACATGCATGCAAATAGTATGTATATACATATATATATACTTTTTTTATAGTGGAATAATAAAACAGAATATGAAAATAAATTATTAAAACAGTATAGTAAACCTATTTGTGCTGATATGTTCATAATATCTCCATTTCTTTAAAATATATGTATATATGAGTATTTGTGTGTGTGCATGTGTGCATGCTCATGGGTATGAACAGAAGCTTTCTGAGAAGATATGTCAGACACTATTATCCTTAGTCTACTCTGGAAATTGGAACCAGATGTCTTGTATAGCAGGAAGATTAACTTTTCAGCATATATCATTTGTAATCTTTGCAGTTTTAATCATATGAATGTATTATTTTATAATTATAAACTAATTGACTTATTACCTTATACCATCGATTATCTTTTGTATATTTTATATTGGAAGTTAAATGTGTATTTATGTGTGAATATGTGTTTGTATGTGTACCAATGTATATGTGTGTGTGTATACATATGCACACCCACTGTACAAGTGTACATTTAGATCTACATTTTGTATTAAAAAGATTACAAAGAACAAAATGAAGCAAATTCTTCAATAGGGGAAAAACCTAGTCTATATAATCCTGTACCTAATTCAATTTAACCAACAAAAGGGGACCAAAGAGATTTTGGTTAGTTCATGTTCACTTAGAGAATAAATTAAAACTGGTATTGAGACCAAACTCTGCAGGTCATGTATCAGTCTAAGGCTATTTCCATGTTTTTCTCTATTAATAAATTTATATTTTTATTTATATAAGGCATTTTTATATTTTAATTATTATGTAACTCTTTGTTAGCTTTGCTGTTTCAACAAGAATTTCCCATTTGCTATTTTTCTTAAATATTTCCAATTGATTGCAATGCATTTCTAATTAAATTTCTTTTTTTTGTTGTTGTCCTTATCGGTTTTTATCCTCTTTTCTTTCCACAAGAATGAAGTTTTAAGACATTTTTTTCTTTGGCCTTATTTTGCTTTGTTAAAGTTCAAAAGTTAGTAAGATAACTTTAACTTTGCATTTTCATTACTTTTTACATTTTTTATCCCACATGTGTTTTCACTATGGTTGGTTTTTATTGGTACCAATGTGAATTATGACATGGAAAATTTGCTTGGGAAATATCAGAACTGCTATTTTCTACATTCCCTCTGGAAAAATGTTAAAGATGGCATACTGATTTTATAATATCAATTTATTTATAGAAATTGCATCAGAGATTTCATTGACTTAAAGTCTAAAAATTTATCCAAGAAAGCAAAAATAGGTTTTATGTAAATAAATGAGTGTTATAATATTTGTAAGAAAGCTTTGGAATACCAAGACTAAATTGTAAACATTTTAATGTTCCTTAGGTCATTGTTTTTCAACTTTCAGGAATGTATTTATAGAGGCAGTAGAATAAAAATTGCTGCAAATTATTTGCTTTTCCTCTCATTAAGAAGTGGGAATTCTCTTTCTTATATATCTGGACTAGCCCTAGTCACTTGTTTGACAAATAGAAGGCTGTAAACTTCCAAGGTTTGGAGAGTTCCAAGGTTAAGTCCTTAGAGCCTTCCAGAGTCCCCCTGGCTTCCTGGAATGTTAGCTTGAAGTGGGAAGCATAGTAAAACAGATACCAAGTAAGAAGCCTGACTAAGTTGAGATCACTTAAGTCTATCTTGGGATGCCCATGCTATGAAGAAATTCAGGCTAGATATGTGAAAGGGCTCCATGGAAACAATACACGGCCAGTCCCAGATGTTCCATCCAACTAGTTAGGCATCAGACATGTGAATGTGGAAGCCATGCTTAAGATTTCATCCCCGGAAGAAAATGTGATGTTAAGAAGAAACAAGTCAGCTGACTGTCAGCTAGAATTGAGGTTTTCTATAAACATCCATAAAAAAGTAATTATTATGGTTTGACTATTTCTGCCCATTTCCAAATTAGTATGTTAAAATTTAATCTCAATGCAATAATATTAAGACAGAACTTTAGGAGTTGATTAGTTCATGACAGTGAAACCCTGATGAATGGGATTAGTGACCTTCTAAAAGAAGCTCAAGGGAGCTTGTTCATGTTGAAGATAGAGTAAGAAGGCACCATATATGAGGAATGGGGCCATCATCAGACACCAAATCTCTTGGTGCCATGATTTTAAACTTCTCAGTATCCAGTACTATGAGCAATACATTTATTATCAGTCTATGGTATTTTGTTATAGCAGCCCTAACAAAGTCAATAGTCAATAGTCCATAGTTCAGAACAAAAACTGAATGCTTTTATTCAGAGTGCGTGCAGAAATGTGAGAGACTCAAGGGGAACTTTCTCCACTGGTACACTGGTACAAGTGACTACATGGGTTAAAATTTCACACATGTAATTGAAAAGGAAGAAGGAAAAATGAATGAATATCTAAATTATTAGCTATTTAGGCTGGAAGCCAATAGTTACTCATCCTACTGTCAAATACAATTTATGTGAGCTTTGAGAAGTCATTAAAATTCTGTCATTTTCTATATGTGACTTCTGGTAAATCATCTGAGTTTTTCTAGTATGTATGCAAAATGAGGTTTATCATTAAAAAGATTCATTTTTATCTCTTAATAATATCACTGCTCTATTGGGGTAGGAGAATAGCAAAATTTAAACAAAATTTAAAAAGAGTAATTACTTATTTTAGAAATTTATTCATGGCATGAACAGATATCATGTCCCAGATTGCTGAGAAGCTAATTAAACCAGTACTTCAGGACCAATATTCTTAGAAAAAAAAGCAAGAATCTGGCTATCAGCAAAAATTGTCTATCTGGTATCACTGCTGGATATTTCATAATATTAATAGCATTTAATTTGAAAAAATAGTTTTAATTTAAAATGAGATTATAAATGTTCCATTTTATATAGTTGAATTAAATTACCATTAGGCAGATGACTCAATTTTCCATGTATGCACATATGTGATGGAGAAGTGTTAAACATTTATTGCTGTCTATAACACTGGAAAACAGGATACAAGAAAATTTTGTCATTTAAAGTTATCAATTGATTTATGACTTGTGGCATAGACTGGGCAAGGCTCATGAAATCAGAGTGCTGGGTGGGTACTTGTGGAGTACTCTTCATTTAACTCATTAAGCCTGGTATTCTTTTTTAAAATGTATTTATATTTGAATGCAACTCTATACAGTACCTTATTTTCTCAGAAATGATGGCAAATAATATATCTGTGACTATTTGTTCAGTAGGGATGAAAGCTTTAAATGGTGAAATTACCAACTCATAGATACTATGTATTTTTAGTGAAGGGATATGTAGTGACTAAAGTTTAGTGACTTTGAAGGGAAAAGATTCTCATATAATTTCTGGGGAAAAACTGATTTTAAAAAATAATGAATATACCTATCATATTTGTTCAGTGGGGATGAAAGTTAAAATGGTGAAATTACCAACTCATAGACACTATGTCTTTTCAGTGAAGAGATATGCAGTGACTAAGGTTTAGTGACTTTGAAGGGAAAAGATTCTCATATAATTTCTGGGGAAAAAATTGATTAAAAAAATAACGAATATACAACTATGATTTCAACTGACATACTATACAACTGAGATACTAGTGGATCTCACAGTGTATTTGGGATCATAAAGAGCCTGAACTTAATTTTTCAAAGTTTCAAAATTATTAAACTTTGTCTTGTTACTATTATCTAAAAGTCAAAAGATAACAAATACTAGTAAGAATATAGAGAAAAAGAAACTCTCATATATTGTTGGTGGGAATTAGCACAGGCACTAGGGAAAACAGCGTGGAGGTTCCTCGGAAGATTAAATATAAAACTACCATATGATCCAGCACTCCTACTACTGGGAATACAGCAAAAAAAAAAAAAAAAAAAAAAAAAGAAATCAGTATTTCTTTGGTATGTCAAAAAGATATGTGTACTTCCATGTTGATTGCAGCAGTGTTTGCAATGGTCAAGATATGGAATCAACCAAAGTGTCCATCAATGGATGAGTGGAGAAAGAAAATGTGGAATGTATACACAATGAAGTACCATGTAGCCATAAAAAAGAATGAAATTCTATCATTTGCAGCAACATGGATGAACCAGGAGGACATCATGTTAAGTGAAGTAAGCCAGGCACAGAAAGGCAACTACCACAAGATATCACTCAGTGGAATCTTAAAAAGCTGATCTCACAGAAGTAGTCAGTAGAATAGTGGTTACCAGAGGCTGGGGAAGGGAGGAGGAAAAGGGGTTAGAACAGGTTGTTTATAGGCACAGGGTCATAAATTAGGAGGAATAAGTTCTGGGGTGCTATTGTACAGAAGAGTGATATAGTTAACAATTTTATATGGTATATTTCAAAACAGCTAGAGGAGGGGATTTTAATGTTCTCACCATAAAGAATGAATATCTGTGATAATGGAAGTGTTAATGTATTAGTCCATTTTCACGCTGCTGATAAAGACGTACCCAAGACTAGGCAATCTACAAAAGAAAGAGGTTTAATGGGGAGGCCTCACAATCATAGAGAAAAGTGAAAAGCATGTCTCATGTGGTGGCAGACAAGAGAAGAGAGCTTGTGCAGGGAAATTCCCCTTAATAAAACCATCAGATTTCATGAGACTTATTCACTATAATGAGAAAGGCACAGAAAAGACTCACCCCCATGACTCAATTACCTCCCTTCAGGTCCCTCCCACAACACATGAAAATTGTGGGAGTTACAGTTCAAGATGAGTTTTCAGTAGGGACACAGCCAAACCATGTTATTCTGTCCCTGGCCCCTCTCAAATCTCATGTCCTCACATTTCAAAGCCAATCATGCCTTCCCAACAGTCCCCAAAAGTCTTAACTCATTTCATCATTAACTCAAAAGTCCACAGTCTAAAGTCTCATCTGAGACAAGGCATGTCCTTTCCACGTATGAGCCTGTAAAATCAAAAGCAAGTTAATTACTTCCTAGATACAATGGGGATAGAGGCATTGGGTAAATACACGCTTTCCAAATGGGATAAATTGTCCAAAACAAAGGGGCTACAGGCCCCTTACAAGTCCAAAAATCCAATGGGGCAGTCAAATCTTAAAGCTCCAAAATGATCTCCTTGGACTCCATGTCTCACATCCAGGTCATGCTAATGCACTGTGGCTTTGCAGGTTATAGACCCCTTCCCGGCTGCTTTCACGGGCTGGGATTGAGTGTCTGTGCTTTTCCAGATGCACAGTGCAAGCTGTGTATCGATCTACCACTCTGGTTCTGTAGGACAATGACCTTCTTCTCACAGCTCCACTAGGCAGTGCCCCAGTAGGGACTGTGTGGGGGGGCTCACATTCCATATTTCCCTTTCACACTGCCCTAGCAGAGGTTCTCCATGAGGGCCCTGCCCCTGCAGCAAACTTCTGCCTGCTCATCCAAGAGTTTCCATGCATCCTCTGAAATCTAGGTAGAGGTTCCCAAACCTTAATTCTTGACTTCTGTGCAGCCACAGGCTCAACACCATGTGGAAGCTGCCAAGGTTTTGGGCTTGCACCCTCTGAAGCCATGGACTGAGTAGTACCTTGGCCCCTTTTAGTTATGACTGGGATGCAGAGCACCAAATCCCTAAACTGCACACAGCAGAAGGACTCTGGTACCAGCCCACAAAACCATTTTTTCCTCCTAGGCCTCTGAATCTGTTATGGGAGGGGCTGTGACAAAGGTCTCTGACATGCCCTGGAGACATATTCCCCATTGTCTTGAGGATTAACATTGGGCTTCTTGTTACTTATGCAAATTTCTGCAGCTGGCTCGAATTTTTCCTTAGAAAATGGGATTTTCTTTTCTATTGCATTGTCAGGTGCAAATTCTCCAAACTTTTATTTCACGTTCTATTTCCCTTTTAAAAGTGAATGCCTTTAACAGCATCCAAGTCACCTCTTGCTTGCTTTACTGATTGGAAATTTCTTCCGCCAGATACCCTAAATCATATCTTTCTAGTTCAAAGTTCTCAAATCTCTAGGGCAGTGACAAAATGCCACCAGTCTCTTTGCTAAAACATAACAAGAGTCACCTTTGCTTCAGTTCCCAACAAGTTCCTCATCTTTGAGACCACTTCAGCTTGAATTTCATTGTCCAAATCATTATCAGCATATTGGTCAAAGCCATTCAGCAAGTCTCCAGGGAGTTCCAAACTCCCACATTTTCCTGTCTTCTTCTGAGCCCTGCAAACTGTTCCAACCTCTGCCTATTACCCAGTTCCAAAGTCAGTTGCACATTTTCGGGTATCTTTTCAGCAGAGCCCCACTCTACTGGTACCAATTTACTGTATTAGTCTGTTTTCATGCTGCTGATAAAGACATACCTGAGACTGGGCAATTTACAGAAGAAAGAGGTTTAATGGACTCACAGTTCCACATGGCTGGGGAGGCCTCACAATCATGGCAGAAGGGGAAAGGCACGTCTCACATGGTGGCAGACAAAAGAAGAGAGCTGGTGCAGGGAATCTCCCCTTTATAAAACCATCAGATCTTGTGAGACTTATTCACCATCACAAGAATAACATGGGAAAGTCCCATCCCCATGATTCAATTACTTCCCACAACATGTAGAAATCGTGGGAGCTACAATTCAAGATGAGACTTGAGTGGGGACACCACAAAACCATATCAGTTAAAGACCCTGATTTGATTATTACACAATGTAAAGATAAAAATGCTCTCATTATAACCCATAAATATGTACAAGTATTATAATTAATATATTAATTATAATATAATTATATATTATAATTATATATATATAATATAATATAATATAATATTAACAATTTAATATAATATTAACAATATAAATAATATATTAATAATAATATAATATTAACAATTAATAATTGCCTTGTTAAATATTTTTAATAACACTGATTTTTAAGACACTCTTTTTAAGACTGTACTATCTTTTGCAGGTAACACCATTTTTTTGAATGGGTATAATAAAGTTTCAAAAAAGCAAAGAAAATAGTTTTGTGATTGAGGTTTGTCTCACACATAATCATTTTATTTGTTCTTCAGAAACTTTATTACACGTTTAAAAATCACATTTAAATTACATACAACACAACAAAAAAAATCATTTCCAGCCCCTATTTCCACTCATTGTAGTGTGGCTATCAAAATAGTCTCTATTTTCTTCAACAAGAAATCGCTAAATCACTGTGTTACTTTTAGTTTAAACAAACAAACAAAAAAACTCATAATGCTCAGAACAGAGCTACCAGATGTTTAGGTTGAATCATTGTGAATTAGGACTTCCCAACTTAGTAGAAGACATATAAGAAACAAACCCACTAGGTGTAGGTATTTACCTATGGTTATTTGCCATCAAGCTGAATATAGGAATTGTGATGAATTATGGAGCACAGTTTTAACCTATCATTCCTATGAAACTAGTTTTTTATTACCTTTACTAGGGACTACTATCGATTTAATTATGCTTTATTACTTAACACATAAAGATTTATGCTCCTAAAGTTTGTGTTTTATGTGAATGCCTAGCACTCATTAAAAGTCCCATGGATGTCAAAATTTTGAGAAATACTCATCTGCAACACTGATACCATTGTGAATGGATCCCAGACTGCCTCCCCACTGAGCATGGATGCTTTCTGGAAGATTCTCTCTAACAGCCATATTTTGCTTATACATGAAAAGTCCACTCAAATGCCCCTTCACCCTTCTACTCTTTGTTGACCACATTTACGAAAACTTTTATGACTGTATAGAACATTGATGTGTACACCGTTTTCGGGTGTTTTAGGCAGGTTTAATAAAACAAGTGCTTATTAGGTACAAGCAATTTACTAAAGATTCTCCTTCAATTATTTCTATACACACAAAGAGAGGGCTAGCAGGCATATGGGGAAATTGTCAAAGAAGAGGAGGAGGAGGATTTGAAAGCAGAATCCCTAGATGCAATCTGTAATGCACTTTATATGTTGCTGTTATTTCTGCTTCTGGAGCCTGACCTGAAGTCCACAGGGCAGTCACTTCGAAAGAAAAGATAGACGTGAAGCAGGGGAGAGTCAGAATTAAGCAGAGCCTGTATGAGCGGGAATCTCTGTTGGCCACTCATTTTAGTGATGAGATTGACTTGCAGGAGAAGCAGGCACCCTTCATTTTGTTGTTAAATACACAATGTCCTAGGAGTCAGGGAAGCTGAAAAACAGACAAGAGTTGAAAGAGCTGCTGATCTGCTGCTGCTTCAGGCCAGCAAGGCAGGCTATGAGGCCCAAGAAAATGTATACGAATTGCAACGTGTTCTGACCCTACATTAATCTTCCGAGAATAAATGTGGCTTTACGTTTTCCTTCCAAAAACTCATGGAATAATCTAATGTGGCCACTCCTACCCAAGAACTATGGGAAAAAGGGATTCTGGGAAACAGTTCCAACTTGGTTAAGTTGGCAGAGTATGAAGCCACCATAGGAAGAAACCACTGCAGAATAGGAGCTAGTGAAATTTTCTGAGGTACTATTGAGAGTGTCTCTGGAGAAATACCTTGTCTGAGAAGGTGTAATTGTATCCACTTTAATTCTGATTGGTACTTAAATACTGGATGCACTGTGGTCATTAAATAGTCAGGGACCTTTTGAGTTGTTTCACAAGATGTTTCCTTAAAATCAGGGCCCAGTAAATATGATGGAACTGCATGGGACATAATGGTTCATGGAGCAGAGGAACCTCAAAAAGTCACTGGATAAGAATCTTTTGTTCGAAGCTGTTTGGCTTAAAAGTTAGAGGTATAGATTTAGGTGTCAGGAGGCTTTGTCTTCCACGTACTAGCTCTATGATCCTGGGCAAAACATTGAACCACTCACTCATTTGTTCAATACCTGGATCTATCATGTGTAAAATGGGAATGATAAGGATGGCCTGATAAAGTTGCTGTGAGCACAAATAACTGCTCTTTTTAAAGCACTTAGAACTTTAAAAAAAAAAAACTCTGACATACACTAAGAATCCAATAAATAGGAAGCATTTTTCATTGTGTTCCTATTGTAATAGGAAACTAGTTTCCTTAAAAAGGGATTAGAGAATTAGAACATGCTGAGCATGATAAATTTTAAAATTAAGTAGTATAAGTTTTCTCTGGGTTTAGCACAAGGGCACCAGATCTCAGGCATGGTGGGAATGAAGGAGACTTAGTTGTGTTTCAGTGGTTGAATCTAAGGTTAAAGGTGTGTGATTTACTCAGTATCTTCTTTGGTAAGTTTGTAGGATGCTAACCAGGCCATATTCTCAATTCTGCTTTTTTTTTTTTTGTTTATTTGTTTCTCTGTTTGCCTGTTTTTCTTTACAACCATTAGATTAAGATGGATTATTATATTCTATCTATAACTTTTAATAAAAAACAGTGACATCCTCTCTCTTGAGTTAATGACATTGGGCCTATGGTAATTCACCTATTAGGATAAAACAGTTAAGGAAAAAGTGTCAATTGACTCAGCAGACCTTCACATCCATGCAAGTGTTTCATTTTCCGTCCCTACCAGTTCAAGTTATGGGTACAAATGGCATCAGGGTGTAGGGAAGCCTACTTAATGGTGTGATGAAGAACACTGATATAGAAGCTATTCGTTTTGGTTCTTCCTACAGACTGGTTCCTAAACTATAAGTGAAAGTTGGTAGAGGCGGAGAGATGATTCTACAAGCTGGAGAGGCAGAAACATTAGAAAATATAGGAAGTGAACAGTAGAGGAAGTATATGTAATTCTTAGGTACTGTCACCTATGAGATAAGGGTCATGTGGCTGAATCTTCATAAGCCCCAGAAGTAGGCACTTGAGTGACTGTGAGAAGGCTGGGAAACTTAAAGATACCATGAGTAAAGATGAGTAGGTACAGAGTGCTCAGACCAACCCTGGAGATCATCTCAAAGGATCATGGAGACAGACTGAACGTCTGGGCAGATGCCATTGAGAGTGATCAATAAGAGGACAATGATTAGTAATTACAAATAGATGACCTCTTCCAACACCATTTTCTCTACATGAGGCCCAACAAATTGGGGGAAAAGAATGAGAGAATTGCTGCGAATTCTGAATTAGTGAGGGTTAAGCTTCAAATTGCTGGGTTTACTTAGAATTGACTAAGATTTTATCTTCTGCCTTTTGGCCTAACAGAGTCTCCGAATAGAGACACAACAAATATTACATGAGCCCAAGATATGCACCTGACACTGTTTAGTCACTGGGGAGACATTTGTGAAGAAAACAAACAAAAATTCTTATATTCAGTGAAATTAAGAAAATATGTAGGAATATAAAGAATAAATAAGACAGATACTTAGAAACTTGTATATTTAGAGAAATATTTAGTGATTGTGGTTGTAGTTGAAATAGAAAGAAAATATGGAAAAGTATAGGTTATATATCTATAAAAATTATATTTATGCAAACTTTCATTTTGTAACATTAAAATACACTAAATATTCAAAATGCATATAAGAATTGACATAATTTTAAATGCTATTGGATTATAGAGGGGAAAGAGCTTATGACAAAATACATCATAGTTAGGGCAGTAATTACTTATTCGTATCTAAAGGGCAGACAGGATTTAGTTGGGCAAAGGAGAGAGGAGAGGCATCTGTTCAGCAAGGTAGACACAAAGAGGCAGACACAAGACGAGTTCAAAGCATATAATTTCACTGGAGCAGAGGATTCATGAAGGGAATTTGCCTGAAAAAACACATTAAATGTGATTTGAAAAGATCTAAATGTGAATTGAATGATGGTGTTCTGGATCCTCATTGTTTCCCCTAGTTTGGATATGCATATATTTTTTCTATATCGTTTTGGATGACCTACTTAAAACTCAATTATAAAATTAACATGATATGTGCTTGAATGGACTGATTCATTTTTTAAATGTCTGATACAAGTTCAATAGCAAGCTGCAGTAAAATTATTGGTTTTTTATTTTACTGTTTCTAAAGGAACATTAATAATGTCTGAATATCACAGTTTTATGCAACTTAAATTCTATAGGCAGAGGCCTATCGAAAAAGTATACCAGCTAATTAAGTAGTACATTTCCCATGTATCTAGCCTATGTGATGTGTAACTTTAGTGCATAACTTTTACAATGAAACATTTAAAATATGAAACAAAATGTCAATGTTCTTTAAATATAGATGAGAATTTATTTTAATAAATAACTATGCAAGTAACACAGGGAAAGGAAACATCATAAAAGTTTTAGGACTAAATCAACCTGAGCTTCTCAATCTGTGTTTTAGTTCTTTTGAGGCTTATTTTTCTTATCTATAAAATGGGTATAATAATGTGTGATTCTTTGTATTGTTTGAGATACTAGACATCAAAATACATCTTTTTATCCTAGCTCAGATATTTCTCTATTTGTGGCTTATATATCATGAAATAATACTTCGATATGACAAACACTCAAGTTCAGTTTTTAAAATAGTTTATTGTACTTGAAGGCAGGAAGTTGACTTAAATGGCTTCTGGATCATATGATTTTACTTTAAAATATTTTGTAAAATCGTTATAGTGTATAACATTCATTTTATTTTCATAATACTTTTTTGGCCTCAGGATATCTCAAAAGACTATTATTCAAATATAAAAACAATTCAAGGAAATATTAGCAAAGTTTATGGAATTGTTTTTCTATATTTGAAAGAGTAAGAAGCCATACTAACCTTTTTAAAAAAAACTTTTTTTTTGAGACAGAGTCTCACTCTGTCGACCAGGCTGGAGTGCAGTGGTGTGATTTTGGCTCACTGCAAGCTCTGCCTCCTGGGTTCATGCCATTCTCCTGCCTCAGCCTCCCAAGTAGCTGGGACTACAGGTGCCCGCCACCACGCCTGGCTAATTTTTTGTATTTTTTAGTAGAGACGGGGTTTCACCATGTTAGCCAGGATGGTCTTGATCTCCTGACCTCGTGATCCGCCCACCTCGGCCTCCCAAAGTGCTGGGATTACAGGTGAGAGCCACTGCACCCAGCCAATACTAGCCCTTTAACAATTTTTTTTTAATTCTAGAATTTTACTCTAATAAAAATGGCTCTCCAGAAATTGTGCTATCACCTAAAGAGTAAAATTTATGTCTTTATTCTGTCTATAGAAAAGAAAATTAACATCTAATGATTTGCTTAGAATAATAACCACAGATTTCTCAAACTACAGCTATGAACAAGGAACTATGCTTGTTTCTACTAGGATAGAGAATGAAACTGAAATATTCTCTATATTACAAATGGTCATCCAAGTGTCTACATTTGTTAAAAAAAAAAAAAAAGTAAAACTAGGATTTTTCAAACCCATCAACTAATGGTCTATTTACTTCATGTTGCAATAATAGATTTGAGTATTCAGTAATTGATGAATTAAGTTGTTCAAGTGTCTAAAATATAGGGAACCTAATTATTTATAAAGACACACCAATTGAAACCTTAATTGTCTTCACTTGAATTTATTAAAAATAGGTATTTACTGAAGGCAAAATTGGCTTTCTCCTGTTAATAATTGTTAATAAAATGATAAATGGCTGATTTGATGTGTATCTTCAATTCAAAAAGGCAATTGTCTTATTGACCTTAAAAATGGCACAATAATTACTTTAAAAATTTTTACAAATACTCTGGTTATGACTGAATTTTATACAGTGTAGCATCATAACTTTGTTATAAATGACACTAATATTAAAATCAGACATTATAGTCTTAACAGTGATTTTCTTTTCCACATATTACTGTTAAGTCAGTAATATTGTCATTAAACTCTTGACATTAATGAACAAATGTAATCATCTTCATAAGAAGAAAAAATAGTGTAAATTTTGCAGTCCTAAGTGTTGGATTCTAGAGAGAAAGTTCTGTTTTCTTTTTAATTTTTAACTGAAGTACTACACAGACTCCCTAAAACTAGCCTCCACACAGCTAATAACATCAAACATTCCCCTGCTTCATACTTTCATGCCTTTCTCATCACACTTAGAATGAGATCTATGTTTTTATCACGGACTCTAAAGCCAAATAGAATTTGTCTCTGACTCTCTTCAACCTCACCTCTTCCTTTCTCTGTCTCACTAAGTTCTAGTCATGCTGACTTCTCTTTTCTTCCTTGAACATGCCAAATTTTTCCCCTCATTCAACCGTTGCACTGGACACCTCTTTTCCCAGAATGTCTCCCCCAGAGTTTTTTTGTCTGGCTCTGTCTCATTATTTAGGTCCAATTGAAATACGCCCCCAACCCAAAGCCAATGTAAAGCAGACCCCCACCTCACAGTCACTCATATGTCACCTGATTTTATTTTTGCTTTGTGCTTGCCCTTACCTGAAATTATATAATTCATTTACTTATTTACTTGGTTCCCACAAGGATGTGCCTCTTATGAGAACAAGCACCATTTCTCTCGTTACCACTCTATTCTCAATACCTAGGAAGGGCAGATAATAGGTTTTCAATTAATAATATGAATTAGTAAATGAAAAGCAACTGAGATATACTATTTCTCTTTAATCTGGAGCTTAAGAAAAGATATATAACTAGAGTGAACATTTGGACTGGGGATCAATGAGTTAAATAAAACCACTAGCACCATTCTCTTTTAATGTGATTTTCACTAGGCTTCTTTGGTCAACTCAATCAAAGGTGTTAAATAGTTGCATATGTTTTCTCAGGATGTTATGGTAATATAAGGAAAAATTAAACCAAGTCAGTAATGCCCAGTCTAGGTTTCCGAATCCACATTAGAAGAAAAGTGGTCTTTCGGTCATGTTGCACATAGAAATGAACACATTCTTCTGGCTGCCCTGTGACATGAGTTATTTTCCTTCTGTGGTGTTGGGGCTCCTGAATTGTGTTGTCCTTCAAGCAGCTCTGCAACTCCTATCTGTACAGAGGCTTCTGTCGCCGCTCCTGCCAAGTCACTGACTACCAGCACTGCAGGCACAAACTGGTCTGTGCCAAGTCACAGTTGTGCATGTCTAATGAGTCACCACCATGTTCTGTAGCCCTCTATGTGGGCCAAAGCATGGAGAATAGGAGAAAACCCCTCACCCCTTCCTTGGGGAAGGTAACTCTGTTGCCTAAGTTCACAGGCAGAGCTGCTTAGGCTCTCAGCATCTCACAAGATTTTCTTTGATTATTGGGCTTGTTTTCATTATCGTCATAATGTGCATTTTTAAATCAATTAGCTCTTTTAGTTTTTGCTTATAGTCAGTGTCTCTGAATGATTCAGACATAAACCTGTGGAGGCTGTGCCAGATGTTACAATAACTTGAGGGACATACCATGTTATTCTCAGAATCCTGTCTCCCTTCTGTCTCTCAGACACTGTTCTAAGCCAGATTTGGTGGTTGTTTGTTTTCTTTCCTTTGACCTTAATCCAATTAGACCCCAGGCAGTCATACCCATCCTAGAGCTCTGACATTATCAGTTTCTTAAGCACAAGACAATGATGACCTAAGCTAATGACTGCTTGGTTTCAAGTTGAGATTCCTACTATATAAAAATGTCTGATTTGGTTAAAACAGAAAGAGAATGTATTTGCGATTCACTGAAATCCTCTTAAATGTCTTTGTTATATGGCAAAATTTATAAATATTTTTTATTTGGACAAGAACCTTGCCCTTAGGGCTGTTTCAAGACAAACATCCAATCATTAAACAGATTAGTAAAATATCTAAGATATAGTTAATATCATAAATAAAAAATACAGAATATGTCACAGTTTTAGTCTGCCTTAAATTGGATCTTTTTCTGGGGGTGGAAGTAGAGAAGTTCTTTTCCACAGTAAAGATACTGTAGGCTGTCTTTGTAACTTCCTAGTCGCAAGAACTTGAACAACCTCCCTTAACTGCACTCATAACTAATGTAAGATTTTCTGTTTATATATCAAAAAGCTGTATGGAAACTCAAATAAAAAATAATTTTGAACATTTTCTATTTTTAAAGAACAATGCAAATGTTTGCCACCCATTCTTATCTTTTGGACATGAAATTACTAAGACATACATTTCTCAGAGAGCTCTGGTGAGGATTCTGAGGCAGTGAAGGGATCAGGGGGAAAGAGTGCCATTATTGATTAGTGTTATCCAACACTGATATAGAAACAGCAAAGAAGAGGGAAGAAAGGTCCTGTCAGTCCTAATAGCATGATGAGAGTGACATGCTACCAACAGTGTCCTGCATTACTCTGGGGGAATATCTTAGTAACTAGCAAGAATCTTGTAACAGTAAGAAAGAAGGAGGAAAGGTCCTGGCAATCCTAATAGCATGATGAGAGTCATATATGCTACCAACAAAGTGTCCTGGATTACTCTGGGGAATATCTTAGTAACTAGCAAGGATATAGGAGTAAACCAGCCTGTTAGCAAAGAAAATCATTAAAGGACTTTATTGTCTCTAAATCATAAGCCCCTTTCCATGTGATTCAGGACAAGTCATGGCCCAATCCAAATTCAGTTTCCCAAGGCTTATTCATTGAATTATCACAACTATCCACTCTCAGCAAATTCTTCCTATCTTAATACTAGTCCTCATAGCAAAAAAGTTACAAAAGGAAAGTATAGATGTTATTTCTCTGTGCAAAAAATTTTCTTCCAACTGATACTCGGAATTTGATTTTAAGGAACTCTTTAGCAATCAACTACGAAACCCTCAGTGACCTGTATTTTGTTGATAATTGGGAAAGCAGAAACATTTCCTAATCCATAATGTCTCTCTCTCTCTCTCTCTCTCTCTTTTCTTTTTTTAACTTTAGTGCAATGATTCTCAAGGGGAGGGGAGTACAATTATCTACATTAGAAAAAGTCTGGAGACATTCTAGATTGTCATAACTTGGGGGAAGGTGCAGCTAGTAGGTAGAGGTTAGAAATGCTGCTAAACATTCTGTGATGGACAGGACAGTCCCTCAAAACAAAAATTATCAAGCCCTAAATGTTAATGTTGTGAAGGTTACGAAACTTTACTTGAGAAGAACGTGTGCCTTGATAGCAAAATTGTTAGAATTCTGCTTAGAATTCTCTTCCGTTCCTCAATTAGTGGAGAATCCTGGGGGAGAAAGAAATCATTTATGCAGAAGACCAGCCACATATAACCATTCTTGTCTTAAGAATACTGGAAGAAGAGTAGTAAATGTAAAGTTATCTATCTGAAATAATCTCTAGATTTACTTTGATACTAAATTTCAGTATGTGGAATATCAGACCCCTCTATGATTATAAATATGACACCTTCAATATATGCAAAGCACATGGCAAGTACAATGATAGGCTATTTTCCTTCCATAATACCTATGAGTGGTCATGACTCTTAATTCTAGTATAACTGTAGATGATAGAAAACCTAAATATATTTTAACTGATAACAACTTGACTCTTGCCTTTCTTCAAATTATTCCTTGTATGATATGGTTCTATAGTTATTTACAAGTCAACCTTAGTGACTTCTCATTCCTGCATAGTTAAAAATAAAAAGTGATACAAGCGTTTATGAATATCTTTCCATTCAAATTCAATGTGGTAATTAAAATGTAATGAAAAACATTTATCTTTCGTCAAATCACTTTGACATCTTGGTTCAAGAAAATGATTCTATAACGTCCCTTTTTCTAAGTAAGGCTAATAGCCTGTCTTTTCACTAGGAACCAAAATAAATATGACAATATTAGAGTCTTCACGTTTGTTTTCAATTAAAATATACAACTGCATAAATGTAAAAATATTAAACATGAGATATTTATTTTGTGATTTACCTTTTTAATTGTTTCATTTCTTTGAAATAAATCAGGTCAGAAATAAAATGTGCTTATTGTCCTCTTTACTTTTTCATTGGGTTTTTCTTTTCTACAAAGTTACAGCTCAGTTTTATTATGTAGGGTTACTGCATGGTTCTTTTCATATATCAAGATGAAAATAGTGACAAGTTCAGTGTCTTTAATTTGTCTCTGATTATTTTTCAATAAATCATGTCTAGAGTAAGTATTGAGTTGTTTTTGTAATCAAAATCTGTTATGTTTTTATGGGATATTTAATATTTAAATACTGGTATTTTGAAGGCTTCAATTGATTTTCTATTTTATTTATTTCTTCTAAAAAGAAAAAAATGGGATACATGTACAGAACGTGCAGGTTTGTTACATAGATATACACATGCCATCGTGGTTTTTTGCAGCTATTGACTCGTCCACTAAGTTCCCTCCTATCACCCCCTACCCCCCAACAGGCCCTGGTGTGTGTCGTTGCCCTCTCTGTGTCCATGCATTCTCATTGTTCAACTCCCACTTATGAGTGAGAACATGCAGTGTTTGGTTTTCTGTTCCTGTGTTAATTTGCTGAGGATGATGGCTTCCAGCTTCATCCATGTCGCCGCAGAAGACATGATCTCATTCCTTTTTATGGCTGCAGAGTATTCCATGGTGAATATCTACCAAATTTTCTTTATTATCATTAATGAGCATTCGGGTTGGTCTTTGCTATTGTAAGTAGTGCGCAAAAAACATATGTGTGATGTGTCTTTATAGTAGAATGATTTCTATTTCTTTGGGTATATACCCAGTAATGGGATTGCTGGGTCAAATGGTATTTCTGGTTCTAGATCCTTGAGGAATGGTCCATATTGTATTCCACAATGGCTGACCTAATTTACATTCCCACCAACAGTGTAAAAGCATTCCTATTTCTCTATAGTCTTGCCAGCATCTATTGTTTCCTGACTTTTTAATAATGGTCATTCTGACTGGCATGAGATGGTATCTCATTGTAGTTTTGATTTGCATTTCTCTGATGATCAGTGATGTTGAGCTTTTTTTATATGTTTGTTGGCCACATACATGTCTTCTTTTGAGAAGTGTCTATGCATATCCTTTTCCCACTTTTTGATGGGTTTTTTTTTCTTGTAAATATGTTTGAGTTTCTTATAAATCCTGGTTATTAGACCTTTGTCAGATGAGTAGATTGCAAAAATTTTCTCCCATTCTGTAGGTTGCCTGTTCACTTGGATGATAGTTTTTTGTTTTTTTGTTTGTTTGTTTGTTTTTTGCTGTGCATTAGCTCTTTAGTTTAATTAGATTCCAGTTTTCAATTTTGGCTTTTGTTTCTATTCTTCTGGTGTTTTAGTCATGAAGTCTTTGCCCATGCCTGTGTCCTGAATGGTATTGCCTAGGTTTTCTTCCAGGTTTTTTATGGTTTTGGGTTTTACATTTAAGTTGTTAATCCATTTTGAGTTAATTTTTGTATAAAGTGTAAGGAAGGGGTCCAGTTTCAGTTTTCTGCATATGGTTAGCCAGTTTTCCCAGCACCATTTACTAAAGAGGAGATCATTTCCACATGGCTTGTTTTTGTCAAGTTTGACAAAGACCAAATGATTGTAAATGTGTGGTGTTACTTCTGAGGTCTCTGTTCTTCTCCATTGGTCTACATGTCTGTTTTGGTACCAGTGCCATGCTGTTTTGGTTACTGTAGCCTTGTAGTATAGTTTAAAGTCAGGTAGCCTGATGCCTCCAGCTTTGTTATTTTTGCTTAGGATTGTCTTGGCTATACAGGGTCTTCTTTGATTCCAAAAATAATTTTAAATTGTTTTCTCTAATTCTGTGAAAAATGTCAATGGTAATTTGATGGGAATAGCATTGACTCTATAATTACTTTGGGCAGTATGGCCATTTTCACAATATTGATTCTTCCTATCTCTGAGGGTGGAATGTTTTCCATTTGTTTGTGTTGTCTCTTATTTCCTTGAACAGTGGTTTGTAGTTCTCCTTGAAGAGGTCCTTCACATCCCTTGTTAGCTGTATTCCTAGGTATTTTATTCTATTTGTAGCAATTATGAATGGGAGTTCATTCAGGATTTGGCTCCCTGCTTGCCTATTGTTGGTGTAAAGGAATGCTTATGATTTTTGCACATTGATTTTGTATCCTGAGACTTTGCTGAAGTTGCTGATCAGCTTAAGGAGTTTTGGGGCTGAGACAATGGGGTTTTATAAATATAAAATCATGTCATCTGCAAACAGAGACAATTTGACTTCCTTTCTTCCTATTTGAATATGCTTTATTTCTTTCTCTTGCCTGATTGCCCTGGCCAGAACTTCCAATACTATGTTGAATAGGAGTGCTGATAGACGGCCTCCTTGTCTTGTACTGGTTTTCAAAGGGAACGCTTCCAGCTTTTGCCCATTTGATATGATATTGACTGTGGATTTGTCATAAATAGCTCTTATTATTTTGAGATATGTTCCATCAATACCTAGTTTATTGAGAGTTTTTAACATGAAGCGATGTTGAATTTTATGAAAGGCCTTTTCTGCATCTATTGAGATAATCATGTGGTTTTTGTCATTGGTTCTGTTTATGGTGATGGATTATGTTTACTGATTTGCATATATTGAACCAGCCTTGCATCCCAGAGATGAAGCTGATTTGATTGTGGGAGATAAATTTTTTGATGTGCTGCTAGATTTGGTTTGTGGTATTTTATTGAGGATTTTCACATCAATGTTTATCAGGGATACTGGCCTGAAATTTTCTTTTTTTGCTGTGTCTCTGCCAGGTTTTGGTATCAGGATGATGCTGGCCTCATAAAATGAGTTAGGGAAAAGTCCCTCCTTTTCAGTTGTTTGGAATAGTTTCAGAGCTAATGGTACCATATCCTCTTTGTATGTCTGGTAGAATTCAGCTGTGAATCCATCTAGTCCTGGGCTTTTTTGGTTGGTAGGCTACTAATTACTGGCTCAATTTCAGAACATGTTATTGTTCTATTGAGGAATTCAGCTTCTTCCTGGTTTAATCTTGGGAGGGCATATGCATTCAGAAATTTACCCATTTCTTCTAGGTTTTATAGTTTATTTGCATATAGGTATTTATAGTGTTCTCTGATGATAGTTTGTATTTCTGTGGGGTCAGTGGTGGTATTTCCTTTATCATTTTTTATTGTGTCTGTTTGATTCTTCTCTCTCCCTTTCTTTATTAGTCTATCTAGTGGTCTATCTATTTTGTTAATTTTTTCAAATAGTAGCTCCTGTACTCATTGATTTTTTGGAGAGTTTTTCATAACTCTATCTCCTACAATTCTTCTCTGATCTTAGTTATTTCTTGTCTTCTGCTAGCTTTTGAATTAGTTTGCTCTTGCCTTTCTAGCTCTTTTAATCGTGATGTTAGGGTGTTAATTTGAGAGCTTTGTAGCTTTCTGATGTGGACATTTAGTGCTATAAATTTCCCTCTTCATATAGTTTTAGCTGTGTCCCAGAGATTCTGGTACATTACCTCTTTGTGCTCATTGGTTTCAAAGAACTTCTTGATTTCTGCCTTAATTTTATTATTTTCTCAGGAGTCATTCAGAAGCAGGTTGTTCAATTTCCATGAAATTGTGTGGTCTTGTGTGAGTTTCTAAATCCTTAGTTCTAATTTGATTGCACTGCAGTCTGAGAGACTGTTATGATTTCTATTCTTTTGCATTTGCTGAGAAGTGTTTTACTTCCAATTATGTGGTTGATTTTAAAATAAGTGCCACATGGCACTGAGAAGAGTGTATATTCTGTTGTTCTGGGGTAAAGAGTTCTGTAAACATCTACTGGGCCCACTTGATCCAGAGCTGAGTTCAAGTCCTGAATATCCTTGTTAATTTTCTGTCTCATTGATCTGTCTAATACTGACAGTGGGGTGTTAAAGTCTGCCACTGTTATTGTGTGTGGGAGTCTAAGTCTCTTTGTAGGTTTCTAAGAACTTGTTTTATGAATCCAGGTGGTCCTTTACTGGTTGCATATATATTTAGAATAGTTAGCTCTTCTCGTTGAATTGTTCCCTTTACCATTGTGTAATGCCCTTCTTTGTCTTTTTTGATCTTTGTTGGCTTAAGGTCTGTTTTGTCAGAGACTAGGATTGCAACCCCCTGCTTTTTTTTTTTTTTTTTTGCTTTCCATTTGCTTCGTAAATTTTCCTCCGTCCCTTTATTTTGAGCCTGTGTGTGTCTTTGCACTTAAGATGGGTCTCCTGAATAGAGCACACTGATGGGTCTTGATTCCTGATCCAATTTGCCAGTCTGTGTCTTTTAATTGAGGCATTTAGCCCATTTACATTTAAGGTTAGTATTGTTATGTGTGAATTTGATCCTGTCATCATGATACTATTTGGTTATTTTGCACACCAGTTGATGCAGTTTCTTTGTAGTGTCATTGGTCTTTATATTTTGTTGTGTTTTTGCAGTGGTTGGTGTCAGTTTTTCCTTTCCATATGTAGTGCTGCTTTCAGGAGCTCTTGCAGGTCAGACCTGGTGGTAACAAAATCCATCAGCATTTGCTTGTCTGGAAAGGATTTTGTTTCTCCTTCACTCATAGAGCTTAGTTTGGCCAGATATGAAATTCTGGATTAAAAATTCTTTTCTTTAAGAATGTTGAATATTGGCCCCCACTCTCTTCTGGCTTGTAGAGTTTCTGCAGAGAGATCCACTGTTTGTCTGATGGGCTTCCCTTTGTAGGTGACCTGCCCTCTCTCTCTGGCTGCCCTTAACAGTTTTTCCTTCATTTCGACTTTGGAGAACTCGATGATTATGTGTCTTGGGGGTTGATCTTCTCTTGGAGTATCTTAATGGTGTTCTCTGTATCTCCTGAATTTGCATGTTGGCCTGTCTTGCTAGATAGGGGAAGTTCTCCTGGATAATATTCTGAAGTGTGTCTTCCAGCTTGTTTCCATTCTCCCTGTCTCCTTCTGGTACTCCAATCAATTGTAGGTTTGGTCTTTTTATTAGGTCCCATATTTCTTTGTGCCTTTGTTCATTACTTTACACTCTTTTTTCTCTATTCTCATCTGCACCTCTAATTTCAGTAAGGTGGCCTTCAAACTCTGATATCCTTTCTTCTGCTTGGTCTATCTGGCTGTTGATACTTGTGTATGTTTAACCAAGTTCTCATGCTGTGTTTTTAAGCTCCATCAGGTCATTTATTTTCCTCTCTAAACTGGTAATTCTAGTTAGCAATTCTTCTAACCTTTTATCACGGCTCTTAGCTTCTTTGCATTGGGTTAGAACATGCTCCATAGCTCATCATAGTTTTTTATTACCCATCTTCTGAAGGCTGCTTCTGTCATTTGGCACATCTGATCCTCCATCCAGTTCTGCACCCTTGATGGAGAGACGTTGCGATCATTTAGAGAAGAAGCACTCTGGCCTTTTGGGTTTTCAACACTTTTTCATTGATTCTTTCTCATCTTCATGAATTTGTCTAGTTTCAGTCTTTGAGCCTGCTTATCCTTTAATGGGGTTTTGTGGGGGCCTTTTTGTTGTTGTTGTTGATACAGTCGTTGTTGCTTTCTGCTTGTTTGTTTTTCTTTCAATAGTCAGGTCCCACTTCTGTAGGCTTGCAGTTTGCTGGGGGTTCACTTCAGGCCCTATTCAACTGATTCACTCTTGTGCCTGGAGATGTCACTCAAGGAGGCTAGAGAGTAGCAAAGATGGGTGCCTACTTCTTCTTCTGGGACCTCTGACCTCAAGGGGCACCAACCTGATGCCAGTAGGATTGCTCCTGTATAGGCTGTCTGACAACCCCTGTTAGAGGGTCTCACCCAGTTTGGTGGCACAGGGAGCAGGACCCGTTTAATGAATCACACTTTGTCCCTTGGTGGAGAGGGTGTGTTTCACTCAGGGGAAACCCACTCACCTGGGCTGCCCAGATTCCTCAGAACTACCAGGAGGAGAGGCTAAGTGTGCTGGTCTGCAGAGACTGTGGCCACCCCTTCCCCTAGGGGCTCAGCCCCAGGGAGATCCAAATTCTGTCCCTGAGCCTCTAGCTGGAGTTATTGGAGTTCCTGTGGGGAAGCCCTGCCCATGGAGGAAGGATGGGTCAGAGTTAGGCCTGATGAGGCACTCTGGCCACAGATTGCCACAGCTGGTGTGTTGGGCTGTAGGGACAAGTCTTGGGACCAAGCCGTCCAGCCTTCCTGGCTTCAGTAGGGGAAAAACAGCCTGGAGCTATAGAAATGGGTGCTGCCCTTCCTCCACCCAGGGAGCTAGGCGAGTTAGGCTGTTGTGATTCACAGTGCTGGCTGCTGCTCCTCCCCCAAGGAGCTCAAACAGCTTAGACATTAGGCTGCCACCAGTGCTCCTTCAATGGATTTTCTATAACATACCTACAACCATTTAAAAAATGTGTTGTCAGTGAAAAAGTATTTTCGTTTGATGATTGTGGAACCAAGAGGATCCCAAGAACATTTCAGGGATTTATTAATTTAAACTTATATATTGGTAAGAAATCCATTAAAGGACAAAATAGCCCATAGATTTTAATAGCTTTATAATCACCTTAAGCTAGATCACATGGTTATATATACTTTCTACCTTGTACATTATTATAAATGACAGTCCTGCTAAACTTTCTGCCACTATTTAGTAATTATACCTTACCTCTAGTTTCCAATAAGATTTTCTTCACTTCCCTTTAAGTCTTTACTGATAGTCACCTCAAAGTCCAAATTTTATGAATAATTTGTTCAAGGTTCATTAAGTGTTTGCTAATATTATCATCAAAGTCCACTGCCCTGTTTCAAAGCAATTTCTTCGTTTTAAGTTTTTGATATGGTAGCATCCGATTTTGTTACTAAAATCTGTATTACTTCTCTATTGCTGTGTAACAAATCACCCCCAAAATTAGTGGCTTTAAACAACAAATACTTACTATTTCATGTTTTCTGTGGGTGAGGATTTTAGGATTACCTTAGTTCGATATCTCTCATGAAGTTGCTATCAAGATATTGCCTAGGCTGCAGTCATCTGAAAGTTGAGTGGTGCTGAATGACCTTTGTCCAAAGTGGGTCAGCTACATCGCTGTTGGCAGATGGGCTCAGATCCTTGTAGCCATCATTATAGGCCCAATAGGTTGCCTGAGTTTCCCCATGGCATAGCGGCTGACTACCAGTAGAGTGAGTGATCCAAGTGAGAGAATCTAGGAAATGACATAGCATCACTTCTGCTACGCCCTGTGAGTCATAACCCTGAAAAACGTGAGACGGGATTACACAAAAGTGTAAATACCTGAAACAGGAATTTTTGTAGGCAAAGTTGGAGGCTGACTACCACACACACTTTTGCAATCCATGTGCTCCTCTGCACATGACCACATGGAACCATTGATTTGCTTTTTATCACTATAAGCTACTTTGCACTTTTTAACATTTTCAATAAATGAGTATGTACCCTTTTGTGTCTAGCTTCTATCACTCAGCATAATTTTGAAATTTATCTATATTGAAGAGTTTATGAGTCATTTTTTCTTTTTTATTGCTATGAGTTTCACTGTGGAAATCCTACACATTGTATCTATCTATTTACTTGTTCTTCAATATTTGAATTTTTACCAGGTTTTTATATTACAAATAAAGCTTCTATAAATATCTGTGTCTGTCACACACTTTATGTGAACGTATAACTTTATTTTTTTTGGGCAAAGACTTAGGAATGGAATGACTGTGTCCTATGGTAGGTACATGGTTAATTTTTAAAGAAACTGCCAAACTTTTCCAAAGTGCTGTACCATGTTACAGTAATATATGAGAGTGCCAATTGTTTTACACCCTTGACACCATGTCATATTTGTAGTTTTCTTAAGCTATTCTAATATCTCTATAATGGTGTCATATTATAGTTTAAAGTTGCATTTCTCTGATGACTTTTCATTTGCTTAATTACTACTATGTGTGTTTTTCCTTTCTTTTTCCTCTTTCTCTTTCCTCTTCCTCCTCTCCTTGATCCTCTCTTTCTCCTTTCTTTTCTACTTCTCCTCTTTTGCTGTTCAAATTATTTGGCCAGTGTAAGAGTTTATACAAATTAGATTAAAGTCCTTGGTGAGGTAAGATATTAATGTTTTCTCCCATTATCTGGCCACCTTTTCACTTTCTTAATGTTTTATTTTCAAGAGAAATATATTACATTTTAATAAAGGCCAATTTTTTCAACATTTTATTTTACAGGTCCTATCTAAAAAAGCCTTTGCCTGCTTCCAGGCTGTAAAGATTTTATCTTTAGTTGTCTTTTAGAAGTTTTATATTTTTTACTTTTATATTTAGTTATATTCCCCTTTTTGAGTAAATTCTGTAGGCTGTCAGGTTAAGGGTTGATGTTCATTACTTCACAGATACCTACTTCCATCAGTTTTTTTTTTAAAAACTTGCTTTAAAAATCTTGATTCAAAATCTTTGACCATATATTTATACAACGATTTCTGGACTCTACATTGTTCAACTGACTCATATATCCTTTGTTATGCTAATACCACACAGCCTTTATTATTGTAGCTTTATATTGTGGTTTTGAAGGTTAATGTAAATTATCAAGCTTGGTTTTTATTTTGTAAAATTGCTTTGGACTTTCTAGGTTTTTTTTCCATCTCAATATAAATGTTATAATAAGCTTATCAAGTATTTCCAAAAATCTTGTTAGAATTTGGGGGTAATTGCTTTGCATTTGTAGATCTATTTGAAGAGAATCAGTGTTTAAAAAATATTGAGTTTTTCCTTCATTAACATGGTATATCTCCTCATATAGGTATTCTTTAATTTCTCTTAGCAATGTTTTACAGATCTGAGTGTAGATGTCTCATAAATATTTTTTCTAAATTTTATTATTAGGTTTTTATTCTGATAGATATTTTAAAATTATGCTTTCCAATTGCTTATTGTTAGTATATAAAATATTATTGAGTTTTATACCTTAACAATGTTACATTTACTTATTAATTCTAATAAATTTTTAAGACCCTGAGGATTTTTTTATTAAAACAATCATGTCATGTATAAATAGAAGCAATTTTATTTCTTCCATTTTGATTCTTACTACTGTTATTTCTTTGTCTTGCCTTGTTCCGATGGCTAAACATTTCATACCCCGTAAAAAAGAAGTTATTTTAAATCTTCTATGTGTGTGAGAGAGGAAGGTGGCATTAGTATTAAGCATTGCTCCACTGTATATTATATTAACTGTAGAATTTTTATAGATGACTTTTATAAGACAGAGGTAGTTCCCTTCTATTCATAGTTTGCTGGTAACTTTTACCATGAATTGGTGATGAGTTTTGTCAAATAATTTCTCTGCCTCTGTTGAATTGATTATATGGTTGTTCTCCTTTATTTTGTTATTTTGTGAATTACATTGAACTCTTTGGAAGACTACTACTTGATTATAATGCATTATATATTGGTGGATTTCATTTGCTATAATTTTTAAAGATTATTACATCTATGTTCACAAAGGCTATTATTATTCCATAATTTTTCATGATTTTATCTTTACTGCTTTCAAGATTTTATTTAATCTTTGGTTTTCGTCAGTTTGACTATGGTATTTCTAGGCGAGTTTTTCCTGTTTCTCTTATTTGAAGTTTGCTGTTATTTAAACTGTAAATTGATATTTTTCAACAAATTTAAGAAGATTTTTGTCATTTAAAAAAATATTTCATTCTGAGACTCCACTTTTACAAATGTTGGAGATTCCTCTGATTCTGTTTGTTCATTATGAATGTACTTTTCTTTATTTCATTGAGCACACTTGTGATAGCTGTTCTAAAGTTCTAGTTTAATAATTCCAATATCTGGATTATATTGGAGCTGGCCTGTGTTAATTATATTTTCCCTTAAGAAAACATGATGTGCTTTGGTTGTTTGCAAGATGTTGTTTTAGATTTTATCATGGAAGTGTTGAATGTCAAATATGGATTCTATTACATTGCTTCAAAAAGCAGTAGCTATTTTTTTAACAGGCAGTTGGTTAGATTCACACTACAAATGCTATCACACCTGCTTATATCACATTTGAGACTTATTTGCAAACTGCTTTGAGACATGTCTGCATATTCATTGTTCAGGGCTGTAATATACTACGAAACATATTGTCCATCTAAGATTAATGATCGTCATAACGCCCACTCAAGCATCTTGCAGAATAGATACAATGTGTTACCTTGTAGTATGATGGAAGCTGGTCCAGGAATTTCTAACTCTGGTCTGAGGATTTCCAAGAGCAAAAAAAAAAATCATCTCAGCACAGATGCAACTTTCATGAACCTTAAAACAAAGCTTACCCTTACAGGAATAGCTTAAACTCCCTTTGTGAAAGAATCACCTGGTAAGTGGTCCAGACTGAATACAGGTGTAAAAAAGAGAGAAGAATCCCCCAGACTCTGAGAATAGTCTCCAGATGGAGACTCTCTGGTTAGGCAGTCATATGGCCCCTGCATTTGGTCCATGTCACTGGCCTGCACCTGCTATTCATCTTTTAATAGCACTGCCAGAATAAACTGCTGGAACATCAAACGGTGCCTAAAGCTCATCTTTGATGTGAGTTGAGCTGAAAGGAAAAATTTGTCCCTTGGGCAAGCTAGTTAAATTGGACCACCCAAAGAGCTCTGAACATGACAAAGAGTCAAACAGCAACTTCAGCAGAGTTTACACATATAACCCAGGGCACTCTTTCTTTGGCTCCTTCCTTTCCAGGATCCCTACGGCCTCAATTTCCAGCAGATGTGGTCACTTCAGACTCTGTTACCTGGTTAATTATGCTAGAAATAGAGAGGATTTTATAATAAAGTTTCATCCACCTTGTATCATGCCACAATTATGGCCAATCTTCAAGCCAGTCCAAAAAAAATTAGAAACCCATTTTTTTCCGATTTGTTATATCAGGTTTGGACCCCTATCCAAAATCAGTTTTAATTTTTTCCACTCTCTGTAGCCTTGGCTAGTTTTTGTGTGTGTGTTCAAATCTGAGTTACATTTGTTCTCTGCAGTAGGGTTTTCTTAGGGACGTACTCTGCCATATAGGAAGCAGAAGCGCTAATGTTACTTAGCATTTGAGTCTTCAAATAATAATAAATTTCTGGAAGATAATAAAATGAAATATAAGATTGGAAAACAGTGTCTGCTTCTCAGTATTGAAAATGTAGAGGACACAGTATTAAATATATTTGAAAATCATATATAATATAAGCGCTGTGATCTTCCAAGGTGTTTCTAAGATGAGTAGTTAAATGGATTTAAAGGTAGACTTGGGAGTTCGGATTCAAGTGTGTGTCATGATATGTGTGGAATGTATTTGTCCATGTATGTGTTGGTTCAGATACTTTTAAGAAGGAGAAGGAAAAAAATAGAGGTAATTTATTAGGGAGAAGGATACATGACATTATTGACTAAGGTTCCAAGGCTGTAAACAATTAGGCATGGATTTAAATTATGTACAATGATAGTGATAATGGTAGGAAATATAGCCATAATAATTTTAGCTAATATTTATTATTCTTTTGTTTGTGAAACATCATGTTAATCGGTTTGCACAGTTTTTTAGATAACTTTCAGATAATTCTACAAGAAGGGGAGCTATTATCTCAGTTTTACAAATGAGAAAATCTGGGTGTAGAGAGATTTGCTAACTTTCCAAAGATCTTAAAACTAGTAGAGAACAGGAATTTGAATCCAGTTTTGAGCTTTAACAATTTTTTATATGCTATAGACCAGATGTTTGACTCAATTTCTCCTTGTAGTACTTGACCCAAAAATCATTTTCAATGTACTCTTATTACTAGGTTTTATCTGGGATAACATGCTGTCGTTCACTATTAGCCCACGTTAATAGTCAGATACTACATTATAGACATGTTTAAAAAGAAATTTTAGTCATTTAGCCTTGTAACTTAAAATTTTTCGGAGTTATTTTCTGTGTAAGTATCTGAAAACCCTGTCAATATAAATAGCTTTTTTTCTGCTAGCTCAAGTACAAAATCTATGTGCCAGGTGTTGACCTTGTTAAATTACTGGTGAAAACATGTTTTTGTCAGCTGCTAGAGGAAACTTCTGAGGTGCTACCTCTGGTTTGACAATTATTTTTAATATTATAAATTAATGTGTAGAAGGAAAAGAGCAATATGCACAAGCAAGCTAAACTTAAAAAATACTGAATTTAAAATAACTGAGTACAGGGCTTATGATAACAAAGGATGAGTAAATGCTATAAATTAATTGATGTAATCCTCTTTGAAAATTCACATTATTTAAAAACAAAGACAATGTAACCTAAAGAACCACTGTTATTTAATAAAGATTTTTAAATAAGTTTAGCTCCTTTCTCTGCTTTGAAAAATTTGTCAACTTTACCTGAAGGTGACCTCTGAGACCATTTGTGTGTGAAATTTCTCTTCTACTCTTTTCTCAATTGTACATTCACCTTGTTCTAGCCTGAAAAATGTGTATCCAATTGTCAAAATGATTCTTTTGGGTAATTAAAAAATATTTTTTAAGAAGATATGAGAAAATGATATAGTACAACTATCTACTTTTTATTGTTGTTGTTGTTGGCTTTTACATGTTTGGGCCATATTTGCAATTATTTTCATTACACTGAGACCTTTTTTTCTTCTTTCTTTTGGTAGAGGTGAATGATTGCATGGTGTACCTCAAGAAACCAAATAATTGGTGGCAGCATATAATGTTTAAATTTATCGAACAAGTTTAAAGCCTCTTTCAGGAGAAAGCAAACAATCATAATGTTATAGGCATTTGCAGGTATTTCAGTAGGGCTGGAAGTTATCAACACTGTTTCTAAGTGTCCATCTACAGCACTGATGAAATAATACCTAAGGGTCTACATAAACTTTTAAACGAAGAAACAACATGCTTGGCCCAATGAGAATTTTAGACTCTTTTCTCTGATAAAATAGGAAAGAGCTGAAAAAGAGGTAGGCTTTCAGGCAAAAATTACAACAGATCCATTGTAGGGTCCAGCCCTACAGGGCTTTGCGGGTTTCTCCCCGTGTACGGAGACCAGAGATTGTAAGAAATAAAGACACAAGACAAAGAGCTAAGGAGAAAACAGCTGGGCCGGGGGGACCACTACCACCAAGACGCAGAAACAGTATTGCCCCCAAAGGGCTGGGCGTGCTGATACTTGTTGAATACAAGACTAGGGGGCAGGGTAAGGAGGGTGAGTTGTCCAAGTGATTGATAAGGTCAAGCAAGTCACGTGATCATGGGACAGGGGGCCTTTCCCTTTTAGGTAGCCGAAGCAGAGGGGGAAGGCAGCATACATCAGAGTTTTCTTCTATGCACTTATGAGAAAGATCAAAGACTTCAAGACTTTCACTATTTCTTTTACCGCTATCTTCTAAGAACTTCAAAGAGGAACCAGGAGTATGGGAGGAACGTGAAAGTGGACAAGGAGTGTGACCATTGAAGCACAGCTCCACAGGGAGGGGTTTAGGCCTCCGGATGACTGCGGACAGGCCTGGATAATATCCAGCCTCCCACAAGAAGCTGGTGGAGCAGAGTGTTCCCTGACTCCTCCAAGGAAAGGAAACTCCCTTTCACGGTCTGCTAAGTAACGGGTGCCTTCCCAGGCACAGGCATTACCGCTTGACCAAGGAGCCCTCAAGCGGCCCTTATGCGGGCGAGACAGAGGGCTCACCTCTTGCCTTCTAGGTCACTTTTCACAATGTCCCTTCAGTACCTGACCCTATACCTGCCAGTTATTCCTTGGTAATATGAGTAATACAACAAAGAGTAATATTAAAAGCTATTAATGTTTATACTAATGATTGATAATTGTCCATGATCATCTCTGTATCTAATTTGTATTATAACTATTCTTATTCTAACTATTTTCTTTATTATACTGAAACAGTGTGTGCCTTCAGTCTCTTGCCTCCGCACCTGGGTAATCCTTCGCCCACAATCCATATTCTGAACTCTTTTATATGCCTATTAGTAGAATCATTACGTGTGATGAGTTGGAAGAAAGGGAAGCAAAAGTAGTTTTTGTTCTCACAGAGAAGTACAAACATATACTTGTATTTGTCCAAGCGACAGGAAGAATACTCTGTAAGTGATAACCTCAGTCTTTGTTTCTTCATGAACAACTCATTTCAAGTGTAACGCTGAAAAATCTGTATGAAATATTCCAGAAAAGAAAAGACTGCGGATATGGCACTTTGATAGAATCAACACCCTGTTTTTGAATCTAGGGTTCACTGCTAACTTTGTGGCTTCTTTGTGTCTCAACATTCCCATTTGTAAAGTGGGCCTAATATTGGTAATTATTTTGTAGGATAGCTATGGGAATTAAGGAAGATAATTCATGCAAAGCATTTAGAACAATGCCTAGAACTTAGTGAGCAGTTAGTAAATACTGGATGTTACAAATTCTATACTGCTGTGTTTCAAAATGAAAATTCTTACATGAACTTCCCAAATATGTGCCATATTTGTTCTCTCTTCCCCTCGTTTCCGCTCAATGGACATAGGACTCTTCTCAGGTGTACTGTCTCCTAATAGAGCAGTGAGGATGAGTGTGACAATTAGGTGCATTGGAGAAGTTAACTCAAGAGCTTGTCAGGGTGAGATGAGGAGCTGGAACTTTAAAGTGATAGCAAAAGATTACTAAGTTGAGTGACTGAAATTTCCATAACAACAACAACAACAACAAAGATAGCACAGAAAGGAGGAAAGGAAAGGATATGAAAGAGAAGGGAAGGGATGGGGAAAAAAAAAAGACTCTAGCAATGCCATGATTCCTGGAGCATTCCTGAAGAGATGAAAATCTAGAGCTATTGAGTGTATATTTAGGCCTCTAAATAGATGGTTAAATCAGCACATTGTGGGAAATAAAATACTTGTGTTGCTGTGTTGCTGTTGGAATAAAGCATTCAATATTAAACTTTTGGTAGATAAAATTGGCTAGTAATTATCTTCTAAAAAATGACTTTCCTCTAAATGTATATTACTAACATAAGCACCAGATTTGTAATAGAATAGCTATCTCTTGTTAGCATTTTTAAGATTTCATAGGAAAAAGTCTGGAAGGGGCAGACTGTATTATTTATACATAAACTTACAGATCCCAAGGTTTTCTTCGTTTCATAGTTTAAAGAACAGTAGAAAGAAGAAGATGGTAGTGTCAAAGCAAAAATTGCACCAGGCAATGCTAAACAGGTAAGGAAGACTTTATAGAAGGATCTTGCAATAAAAGAGAGAGACCAAGATGCAGTTTGAATTCAAGAGGTAAAGACTTTTTAAGAACTGGGACTGGGAGGAACATAGCCCATCTGTGTTTGCTAATTGACTTTACCCAAAAAAACTTTCTGGTATCATCATGACAGGAGGTAGTTTCACAACTTGGAAGAGATATCAGTGAAGATAAGCTTCTACATTCACAGAAAGACTGGGAGATAGAGCCACTATGTTCCTTGATGATTATATTTCAAAGAATGGCTCCAAGTTCCTTGAGAAAGACAGTCCTGAGTTATAAAAATGGGAAAAGAGTTGTCTCTTCACTTTGTTGATTGGTTTCTTTGCTGTGGAGAAGCTTTTTAGCTTGATGTGATCCTATTTGTCCATTTTTGTATTTGGATGCCCGTGCTTTTGAGGTCTTATTCAAGAAATCTTTGCCCAGACCAATGTCCTGGTGTGTTTCCCCAATGTTTTCTTCAAGTAGTTTCATACTTGCAGGTCTTATTTAAGTCTTTTATCTATTTTGATTGGATTTTTGTATAAGGTGAAAGACACTGGTCCAATTTCATTGTTCTGAATATAGATATCCAGTTTTCCCAACACCATTTATTGAAGAGATTGTCCTTTTCCTAATGTATGCTCTTGGAACCTCTGTCAAAACGAGCTGACTGTAAATGTATGAATTTATATCTGAGTTCTCTATTCTGATTCATTGATCCACATGTCTGTTTTTGTGCCAGTACCATGCTGTTTTGGTTACTATAGCTCTGTAGTGTAATTTGAAGTCAGGTAATAATTCCTACACTTTTGTTCTTTTTGCTTAGGATGGATTTAGCTATTTTGGGTCTTTTGTATAAATTTTAGGATAATTTTTTCTATTTCTGTGAAGAATATCATTGGTATTTTGATAGAAATTGCTTTGAATCTGTAGATTGCTTTGGGTGGTATAGAAATTTTAACAGTGTTGATTTTTTCAATTTATTAGCATAGAATATGTTTCCATTTTTTTGTATGTCCCCTTCAATTTCTTCAGTGTTTTACAGTTTTCATTGTAGATATCTTTCAGTTTTTTGGTTAAATTTATTCCTATGTATTTTATATTATTTGTAGCTATTGTCAAATAGGATTACTTTCTTGGTTTCTTTTTCAGATCATTGCTGTTGGCATATAAAAATACTGCTGATTTTTGTATGTTGTTCTAGAATCCTGTAAGAATTTATTAGTTTTAACAGTATTTTTTTTGGAATGTTTAGGTTTTTCTAAATAAAGTAAAAGTGAAGAGACAATCCACAGAGTGGAAGAAAATATTTACAAACTACTTATCTGACAAGCGATTAATAACCAGAATATATAAGGAACCCAAACAACTCAATTAAAAAAATCAAATAATCCAGTTAAAAATGGGCAAAATATTTGAACAGACATTTCTCAAAAGAAGAGAAATGGCCAAGAGCTATATGAAAAAAATGCTTAATATCACTAATTATCAGGGAAAAGCAAACCAAAACTACAATGAGATATTATCTCCTCCCAGTTAAAAAGGCTTTTATCTAAAAAACAGGCAATAACAAATGCTAGAGAGGATATGGAGAAAAGGGAACACTTGTACACTGTTGGTGGGAAGGTAAATTAGCATAACCACTATGGAGAACAGTTTGGAGGTTCCTCAAAAATGTGTATTGAAGGAATATTTGCACTTGCATATCTGGGAATATCTGCAGCACTATTTAAAATAGCCAAGATTGGCTGGGTGCAGTGGCTCATGCCTGTAATCCCAGCACTTTGGGAGGCCAAGGCGGGCAGATCACGAGGTCAGGAGATCGAGACCATCCTGGCTAACACGGTGAAATCCCGTGTATACTAAAAAATACAAAAAATTAGCTGGGCGTGGCAGTGGGTGCCTGTAGCCCCAGCTACTCGGGAGGCTGAGGCAGGAGAATGGCATGAACTCGGGAGGCGGAGCTTGCAGTGAGCCGCCACTGCACTCCAGCCTGGGGGACAGAGCGAGACTCCCTCTCAAAAAATAAAATAAAATAAAATAGCCAAGATATAGAATCAACCCAAGGGCCCATGAATGGATGAATGTATAAAGAAAATGTGGTACATATGCACACTGTAAAATATGTGTCAGACATAAAATGAATAAAATTCTGTCATTTGCAAAAGTAAGGATGTAACTGGAGGATATTTTGTTGAGTGAAATAAGCCAGGCATGGCAAGACAAATATCACAAGTTCTCACTCAAATGTGGAGCTAAAAGAATAATTGAACCTAGAGAACAGAGTAGAATGATGATTACCAGAGGCTCAGAAGGATAGTGGGGAGAGAGACATAAAGTGGGCATGGTTAATGGGTACAAAACTACAATTAGAGTAAATTAGATCTAGTATAACAGATCTAATATTGTAGCACAATAGGATGACTATAGTTAAAAATAATTTATTATACATTTTAAACAACTAAAAGAATAGAATTAAAATATTCTCAACACAAAATGATAAATTCTTCAGATGACAGATACTCTGATTACTCTGATCATTATACATTGTATACCTGTATCAAAACATAACATTTAACCCATAAAAATAGACAACTATTATGTACTCATAGTAATTAAAAATAAAAAAGAAGTACGAATAAGTTTTTTTAAATAGATTTAAATTTCAAAGGGTCAGAAAAATAATCTAGAATTACAAATTTTCTAAAGTTAATGCACTGAGAAAACAGAGAGGAGAGAACTCCGTGCTTAGGCTATCTGGATTCTGGAAGGATGGGTGTGAGAGGGAAGTCAGGGGCCTAGAGGCAAGAAGAAGCCTGACTGAAGTTTAGTGAAGTTGAAGGAAATATTAAGTCCATCTTGGTCAGCAGAGAAAAATGTTTGGTGCTAGTAAATGTGAAAAAAAAAAAGAAAAAAAAGACTTTCCAGAATTTTTGTAAAATTCAAGATGGTAGGTCTTTGGCATTTAAATAATTTATTGCTGTTTCTTTATTTAAGTGACCTAAAATATTTAGTCAAACATACTTTTAAAATTTTTAGACTTTTGAGAAACATGAAATTTAAATTGATATAAAAAGTTAATATAAAGAATTCTAGAGCATTAACTTAGTAGAAAGAAAATATAAATGGTGACTTTAACATATTATTCTGTAATTGCTATATGGAAAAAAATTCTCCATTAACAGAGAAAATTAAAATGGGTTAATGTTTAATAGCACTTGTGGGTTTAATTAAATATAAGGAATACTTCTCTATCTGTTAAATACAGTTAAATACTGGAGGTATATTTGAAACAACTGCCTTGCACATATATCATGTTGAACTTCACCTTCACCCAATTGTTAGAGAGTCCCTTCTGATATCTTGGCTACATTCAATGACTTTCCAATTTCTCTCTGCTATCAGAACAGTTTCACTTTGCTATAAAGTCCTGTTCGTTAAAAAACTTCAATCCCTGTCTCTTCTCATCGTCTCTGCCTATGCTGACTAGGTCTCAGTGGCTTTAAGGACTTAGAGTGTAAGGGGAAGACAAGGTCTACTCTTTTTACACTCCTCTTCAGTCGAAGGTGTGTTTTCAGGGTAGTGGTGGAGTGGCAAGGCGAGTGAAATGTGTAAAATATCCAACTGAAAAGGTTGTAGTTCTCTTTTTACTGGGTTTAAGCACTTTTTGGTTATCCTTGTGACTATCAATTAAAAGGAGACAGATGACTATTCCAGCAGGTTCCACTGTCTGTTACAGAGTCACTTCTTTCCTGCATCTCCCTTAGTCCTGTGCTGTCTGTCCCTCCACATCCTCCTGCTGATCTTCACCTGTGACATTCACAGTTTCTCCCTCTGACATGTGATCTTTGTCCCAATGCTTTGAGTGCCCCAATAAAGCTGAAGCCCCAAATTTATCGAGCCTCTCTGCCCAACAATCCAGATTGCATTGGAACTCAGTATCTATCTCCTGCACCTTTTAGAAACAAAACATGAATAGAGAAGATCCTTGCCTTCTCTTTGCTTGGCAGTCCCCTGGGAAACCATTTATTACTATCCAATTCTCTCTTTTGCCTTGTCCAGTTAGCACAGAAACAGATCATCAAGTTGAGACTTTCAAAGGATACCCAAAAAGGGGAAAACAATACTACTCTGTGTTTTTAGGGATCTTTTATCTTTATAAGTGAGTCTCTTGGAGCCCATTTCTCTTGGCTCGAGGAAGCAAGGTTATAGTTCATAATGATTAAACTCCTGAACAAGCCAATAACATCCTTAATTCTCAGCCCTCTTTTATATTGACTACAATTGGGCTAGGTAGAATAGGCTAGACTTCTAAATGGCTATTTTGAGTAGTTCTGTTGGATTGTGGTTTATTCTGATTTATGATAACTTTGTATACTTATTGTGAAAAGAATGCGGTGCCTTCCATCTTCAGTTTAGGGTTTATGATACATTCTTGAACAGGGAAAACTCTCACAGGATATGTGGCTGCATGTAAAATATTTTCTCATAGGGTTGTTAAAGGCATTCAATGAAATTCTGTGTGTTAGGATCAGTGCTTAGAACATTCTGGACACACTGAAAGTTACCATAATCATGTTTCTCTTTTCCATCTTGAAATTCTTTCTTACCCTGGCCTTTGTCACAGTGACCCATTCAGATTATCCTGTCTCAATTTTACCATTTACTGGTTCCTCTAGCTGTCAACAACTGGTAGGTAAGCACCAAAATTTCACTACCATTGTAATACAATATATACATATACATCCATATTTTGGAGGCCATTTCTTTCAAGTTCCAGGCTCATGTGGCAAAGTGTCTCCAAAGAATTGATATGTAGTTATTTCAGCCTAATCTCTGTTTTTAAAATCAATTTTTTATCTAACTAAAAGTACCTTTCTTTACTATAATTTCCATAATTTTTGTCTTTGACATTTTTTCCTCCATTACTGAAGACAAAAAACTCCAAATTTTATGAGAAACGTTTTTATCTGTAATGCAAAAGAATTAGCCAGATAATAAATTTTATCAACCTTTATTATGGAAAAAATCAAATTTGTCTTTAGTTTTTCTTCTCACTGCAAACAGCAAAGGCAAACTCTTAGAACCTCATGTGTGGGCACTTGTGATAAGCCATTAACTGGTTAACCTTTGGGCCCTCTTTTCCAATCTCCAAATCATACTGCCCAGTGCTTTTCTAAACCAATCTGCGTTAATCACTGCTTTCATAAAGGCACTCTCCTGCCAAAAAGGAAACTTCAATAGTTCCATTTTTGTCTTCAAAATAAAGTTCAAACTCTTTTATATAGCATTCATAGATTCATATCTCTCTAAATCAGCCCCCAACTTTTGCCCCTGAAAATCTCCGCTTCAGCTGAAGTGGTCTCTTCACCATTTCCAAGATATAACTTGCTCATCTATACATAAAACATACTATTTTTACTTATCTGCTTAACTAAAGCTCACCCTTCCAACAACTACCTCAAGTTTTACATTTCCAATGAAACATTCTAGGCAACACCCTCCATATCCTTGGAGTAACTTTTGCCAAATAAATTTCTTTTTATTTAACATTGAGATTTTTGAGAGGTTAGTATGTATGTTTTAGACCCTTGCTATTTGTTTTGTATCCATGATTTCATTCAACACACACACACACACAAAAACTTGGAAAATGGGTATTTCATCCACATCTTTCAGATGGAAACCTAGGCATAAAAATGTTTCAAAATAAGTCAAGTTTCATTATATGGCAAGGCCAGGATTCAAATGATGGGGTTGTTCTCATTGTGAAATTCTTTTATTTTCATTACTTTGCTGAAGCATTTGAGAGATAAAAATTAATGGAGACAAAGAAAAGAACTTTTGATTTCATGGAATATTGGGAACTTAAGGCAGACTGAAAATGTTAAGAAGTAAACAGATGCTAAAAAATAAGGTAATAGATCTACTTAATATTTGGATTCATTTTATATATATGCATAGAATTATATACATAATTTCAAAAAAAATGCCTAGATGGGCTCCATGTAGCGACATAAGGATTTAAAAGAAAAAGAAAATGAAAGGATGGGGAAGAAAAATAAATAACAGGGCTTTCCAACTGTAAGTAGGCTAAGAAAACTTTTCTGTGGACAGTCACTTTTATGAAGGACATTATGTTGTTAAGATATATTCTCAGTGAGGTATCATCAAATAGCAGCAAGCCATAGATAATAAGGCCATATTAGCACATAAATGTAAAAGGTTTATATGTGCCCCATTCCAGTGACCTTTACTGTACACTGTCTTGAGTTTGCCATAAAATCATTAATAAGTTTGGTTAAAGGGGAATTGAAACTCATGCAACCGTGCCTAAATTACTTCTAGAAAAGTAAGTAGTGCCACAGTCATTAGTGTTTAAAATTAATGTGTGCATTTTTCCTGTTAATAATTATGCCCATTTAAAATAACCATTACTCCTATAATGTGAATTTAATGAGGAAAATATATGAGAATATTATTAATTTTCTTTCTGTTAAATTAACAAGCCCTTTTGCTGTTATCTAATGTGAGTATCAATAGTAAAAAAATCAATTAAAGTCAAATACAAAGTTGATGAGGACTCAAAAACAACTTCAACTCACATATAGCATACTGCCATTAAAATATTAGAAAATAAACATACAGGTTTCTACACTAAAGTAAGCATGCATAAATAATTAATGTGGGGACTGATATGGCATTCACCAAATCTTGCATCTGTTTTCATATCATTTCCCATAAAGTCAACATAACATTGTGAGACTAGTGTTGAGCAATATTTTTTAAATTTTTTATGTTGAAATAATGTAAGAATAGAAAATCCATAAAAATAGCACAAATAATTCATGTACACTCTTCATCCAGATTCCCCAAGCATTGACATTTTAATATATTTGCTTTATTATTAATATTTTTTCTTCCTTTTTTCTGGTCTCTTTGTCTCTCTCTGTACACAAACAGGTGAACACACACACACACACTATTTGCCTAAATGTATGAGCAACTCACACAGTTACATTATGTTCTTTAACTCTAAATACTTTAGTGTGGGTCTCCTAATAACAAGATTCTTAAGCAGAGAACAAGTATCAAAATCAGATTATTAACATTTTGTATTCTTATTCAATACACATAATTTATTTAAATTTTTCTTAGCAGTGTTTTTAAAACAATGCTTTACAGGCATACCTTGTAATATCACACTTTGCTTTATTGCACTTCACAGATACTGAGTGTTTTACAATTGAGGATTTTGGCTACCTGTGTAGAGCAAGTCTATCCATGCCATTTTTCCAACAGCATGTGCTCACTTCATGTCATTATGTCGTATTTTGGTAACTCTCATGGTATTTCAAGCTTATTCATTATTACTATATCTGTTATGGTTAACTGTATCAGTGATCTCTCATGTTACTCTTGTAATTGTTTTAGGGTGCCATAAGATAGCTAACTTAATACATACCAGTATGTGTTTTGACTGCTTCACCAACTAGCTATTCCTGTTTCACTCTCTCTCCTCGGGCCTCCCTATTCCGTGAGATACAACATATCGCATAGGCCAATTAATGGCCTACATTGGCCTCTAAGTGTTCAAGTGAAAGAAAGAGTCAAACAAACGTCTCTCATTTTAAATCAAAAGCAAGAAATGATTAAGCTTAGTGAAGAAGGCATGTTGAAAGTCAAAGCAGGCCAAAAGCTAGGCCTCTTATGCCAAATAGCCAAGTCATTAAGGCAAAGGAAAAGTTCTGGAAGGAAATTAAACGTGCTACTCCAGTGAATACATGAATGACAAGAAAATGAAACGGGCTTATTGTGATACGGAGAAAGGTTTAGTGGTCTGTATAGAAGATCAAACCAGCCACCACATTCATTTAAGCCAGAGCCTAATCCAGAGCAAGACTCTAGCTACCTTCAATTCTTTGAGGGTTCAGAGAGGTGACAAACTTGCAGAAGAAAAGTTTGAAGCTAACACATGTTGGTTCCTGAGGATTAAGGTGAGAAGCCATCTCTACAACATAAAAAGTACAAGGTGAAGCAACAAGTGCTGATGTAGAAGCTGCAGCAAGTTATCCAGAAAATCTAGTGGAGACCATTGGTGAAGGTAGCTACACTAAACAGTAGATTTCAATGTAGACAAAACAGTCTTCTATTGGAAGAAGATGTGTTCTAAGACTTCCATAGCTAGAGAGGAGAATCCAATTGAAGAATTCAATGCTTAGCCTCAAAGCTTTAAAAGACAACATGTCTTATTAAGGGCTAATGCTGATGACTTTAAGTTGAAGCCAATGCTCATGTACTATTCAAAATCCTAGGGCTCTTAAGAATTATACTAATGTCACTCTGCTGTGATACACTAATGGAACAATAAAGGCTAGATAGATGATAGCACATCCGCTCACAGTATAATTTATTGAATAGTTTAAGCCCATTTTTGAAACTTACATCTCAGAAAAAAAAAAAAAGATTCTTTCAAAATATTATCGCTCATTGACGATGTACCTAGTCACCAAGTGCCCTGATGGAGATGTTCAAAAAGATGAATATCTTCATACTGGCAAACACAACATCCATTCTGCAGCCCATTAATCAAAAAGTAATTTTGACTTTCCTTTTTTTTCTTTTTTTAAGAGACAGGATCTTGCTCTGTTGTCCAGGCTGGAGTGCAATACTGTCATCATAGCTCACTGCTGCCTCAAACTCCTGAGCTCAAGTGATCCATCTGTCTCAGCCTCACAAGCAGCTGGGACTACAGAGATACACCATCACAGCCAGCTATTCTTTCGATTTTTTAATTTGTTATAGAAACGGGGTCTCACTATTTTGCCCAGGCTGGTCTCAAACTTCTAGGCTCAAGTGATCTCTCATTCTTGCTCCTCACTTCCCTATGTGCTGGGATTACAAGTGTGAGCCAATGTACCTGGCATAATTTTGACTTTCAAGTCTTATTATTTAAGAAATAAATTTCGGCCGGGCGCAGTGGCTTACGCCTGTAATCCCAACACTTTGGGAGGCCGAGGCGGGCAGATCACGAGGTCAGGAGATCGAGACCATCCTGGCTAACACGGTGAAACCCCGTCTCTACTAAAAATACAAAAAATTAGCCGGGAGAGGTGGCGGGCGACTGTAGTCCCAGCTACTGGGGAGGCTGAGGCAGAATGGTGTGAACCCCGGGGGGCGAAGCCTGCAGTGAGCCGAGATCGCGCCACTGCACTCCAGCCTGGGCGACAGCGAGACTCCGTCTCAACAATAAATAAATAAATAAATAAATAAATAAAATAAATTTCATAAGGCTCTAGCTGCCGTAGATAGTGATTCCTCTGATATATCTAAGCAAAGTCAACTGAAAACCTTCTGGAAACTATTTACCATCCTAGATGTCATTAAGAACATTTGTGATTTATGAGAGGAGGTGAAAATATCAACATTAAAAATAGAGTTTGGAAAAATTTGATTTCAGTCCCATGAATGAATTTGAGGGGTTAAAGACTTCAGTGGAGAAAGTAATGGCAGATGAGGTGGAAATAGCAAGAGAATTAACATTAAAAGTGGAGCCTGAAGATGTGACTGAATAGCCAGAGTCTGATGATAAAACTTGAATGGATGAAGAATTGTTTATTTAGTTTTCTATTTGATGAGAATTTAGAATATTACACAGATGTATTTGATAAAGTACCAGAAGGGTTTGAGAATTTAGAATATTACACAGATGTATTTGATAAAGTACCAGAAGGGTTTGAGAGCATTGATTCAAATTTTGAAAGAAATTCTACTGTAGGTAAAATGCTATCAAACAGCATCACATACTACATAAAAATCTTATATGAAAGGAAGAGTCAATTGATGCAGCAAACTTCATTACTGTCTTATTTTAGGAAATTGCCACAGGCACCCCAAGCTTCAGTAAATACCAACCTGATCAGTCAGCAGCCATCAGCATTGAAACAAGACCCTCAACCACCCAAATTATGCTGTGAACTCACTGAAAGTTCAGATAATAGTTTGCGTTTTTCAGCAATAAAGTATTTTAATTAAGCTATATGCATTTTTAGACAATGCCATTGCACAATTAATAGACTATAGTGTAATTATACTTTTATATGCACTGCGAAACCAAAAAATGCATGTGACTTGCTTTACTGTGATATTCACTTTATTTCAGTGGTCTAGAACCTAACCTGCAGTATCTCTGAGGCCTGCCTGTGTATAACTGTAAATATTCATTTGTTTCGAGGTAATTTTAAGACTTTCAGAAATGCTATTCCTGTAAGATGTTCACTCTGTTAATTTTAGTAATGGAAAATATTCCTCACTTTCCATCCTAGATAAAACTCATCTGGTCTTCAAATGTTATTAAAAGAAATTTGAACGGACAGCCTCAAAATAGATTGACTGAATATAAATAAATTTTAAGGTTCAGATATAAATGAAAAATAAAAAGCTTACATCAATGATTTCAAATGGCAACCTGGATCTGCTCTAGGATACCAGACACTTAGATAATTATTTTCATGTGTCATGTCAGTGAATCCTCTCAACAATATTAAGGTCAATATTATTAAATAATCTCATTGATGAAAAAACTGAAATTGAGTTTTAATAACTGGTTCAAGGTCCTAGATAACAAAACTATATAGGATTTAGAAGTTGATCCTAAGTATATGCCACAAAGCAGAGTCCAAGCATTTCATTATGTCTGCCTTTGTTTCTGCTGTGAAATTCACATTACCATGGCTTCCCATCTTGCTGTCAAGCTTTGCATAAAGGCCATCCCTACCTTCCTCTGCTTATCTCAGGAATCTCTGACTATAGGATTCTCTTTGCCTTCTCAGACTCATCATTTAAGGTCGATATGGTGCCTACATTCTTGTCCCCACACATCTGCCACATGACTCCTGTTAGAGACATCTGCCAAACTATTCACCAATAGCTTATTATGCACATGGTACATAGAAAAATATTTGGTCCAGAGGCTGGAGGTGGGCAAAGATTCCACAGCTAGCACTTTCTGCCACTTTCTGAGCTGTTCCCCATTTCAACCTGCTCTTCTGTTTTACCCTTAAAAATAAGTTTGGCTTGTATAAAACATAACCTCATATGAAGTCACAAAAATTATGGTTCAGAATGCTGGCACTTCACTTAGGAACATCTATTGACTGACCCTTCTGTTATTGTTGCTTATGTTTCTGGAGGTTAATACTTTTGAAAAAGCACATTCAAAGGAGTTCTAGAATAATTTACCCCAGAATACAGGTACAAACAATAGTTCATATCTAATTCCCTTAAGAGCTGAAGAGAAAAAATTCAACAAAATAAGGATTGTCATATTTGTTGCAAAAAATCTTTGTAGGTAAGTGGAATTACCTGTTAAAACTGACATTTTCTTTTCTTGTCTTTCCTGAGAAATTCTTGGAGTATGCCCTTAGTGTAACTTTAATTTTCTCTTTGCCCTGACTTGGTGGCTTGATTTACATAATTCATAATCCTGATTCATATGTAAGTCATTCATTTGCTTTCTTCTCCAAAATCCAGAGAACTTCCAAATGCAAAGATGGTACCAGTGAGTTTGCACATGCTGACACCTAAAAGCAAACAGGAATTAATAATGTACACACACAAAGTATGTTTAATTTACGAAGTCAGACCTGCATTTGTAAGATTGTGTACCTACCGACATCCCTCTACTAATTTTTAATGAGATGGTGAGAAGTCTGGAAACTGTATTAGATTCCTGAGAACAGGAGTGCAAAAATAATATGGGGTACATTCAATTTAGAGCATTCTGTAGTCCCAGAAGGCTTACCCTGAAGTACAGTAGAAATGGAATACAGGATACATGTAAAAGAAGAAAACTGCATAGCAAAAGTGTTTCACAAGAGTAGATTTGAGTATTTTTTTTTCTAGAAGCAAAGTATGTATAATACTAAGACCATGCAGTCACTAGAGCTTAATGTTTTAAAATACAGATAAATATAGAGTCTTGCATGAAGAGAAAAGTGTTATTGTATTGTTCTTTAATAGGATTTTAGGGACTTCCTCAAAAAGCTCCAGTTTGAAGAGATACTTAAAATAGATCTCTAAAAATAGCAAGTAATAAAATAAAAATAAAATATATACCTTTTGTATATTATACTTTGAAAAATCACCTGCATATTCTCATCTGGGAGAAACCTTTTATAAAAATATTTGTGTTTTCTTTAATATGTACTGCAGAAATAAATTTACCTGTTAAAAGTGCACATAAAGTAAAAAGTGAATTATATATATATACATTTTATTTTAACATTTAACTATACAGAAATTATAAAAAGTTATAAAATATATATTTTTGCAACAGCATTGAATGCTTTTTGTATTAATTTAGTTAATCAGGCCAATAAGTGATCAAAATAATAATTTTTTAAATTAAAATGATATATCACAAATATTTTCTAGGCCTACTGTTATTAAAGCAATTAGAAGTTTATGTTTTTCCAGTCAAAATTTGCAGGTTATCTTAAAACACTCTCAATTCAGAACACTTTTGCCATCCCAAAAGTGTTTTCTACCTCCTCAGAAGAAATCCATTTTTGTATGTCTTTGCTGCCTTTGAACTCTTTAATGGCGTATTAAGTACAAGAGATACTTTTGTGCGGAGATTTGGAGAGTGGAAGTAAAGCGGTAGTTATTGGTTTTATGCTTAGAAGGTTGAAACAGGTGCTTTTGCAGCTCTTACGTGTGGCACTTGTCTGCTGGCTAATTTGGTCTGGGACAGAAGCCAGGCCTGCAATTACTCCACCTTGCCCTAGTGGATCTTTGCTGACTGGGTTTGAGATGTGCTCAGCACTGTGATGAAAGGTGACAGCTTTTCTTGCAGGACACCTAAGGGTTCTAGTCCATCTTTATCATTTCCAGCCAGCTTATGCTCACAGACTCCAGATCATGGTCGTGTGTTTAAATTTATTCTTGTTCTATGCACTTTACATTCATCTTTCTTTCTCAATGGCCACCACGTGGACCTCAAGCTCTAACAATGGAAGCAAAGATAGCAGTCGTATAGTGTTTAACCAACACCTGTAATGGCTAAAGTCTTTGTTTTCTGGTTGAACCCTGATACAGTCATTACCATCATCAGAAATAATTTGTAAATCAAGAAAGCAACACTAAAATGAAATAAATTTAATCTAATAACATAAGAAGTAAAAGCAAGGTCCACAAAAATCTTTTAAAAAGTTTTATGTTTATAGCAATCTTTATTTCTTGACATCCTTATTTAAAGATTTCAGATAACTAAAAGATACCAATAATTAAGCTATTTTTTCTTAGCTTCAAATCTACCCTTCTTTGTGATTCTGGAGTTAGAGTTCTACAATTCTCCCCTTCATCGGCTAGAATTCTATTGGAATATATAAATTAGGAGCATGAAAGGGTCACTGCATGAGGACGAGAGAGCATTTGCTTTTTCCTGTTTGTATTCTATTCTTGTTGGAGCCTCCCTACCAATGGCTCTGCTCTGGCAGGAACAGTTGGTTATAGTAGCCAGCTTCTTTAGTTAATTCTAAAGCCAGTTTACCAAAACTCCTTATGAAGGCCAGCCAACCAGCCCTACCCCTCCCCAGAAGTCTGAGCCCTTGTTCTATGGGCCTCTCCTTTTATCATCTAAGGCACTAAAAAGAAAAAAAAAAAAAAATCCCACCTTAGAATGCTAAGTACCTCTGTCTTGTGGAGTCTTTCATCTGTGCTTCTATCTGCTCCCCCTCAAACTGCCACATTATTTCACCCAGACCTAGAGATGGCCTGTTTCTTGTGTGAGTGTTTTATTTTTTATTTTTCATACTCTAACTCCTGTTTAACTAGTTCCCTGTATTAAATTATGTCTGTTCAAAATAACCAGAGTTCTTTCTGAATTCCTGACTACATCCTAAATGATGAGACCATCACAAATTCTTTTCACTAAAGTATTTTAAACACTAACTTAATTTATCACTTTATAAAATTCTAAATGACAAGCTAAAACTGATTGTGTGGATTTTATATGACTAACTGTGTGGGCTTTAGTTAGTTAATGAAAAGATGAAATACTGGGTGGAAGCAAAGCAGATTATTTTTGCCATGTTGTGTATGACCATATAATATGCAGCTGAAGACTTTAATACTGATATTTCTTTCCAGATTCCATTGTCAGTATCCATATATGTGTCAACTTCTGGTTTAATATATGATTCATTTTTTATTGTCTCAGTTGCCCTTTGTTCTGTTAGCATTAATATATATTTTTATATATTTTAGTTTTACTTTTTCGCACAATAATTGAGTAATTATTCAATTGAAAAAGTTTTCTTTGAGCTTTTCTTATGCCTAAAGAAGTAAATTATCACATACAACATATGAAGGAGGAGTTAGATTAAAATAGCTTCAAAACAGCTTTCTACTGAAAACATTATTCAAAGGCACAGATAATTTTCATGAAACTTTTAAATTTTATACTGGAAGAATATTTACCTTGTCTGAGCCAATTGCTCTATTTGGACTTGTTATTTATAACAGATTTTTTTTTCACATGAACAAATTCATATTTTATCACTTTATCAAAGTGTTATTTTATGGGTAGTTGCATCTGAACTTTATCAAGTAACTTATTGGAATATCTAGGTGTTACATGCAATCTCTGGGATGTTTTGAATGAGAGAGGCTGAAATAAATGCATTCTCTTCTGGATTTTATATGTATTTATTGAGTATTAATGTTACTTAAAGAAATACGAGTCCCTTCAGGGCTTGTGTGTGTGTTTATTTATGTGTGTCTGTGTGTTTGTGTAAGGAAGAAAAAGCAAACACAATAAAGTAGACTGTGGGAGTAGAACTGTGGCATTCAGATGTGAAGAGAAAATGTCAGTTTACCTCGGGCCCTGAAAAACAATATATTTGAAAAGTTCAGTCATGCCCATATTAAAAAGTGGTGATCTTTAAATGGGTAAGAATATTAGTAATGGATGTATATTTAATTATAATTACTTTTTCCTTGGTAATTAAGTTTTCAGTTTTGGTTCATAAATGGTCAAATATTTTACAAATCAAACACTTCCAAGTATGAATCTTGCTTCCTGGATTATAAGTATGTCTAAAGACTTAAAAACAATATCTCAAAAGAAGTCTTGAATGTTGCAGGAAGTCAGGGACCCCAAACAGAGGGACCAGCTGAAGCCATGGCGGAAGAACATAAATTGTGAAGATTTCATGGACATTTATTAGTTCCCCAAATTAATACTTTTATAATTTCTTACACCTGTCTTTACTGCAATCTCTGAATATAAATTGTGAAGATTTCATGGACACTTATCACTTCCCCAGTCAATACCCTTGTGATTTCCTATGGCTGTCTTTACTTTAATCTCTTAATCCCATCATTTTCGTAAACTGAGGAGGATGTATGTCACCTCAGGACCCTGTGATGATTGCATTAACTGCACAGATTGTTTGTAGAGCATGTGTATTTGAACAATGTGAAATCTGGGCACCTTGAAAAACGAACAGGATAACAGCAATGTTCAGGGAACAAGAGAGATAATCTTAAACTCTGACTGCCGGTGAGCCGGGCGGAACAGAGCCATATTTCTCTTCTTTCAAAAGCAAATGGGAGAAATATCGCTGAATTCTTTTACTCAGCAAGGAACATCCCTGAGAAAGAGAATGCGTTCCTGAGGGTAGGCCTCTAAATTGGCCTCCCTGGGTGCGGACATCTTTTATGGTTGCCTCTAGGGATGAAATAAGCCCCAGTCTCCCATAGCACTCCCAGGCTTATTAGGACGAGGAAATTCCCACCTAATAAATTTTTGGTCAGACCGGTTGTCTGCTCTCAAACCCTGTCTCCTGATGAGATGTTATCAATGACAATGTGTGCCCAAAACTTCATTAGCAATTTTAATTTCACCCCGGTCCTGTGGTCCTGTGATCTTGCCCTGCCTCCATTTGCCTTGTGATACTCTATTACGTTGTGAAGCACATGATCTCTGTGACACACACCCTATTCGTACACTCCCTCCCCTTTGAAAATCACTAGTAAAAACTTGCTGGTTTTACGGCTTGCGGGGCATCATGGAACCTACCAACATGTGATGTCTCCCCCGGACGCCCAGCTTTAAAATTTCTCTCTTTTGTATTCTGTCCCTTTATTTCTCAAACCTGCCGACGCTTGGGGAAAATAGAAAAGAACATACGTGAAATATCGGGGGTGAATTTTGCCCGATATCTGGCTAAATTTCCCCCAATACTTGAAGACCAAAAGTCAATTTTTAAAGTAGCCTTCAGGGTAAAAGGTAACAATTTTAAATCACAGAATTCAGAGAATAATCATGGACCAGTTGTGCCTAGAGTTAGTAGTTTCAAATGTTTAACACTCCATTTGCCCCAGATTTATATATTTATTTTCCAAATCAGTCTGTGTGTGTGTGTGTTGGTGTGTGTATGAATGACAGACAGAGACAGTATCCACTGACAGCTCCAGCACTATGTGGTCTTTATCTCTTATAATTCTACATTGAGAGAAACTTTTACCCCTAACTTTTATATATCAATTTTCATTGAGTACCTGTGATTGCATCCGTTTGAATCAAACGGTTTTCTCTTGAACCAATCACTTTAAACTGGGGAAACAGTTTGGCTAAGTTTGTATTACCAACCCTAAAGTCAAATTACATGTAACCATCTATATTAACTTTTCTGATGGTACAAAGATGTGTATGATTTATATCACCTTGAGATGTAATACATAATACTTAGTTTCATATTACTCTGAGAGGGTGGGAAAGAAAAATAATTAGAAATATTTGGTTTTTATGTTAATAAATTAAGTCATTTATTTCATTTAATATGAATTCTCAAAATTCTACTGCTTTTTCCCCAAGTTTTAAGGTCTTATATAATAAAATTACTAACTCTGTGAATGTGAGATAGTTCCGTTTAATGTTTTCATTTAAATAAAATTTTATGTTTTATTAAAAGTACATGAGCTGATAAAGTATATGACTTCTCATACCTATTATTCTGTTTTATGAATGTTATTGAAAATGTCTGTACTATGCCTTAACACAGCCACACTAACACTATAATATATGATTCAGAACCTCACATAATCTAGATTGCCTCATTCATAATGTATTCATTTGGAAATATTTCACATGAGGAAAACTGAACTTCTTCAAAGTGATCTGTAAGAGTCATTTGAAATTTAGCTATTCCACAAACATTTTCAACCACGGTAGTTAGAAAAATAATTGCCTAACTCTAAATTCCTTCAGCACATATCATATGAACTATTGATTTATTTCTTAACATTAATCATTTTATCATTAATTTCTGTGGAGTCAAATTTAGTAGGCTGCTTTATATTGTAGACTTTGAAAAAAAAACGAAAGAAAACAACAAACAACAACAACAAAAGAATGTGTGTGTTAAGCACTGGCCATGGTAGGGTCTAACATATATTGTTCTAATACTGATGATTTCTACTGGCCTTTCATGTGGAGTATACTGCAGCAGAGCTACATGCATAACTCAATGTCACCACCCTGGTCTACTCAATAAGGTGTTATCTACTGGTCCCTGGGTATGTTCAGGAAAATTGCCATATCGTTTCCATAGGAAATTATTATGATCCCAAAGGCAGTCCACAGCTTATTTTAATAATTTGTCATTAATAGAGAATAATAATTACAAAAGCACTTATTTTTGGAAGATGTCACAAAGATGTTCCTGAATAATATAGTTCACTAAACAGACAATGCTTCCTTAGGCAGGACACTGTGGAGTTCATCCCTAAGATTATAGAATATTCATTTCATAATCTTAAGACTCCTCAATATTTTTTACCAGACTCTTCCCTCTTCATATTTAAGAATGGCTAAACATCAGATTACTTAGGTGCCAAATACTGGTTGGAAAAATTGTGGGAGGAGACCTCTGTGTCCCAGAGGCAATTGTTTCAATTGTCATATTTGCCAACACTTTTCAGTAATTTCATGTTCCAATTCAGAACTGTATAAGCAGATTTGCATTCTAAATTTCTCTGTAAAATTTTAAATGCCATAGTTCATAGATTTCACAGTTATAAAGTTCAATAATAATAGTCATTGTGAAATTGAACTTTGTGATAATTTTAATAAAATCTGTGTCATATTTTGTTGTGTATGTAAGGAAAATTGAAACTTTTCCTTACAAAAGGCATATTTTCCTTATTATGTTTGTTTTAGAATGAGATTTTGCATACATAGCTACAGAAATGCATTTATAAATTTCTAACTCATGTTATTGAAATTCAAAATACAAAGTACTCAATCTTTTCTATTGTAATTATTTAAATAAATAATATTTCAATATGTAATTAAAAATAATCCTATCCTAAATTGGTACTTCTACAAATTTGTTAACTTTCAAGAAATGTTCCTATATGTTTCACATGATATTAGATTTAGGAAAGATAAATAACATATAACATTTAATCAAATGCCTGAACTAGCAGAATACAATCAGCCACTAGAAAATTGGTTATGTTCCTTTCAGCATTGTAAGGAAAACACTCCCAAATCTGACCCTTGGAAATGTTGCCAGAGATTTGCTTCAAATCAGTGCATAACAAAAGGATTTCTCTTTGCAAATGTTAAATCCCAACTCATTTCCTTCTGAATCCATCAGCCCCACAGCTTTTCCTCTCTCAGCCTCAATGGCAGGATTGTGAAAGCAAACAGCTGTCCCTCCATTATTTTTTTTTCATTACATGCTACAGACTGTCACTAGCTCTTATAAATTCAGATTGAACTGAACAGTCTGAAGAAGTTCAGTTCAGGGTCAAGCTCCCTGAAATAGCATGAAATTGTGCATTGCTGGAAACAAAGGGTTTAATCTTTGTGCCAAGGGTCATAAAACAGGATCATCTGGTTCTTTCAACCATTACTCTTCTACTGCAGCTAGTTCCTGGAAATTTGTAACTTTCAGTGATTGAAAGAAGAAACTGTCCGTTGCTTAAGAGAAGGGAAAAATGCTGTAACAGTGACTTGGACTTGATTTACTGATGTTCTGCTTCACTGACATATTCAATAAATTGCAATTAGTTTTCGCAGACTTAATATTCAAAATCCATGGTTACTGGAGTGTGCTTTGGAAGATTCAGTCATGTAAACCAGGGCAATATATTGATGCACATGTGCTACATACTTTAGTGACATTACTTCTTTTGATTTGATGTTCTCTTTGCCCAGCAATATTTCAGCTATTCTAAAAATGTCCTCCTTTGTAATTCACAACCCAAAAATCATTTTTCCCATTATCAGGCAGAAAAGAAACAGAATTCATGCTTAAAGATAACTAAGAAGATATGAAACTAAATTATACTACGATTGCTTTTGTAAAGCTCTTTATGAATTGGGAGAAATAATTATCTATTCATTAAACAAGCATTTTAGAGGTAGTGGTTAAAACTTTCTGTTTTCAAATAAAATAATACAAAAATAATTTTATTTTTTGGCATAAGTATGAGAAAATAAGATACATGACAGAAAGAAAGAAGATATACAGAATCAGTCTAGGTGCTGGTAACATTTTTTGTTACACTATATCGTTTGACATTTTGCCTGAATTTCCCTTATTCTAAGAGCCAGAATATTATGGTGAAAGTCATGTTGTATTTTTTTAGTTTGAGGTTACTTTAGGATATATCTTTTAGAGAAATACTTATTTTGGAACGTATCCTTAATTTTAATAATTCAGGTTATATGTGAAACACATACACACACACACACACACACACACACACACACACACACAGAATTATAGGGTTTCACATGACTAGCAACTGATGTTCTGTTTCTGGTTTGAACTGCATCTACATTTCTTTTTAGAAACCCATATAGAAGCAGTATTTATTACTTTCTATTTGCCTGAAGTCATATACTCAATGTTTTCTGTCTTATTTTTCTTCTGTAACTTATTATTTTCTCTTAATTGTGCACAGAAAATAAACTTAATCAGATGTGATTTCTCATGAATGTAAGAAAGGGATAATCCCTACCCTTAAAAAATTTTAGTTTATAAATCACTTGGAACCACTCCATATTCTATTATTTCTTCTCATGTGTGAATTCTCACAGTCATCAGAGTTTTTACTAAAGATATAGTCAATTTACTTCTAGAAACAAAAGCACGCTTTCTAACAGCTTGTGACAACAATACTGTTTTTTGAAGTTACAGGCACATTAGACAAATTGGGGTATTTAAATGGCCCTTGTAGTTTGTAATTTTCTTGTGGATGCATGTATTCACTTTTTGGAAAAATTTGTTTGTTGTTGAATTGAAGTCTATACTTCAAAAGAATGTTCAGAAGCTCTGTGATCTTATGAGGAAAGGTAAAATTGATAAGGTGAGAAAAAAAAACAGATTCTACCTTAGAAAATTGTGTACTTGAAAAATCTCAATCAAAAGTAAAAGTAAGTTGAGTGTATTTTAATTAGATTATTACTTATTTTTAAACATTTATTTTTATATTACTAAATTTACTTTAAATTGCCTTTATTTTATATAACTATTTTTTCTACACATTTTTTGTTTCGTGCACAATATAGGACTGCAAATTCCTAGTATATCTAGACTGAACCTTAAGTCTAAAATCTTTGAATATTTATATATGCTTCTTACCTGTCACTGAACTATATTTTTCTTTAACATACAAGTACTACCCAGTCTTTGGAAGTATGGAAAGCTACCAAAAATTATGTATGTTTTCTTGACAATATTTAAATCACACTAAATATACTTTTGATAAACTGCTTTTTTCCTTGCTGATTTAGTATTTTTTACTTTTGCTAAGTAGAAACAGCTTAAAATATATATTTAGTTTCACAAATATTTTAAAAAATAGTTGAATGAATGACATACTAAAATTTAATACATAGTAGTTGTTTTAAATTCCTTACAGATTTTTTTTTCCAGAGGCAGTTAATATCAGAGACTCTTTACTTATTCAGATATATCCAAATATACAGGTTGAAAGTTTTTATTAATGATGCGTAATAACATAACACATATTGAAAATGACTACCATTATTTTACCTCACAGTCTTTGGTATGAAACGTAAGGAAAAAGAAGAAAACAGTCTTTGTACCCATGGAAACGGTAAAACAAACAGGCTGACGCACCTTTTATCTATAGGAGCCTATCAATTTGACTTTTAAAATAATTATGTTCAAATAGTATTCACTGACTTCATGGGTGTCTTTTGCATTTATAACAATTTCTAATTTCTTCTCTTTTCCTTGAGCAATATGCCTTTCCAGGATCTCATTTTGGGAATTATAGATTGGAATATTCATTGCTGGACTTTTTGCCACATAATCTAATAAGATATTTTATTCCTCTTTTCAGCTCTGTTAGATAGCAACTGTAACACAATTATGACACACTTCTCTAAAAGTAAAGGTGATTGAAAATGCTAGGGTAATTAGAGGTGCTGCTGTCTTAAATATGTGAAAGTTCAATTTTATTTTCTTAAGCTGACTCTAAACATTTCTTAACATTTACTTCAGTCATGCAGACATTTCAAATGTTGATACTTTAATAGTGCTATTGATTGTTTGGAAATTCAGAAAGGATGTGCCTTTCACCAAATCATAAAATTGCAAGTGAGTGGGTTTCAGCCATCTCAAGATCACTAGATACATTCCGCCTAGCATCAATCAAAGTATACATATTCAAAAAAGACTTTTTTATTCTTTGTGGAAGAGTTGTAGTAAAAATAAGGATATGCTTACATTTTTTGTATGTTTTTATTCTTTAGCATTTCTGTTATTTTCCTTATTTTAACTGTGTTCTTTTTTCACATTCTGTTCTTATTTGTTTCTCATCATCTTTAAGAAAGAACATTTTTATAAAAGTGTGACTGAAAAATAAAGATAATTGAATTTAAGGAAAAGGAGTTTAGAAAACATGTCCAGTCTTAAGGTACCTAGTTGTAACATACACTTCTTTTTCTTTTTTTATTAAGGCTAGTATGTGCAGTAGTGAGAAGGGAGTATTTCTATAGGATGTTTATTGTAACTAAAAATTATTTTAAACAAAATTGTTTTCTTAAAGCAATCTTTAGATGTTTGGTTTGCTGAAGAATGTATTATTATTACACTGTTACACACATATGTGTATGTGCATACAAATTTATAGTATGAATCTAATGTAACAATATATAAAAAATTAATGTTACTTAAACAAAATGTAGAAATAATTAAATGACAGAGGAATTACTGTACTAGAATGAAAAATACATTATCAGGTTATAGAATTTCAATTTACATAGTATTTTCTAAATGTTGCTTCTTTTGATATCCCTTTAAAATTAGTAAGGTTGCAAATCTAGTACCCCTTTCAAAAAAGCATCATTGGAAACTTATTTTGAATTAATATAATTGATGAATTCATTCCATTTTTTCTGCATTAGGTGGTGTACTGGTTCAGGGGCTCTGAAAAGTAGTAATAATTCATCTGGCCCTCAAGATTATTACCATTACCAACAGAATTAAAGGAATAAGGGCCCCTTTTTAGAAAACTTTGATTACTTCTGATTCCCTGGAAATATTATTTTCCTGAAGAAGTGACAGTCTATAAATTAAAATTTTCTATGTTATATTTATAATAAATACTTGTATGTGTTTATACAGTTATGCTTCTTATTATGTATTAGCTCACTAAGACTATAAAAGGGGAATATAAAAATGTTTGATAAGGGTAACTTCTGTAACAGTTGAGGTCCTAATCAGTGAATTTTTCCTTTCTGGAGTTTCTGTAGAATTGCTGACACTTATCCTGTACAGAGAATTTATGAAAACAAATTCTGATCTAGTTTCAACTGGACAAAATAAATAACCTATGTTATAAGCTACTTGCTTAGTATGAATGAATGTTTATTTTTTGCTAGGACACTACATGCAAGTATTTGCATAAATTTTGCTTTTTTAATCTTAGGGGTTTTTTTTAGCAATTAAAATATTTAGAACTAACCTGTAAATATATTCAAATTAAATAAGTTGAAGAGTTTACCAGTTAAATTGGAAGGTTCTATTTCCTGTTATACAGACACTGAATATGGTATTTCTTTACAATTCTTTGAAAACTCAAATGCAATAGTGCTATCTATTCTTGGATCCTTGGTCCAAAGCATAGCTGCTTTGGGTTTCAAGTTATATTTATCACTTCTTCTGGGGTGCTCTCCCTGATTCCACATATTAAATTTGGATAAATCTTGTGGGTTCTTCTCTAGTGTCCTGTGCTTATCTTTTGGAATTCTTATATTTTATGTTAGGCTCTGCCATGACACAGAATGTACACATAATGTTCATAGCTGGATATCTCACACTTTTTGAGTATAAAAATGATAATCATTATAACAATATTATGTATTTTTTTAGTTTATAAGCTATAACTATTACATTGAATTATGAGATTCTTCTGATTATTTGTGATAAAAGTTTAATTTAAAAATGAATGTAAGTTTAAAATATGGTAATGCTAGTTAAGTTGAGCTTAATTATGTGTTATAAACTTTATAAAACATTAAGGTTTGCATACTTTACAACATAAAGATCAATAAAAATGATGAGGATGCTGAAATAAAAGAAGTATTCCATAAATGTAGCAGTATCCATTTACATTCTTTTATGGATTACTCATATATAAAACACAGACATTGATAGATTCATATTTAAAACATAGAAATTTCGGCCAGGCGTGGTCGCTCACACCTGTAATCCCAGCACTTTGGGAGGCCGACGCAGGTAGATCACCTGAGGTCAGGAGTTCGAGATCAGCCTGATCAACATGGTGAAACCCCGTCTCTACTAAAAATACAAAAATTAGCCGGGTGTGGTGTTGAATGCCTGCAATCCCAGTTACTCAGGAGGCTGAGGCAGGAGAATCGCTTGCACCCGGGAGGCAGAGTTTCCAATGAGCTGAGATCATGCCATTGCACTCCAGTCTGGGCAAGAAAGCAAGCTCTGTCTCAAAAAATAAATAATAATGACAATAATAATAAAACAAAACATAGAAATTTGATGACCCCTAAATTCAAGAGTGGCAAATGGTCCTATGGTATGCACATCTAAAGACTAAATCCAACATGATAAACTATTCAGAAAGATTAGTATGTAAACCTATATTAGAAAAATCTGAATCTTCAATAAAATAAAGCTCTGTGAAGAGATGCTAGGGATCTGAGATCTGACATTAAGCATTTACAGCAGTAAGTGAACAAGTTGACTGACTCAAGAGAAGTAAGCACGGGATGAAGGACATATATGTTTCTGATGTAATATTAGGGATTAAAGGGTCACTCATCCCACAATCTTTTGCTTATAAGAACAAAGCATATTTCATATATCAAAGAGACATCAAGTAAGTTATTAAGTCATGTGAATATCTTTAACAATTGGGACTATCACTGTGGAGTATTATTATTGCATTGATTGTTATTATTATACATTTCAGCAATAGCAGTCTCATTTTAGATAAATTTAAAATGTAATACTTATATATATGGAACAATTTTCAGAAATGTAATTGTCAAGATGTTTTCCCTATGACCCCTGAATCTCTCTCAAATCCATCTGCTTCTTTCTAATGTCTATCTGCAGCTAGATTGTCTGGGTTTGTAGTCAGACTTCAACACTTACTATGCGACATTAAACTCTATACACTCAATTTCATTCTCTAAAATAATGATCAGAATAATGGTATCAATATCATAGGTTAGTGGTGAGTATTAAGTTAATTCATTTAAGTAAAGCTCTTAGAAGAACACCTGGCAAGTAGAAAATGGATTTGAGTGTTCATTATTATTTTCCCCATTGGCAGCACCTTGGTTTAAACTTGTAGATTTTATAAAGATTGTTCCAGATGACAAGTACTTTGGACATGCATGGCGTGCATATACACAAAAGGTTAGCAGTTGCAATTTTGAGTCTGGGATAGCATGTGTTACATCGTTTTTACTAGTAATAAGGGATTTATTTAGACTAATAAGCTTTTTGACTTATTAATGGATTCAATTTTTTGTTCAAATATATAGTGAAGAGCATATTAACAAAATCCATACACTAAATTTGTTGGTACTTTGAACATGACTTTATATCAAGTTTGGGATACACATCAAATTTTCTTGAATGCCTAAAGTTTATTCACTAAGTGCTGCTTACTTGCCAGCAGGAGAGGAACAATTTAGTCACAGAGGAACAATTTTGTCACATGTTAAGAATGACCAACTTATACAATAGAGTCACCAGTAATGACTCTATACCATCACCATGCGAGACTCACATTTATTTTTCTTATATTCCAGAGAACAAAAGCTTGATCTTTCATAACTGTATAGCAACTGTGGAAAGATAGCAGTATAAAGTGAAATGACAGGCTAATGGAGTCACCTTGAGCTGGGACTCATTTGCTGGGGACATAGTTATTTAGTTGTAAGAAGTATCTTTTAGTTTAGAGGTATAATATCTCCTCTTAAGTAACTTTTGCTTTCAGCAAACCATAAGAGTAAAAAATAATCCAAAAGGTTTGGAAGCCAAGGAATATGTCAAACTGAATCCTGGAGTTAATTCCTTAGTACCCAGCTCAAAGAAAGATGCCATCGTTTCATATCTGAATTACCAGAATGACATCTTCTATTCTTGACCATATTTGACACATGAACACCTTATTATTTCACTTTTTCTTCCTTTTTTCCTTTAGAACTTCTGAAAAATTTCAAACCTACAAAACAACTGAAAGAATAGTACAATAGGTATTTACATTCTCTTCTGGATCCACTAATTTTTAATATTTAGTACATTCTCTCTCTCTGTCTCTCTCTCTCTCTCTCCTGATTTAGAATTTAGTTGCAGACTTAATGACACTTCTTGCCTAGGTAGTTCATCATTTGTTTTTAAGAGCTAGAGCATTCTCTTATACAACGACAATACAATTATTATGTTCTGAGAATTTATCATTGATAGAATATTGTCATCTAGTACACAGTTCCTATTCAAATTTTGCTAGTTGTCTCAATTTTTATAGCTTCATGATTTTCTTTTTCTAGATTTAATCAAGAAAAACTCTTTACATTTGGTTTTAATATTTTCACTTTCATATTATCTTATGGAAGTCAATATAATATTTTTGAAAGCTCAAATAAATTATATCATCTCCTGCAATCTTTTAATAGCCCTTAAAATGAAATACAAATCTATCCTTAGCACCTCAATGCCATTTCATTTATTATCAACTTCACATTCTTTTTCAGTTACACAGAATTAACTTATATTTCCAGAAATCACCACACCCTCTCTTATATCTATATGTGGGGATTCAGTCAGGCTGGTGGGGAAAATTTTAGTTATAAATAATAGCCACAAACCTTCTTGGAAGGCCTGAAGGTTTTTGGAGAAGTTTTGGGATAAGGTTATGGCTGAAGGCAACCTAATCCTTACCTTGACTAAATAGTTTAAAGTGGGTACAAAGGAAGGAAGAGTAGTTTATCTAACTAGCTTGTTTACTCATGGGGTCATAAAACCAACCTTTGATCACTTGCGGGTACATGATGGCTCTCTCCGGGATGGGGGCAACCACATTAATTAGCCACAAGTGTATTTACTCACAACCTTTGTCAATTAATCTTTACTGAATAAATGCTAGTCTCACTGGCAAGTCAAGGCTATGGCTGCGAACTCTGTACAGAACCTTCCTTGGCGTCTGTAAGTGGTATGGACACTTAGCTGGACTGGCAAAGCAGAATATCTGTGTGTCAGTGTACTTTGTTCATCTGTCATTGAGTCAGGGTCTGCGAGGGACAGTCCCCTGCATCTGTGGCTTCACACCCTCTCTTACCTCTATGGCTTTGTATATCATGTTTCTGCATCAAAATATTCTTGAACCTTAATTCCTCTTCATCTGGCTACCTCATCCTTGTTCTGAGAGTCACAACTAGCACATCAATGCCAATAAAACAACTTCTCTGTTGACCTCAGACTGAATTTAGTGCCCCAGTACATGCTCATGGAGCATACTACAGTAATCACCAGAAAAGGATTTAATATGTTGCTTTGTATTCACCTGTTATTTACTAGAATTCTCATTCAGATTGTTAAGTTTCTTGAAGACATAAACTATATATCTTGCTCACCACTGTATTCCTCTCATCCACTGAGTATTTTTCACATAGTTCAGTGAATGTTGAGCAATAAGACACACAAAATCATAATGCTATTTTGAATCCTTAAGCTGAGTCTGAATAGAATTATAACTGAGTGGTCTGGGTGGGTTCTAGGTTATTTCTCTGTCAGAAGCAGGCAGAAAAATGTAGCTATTACTGTTATGTGATCTCTGAGAATATTTTCACAATTTATCTTTTTTTAAATGATTATTTGTGTGATATAATTTTGTAACACAAGACTATAAAAATAAAGTTTAATAATCAGGATTTGAAGCCTTTCCCAAATCTCCCACCTATAAGAAATCTAAGTTCAGATTGAGTGATTAATCTTTAGATTTAAAACTTACCAAAGGTTAACAATTTTCAGGAAAACATGCTTATCACTAATGGTAACATAGGAACATGGAAAAAGAATGCCCAGTAACTCGCTGCTTCTCATTTGTGGTTCTTGTAAAGAAATGATTCCCTTATAAACATATTTCTTATACATTAATGATAACTACCACAGAAAACTTATAGAACTACACTGAAAGGTAAGACATTCTTTTAACTTGTACCTCTCCACTTTATATTAATAGCATTAAAATATTCACTGATTCGTAAGGCTTGAAAAATACCTTAAAACTGATCTAATAACTCTTTTACATACAGTAAAGTCTATGTGTACACCATTTCAGATACTTACTTTTCCTTTCTTATAAACAAACACAACCTCGAAGTAGACATTTTTCACTGTCATCATTCCGTCATAGACCCAGAGCTATTTCTAAGAAAAGATCTCATTTTTATAGAAACTCAGAAAATTATAACAAAAGAAAATTTTACTCTTATAAGGCTGGTCTGCAGAAAAAGGTGGAATTTCATCCCTTCAAGAATGATACAAATTAATTAAAATAGGGTTGTTCCCCACCCTCAGCAATGGAAATCTACACAGATAGAGATAGAGAAAGAGAGAAAAACTACTTTTGGGAAAACCAATATTGGCATCTACAGATTAAAGAACATCACACAGAAAAACTGCAAATTAGGTATAGCCATAAATCGATTGCCCTATAGAATTCAGAGAATCTCTGTAATTTGAAATAGGAATGAATAATGAATTGGAATAAACTGCTATTCCCAAAATAGCTCTGTATTTCCATATAATGACTCTAAACACTACCCAATCACGTCTCCCCTAAATTACTACAACAAACAAAATAAGAGATTGCATAATTCAAAGTACTCCACCAATACTGAAAACAGCAGCTATACATTCCAATTCACTTCATTGTTTTATTTATTCATTTGAGGAACTTGTAATCTAGTGTATAAGGCAAAGAAACAATTATCAAAAGTTCAAGTAGGACTGTGAACAGTGTGCTGTGGATCACAGTAAGATGGCAGAACAGAAAGTCCCAGGCCTTGACTGCCTACAAAAATATCAATTTAACTATTCTGTGTGGACCAAAATACCATTATGAGGTTTCTATAACGCAGTTAAGAAGTTGCAGTGCCACAAGGGAAAACACAGCTGAGAACAGCAACATTTCAGTGAGCAAAAAGAGTAATTTCATTTTACACACACACCTCTTTTCCCCAAGCCCTCACAACTCAGTCTCAAGAGACAACCCTCCAGCTCAATCCTTCTCCCTCAGGGAACAAGGAAAAAGAAGAGGAATGCATGCATCCAATGTTTTAGCTTTTCAGAGGGCTGCCCAAGAAAGTGAATTCTGTTTCGCTTCATTTGGGGCATTAATGGAACCAGCATGTCTTGGATGTCTGGAGACAACAGAGAGCAAAGAAGAATTGGGAGAGGAGCTTGCTGTGGCTGGCACAACTCAGTGCACTCTGGAGAAAGAGCACAACTCCAGCCTTCTACCTCAGAAAGGAGGAGGAGAAGGGAAATGTGTATCCAGTGTTCTAGGTTTTTTTGGAGAGCTACTTGAGCAACTGGCATCTGTCTCACTTTACTCAGGGCATTAGGGGAAGCTGACACACTCTGAATGCATAGATGCCACTGAGAACTAGAGAAAGAAGGAGGCTTGCTGGTGTAGAATCAGGAAACTTTCACAGAGACACACCAGAGGAGCAAGAGATTATAAGCTCCTGAAAAAGAAACTGAGTAACTTTTTTTTTTTTTCTTTTGAGACAAGAGTTTGCCCTGTTGCCCAGGCTGGAGTGCAGTGGTGTGATCATAGCTCACTGCAGCTTTGACTCCTGGGCTCAGGTAATCCTCTGTACTCAGGCTCCTGAGTAGCCAGAACTACTGGTTTGTGCCACCACACCCAGCTGATTTTTTAATTTTTTGTAGAGATGGAGTCTTGCTATGTTGCTTAGGCTGGTCTTGAACTTTTGGCCTCAAGCAGTCCTCCTGCTACAGCCTTGAAGAGTTGTTGAGATTACAGTAGTGAGTCACAGTGCACAGCCTATAAACATCTCTAATTGAGAAACTGAATGCACAGGCCTCAGAAAAGTTCTATTTCCCCCTAAAATTTTCAGAGGCCCTCAGAATCTCCAACTGGGCTAATTGGTGAGAGTCTTTCCCTATACAAAGTCAGTTCATAAAGAATAGGAGAGGTGGCTGTTTTACATTTGTGTAGATCCCAACACAAAGTTATGAGCTACACAAAGAAACAGAAAAACCTGACCCAAGAAGAGGAATAAAATAAATCTCCAGAAACAGATTATGAAGAAACAGAGGTGTATGTGTCACCTGACAAAGAATCAAAACACCTGTGATAAATATGCTCTATGACCTCGAGAAATGATGCCTGTACAAAATGTGAATATCAAAAAGAGATAGAAAATTTAAAAGAAGCCAAACAGAAATTTGGAGCTGAAGAATACAATAACCGAAGTAAAAACTTTAATAGAGAAGCTCATCAGCAGACTTATACAAGCAGAAAAAGGAATTGGCGAACTCAAATATAGGTGATTTAAAAGTATCCAATCAAAAGGAAAAGGAAAACAGAATCAAAAGAAGTGAAGAAGGCCTAAGAGACTTATAATACACCATCAAGTGCACTAATATGCACATTATGAAAATTCCAGAAGAAGAGAGAGAGAAAGGTGTGGAAAGTTTAAAGAAATGATGGGCTAAAACTTGCCAAATCTGGGGAAGTAAATGAACACCCAGATTTAAGAACCCCACTGGATGTCAACAAATAAGAATCCAAGAATATACACACCAAGACATGTCATAAGGAAACTGTAAAAAGTGTAAGACAAAGAGAGACTTTTGAAAGCAACAAGAGAAAAACGACTTACTATATGCAAGGGACCTCCATAACCTTATCAGTAGATGTCTATCAGGAGATGTCTCGGCAGAAATCTTGCAGGCCAGAAGAGAATGGGATGATTTATTCAAAGTGCTGAAAAAAAAAAACAACTGCCAGCCAAGAATACTATCCAGGAAAACTATCTCTTAAAAATGAATGAAAAATAAGGACTTTACTAGAAAAACAAAGTGGGGGAAATGTATCACCACTAGATATGCCTTATGAGGAATGCTAAATGGGGCCCATACTACTTAAAGCAATTTACAGATCCAATGAAATCTATATTAAAATCTATATTAAATCTAAATTAAATCTATATTAAAATCTATATTAAAATATATTAAAATCTATATTAAAAATGGCATTTTTTACATAAATAAAAAAATTATAAAATTTATACAGAACCACAGAGAACTCTCAGTTGCCAAAACAAACTTGAGAAAGAAGAACAAAGCTGGAGGCCCCACACTTTGTGATTTCAAAATATGTTGCAAAGCTACAGTAATCATAAGAGTATGACACTGTCATAAAAAAACAGACATACAGATTAATAAAACAGAGATCTCAGATATCCACACATCTATAGTCAACTGATCTTTGACAAGAGTGCCAAGAACACATAGTGAGGCAAAGATAGTCACTTTAACTAATGGTTCTGGGAAAACTGGATATGCACATGCAAAAGAATAAAACTAGGTCTAAGTCTTACAACATACACAATAAATCACTCGAAATGCATTAAAGACTTAAGACCTAAAACTCTAAAACTCCTAAGAAAAAACACAAGAGAAAAGCTTCTTGACATTGATCTTGGAAAGGATTCTTTTTTGTTATGACACCAAAACACAAGCAACGAAAGCAAAAATAGACAAGTGGGACACCAAACTAAAAAATCTTCTGCACAGCAAAAGAAAGAATCAACAGGGTGAAAAGACAATCTACAGTATGAATGAAAATATTTGCAAAGCATGCATCTAATAAAGGGTTAATCTCCAAAATATATAAGCAACTTCTACAGTGAAAAGTAAATATTATTGTTTGATTAAAAGCTGAGCAAATGACTTGAATTAACATTTATCCAAAGAATACATACACATGGCCAACAGGTATATGAAAAGATGGTCATCATCATTAATCATCAAGGAAATGTAAATCAATCCCACAGTGAGGTACTACCTCATACCTGTTAGAATGCATTATTAAAAACAAGAACAACAACAAAAAGAAAATAGCAGGTGTTTGTAAGGATGTGGAGAAAATTGGAACCCTTGAACACGATTGGTAGGAATGTAAAATGAATCAGCTGCTATGAAAAATGGTAGAGAACACAGTGTGTAGGTTCCTCGAAAAATTATAAAGAGAATTACCATATGATCTGACAACATTAATTGTTCCCAATTCCCACTGGGAAAATGGGGAGCTGCTTTTCAGTGGATACGGTTTCAGTTATGCAAGATGAAAAAGTTCTGGAGACCTGCTGTAAAACTTTCTGCATATAGTTAACAATAGTGTACTGCACAGTTTAAAAATTATTTAAAAGGTAGGTATCTGGTTATCTGCTTTAACTACAGTAAAAATAGTTATGGAACCTCTTTTATAAACAAAAAATTACACATGTATATAAGCATTTTCAAATCTTAGGTACAATTTTAAATCAATTAAAGTGTGGAGAGAATTTTTTTAAGTGGGAAAAGAAGATGAGTGACCCTTGAAAGTTGTCCTCATTCAGACATCAAAAACAGCGTCTGAGTTTTTGTTACAATTCACTCCTGATTTTTGATCACCTTCCTTTGGGGCCAGTGGGAGGTTCAAATGATGCAATCTCTGGCCTGTATATGTAGGAACCTCATCCCAGCCCTATTCCCTCTATCTGCTATAAAACTTTAAGCCAGTGTTCTGTCCCTGTTCTCTTAAGACATTTTCAGACCAGTCCAGAAGCCTTCCCTGCTCTTCCCAGAAAGTTTTATTACTCAAATAATAAACCTTTTCATGACTTTTTGGAATATGTGTGGCAATACATCTTGATATTTAAGCCAAATCTTTTTTATTTTATTATCATTATACTTTAAGGTTTAGGGTACATGTGCACAATGTGCAGGTTAGTTACATATGTATACATGTGCCATGCTGGTGTGCTGCACCCATTAACTCGTCATTTAGCATTAGGTATATCTCCTAATGCTATCCCTCCCCACTCCCCCGACCCCACAACTGTCCCCAGAGTGTGATGTTCCCCTTCCTGTGTCCATGTGTTCTCATTGTTCAATTCCCACCTATGAGTGAGAATATGCGGTGTTTGGTTTTTAGTCCTTGCAATAGTTTACTGAGAATGATGATTTCCAATTTCATCCATGTCCCTACAAAGGACATGAACTCATCATTTTTTATGGCTGCATAGTATTCCATGGTGTATATGTGCCACATTTTCTTAATCCAGTCTATCATTGTTGGACATTTGGGTTGGTTCCAAGTCTTTGCTATTGTGAATAGTGTCACAATAAACATACATGTGCATGTGTCTTTATAGCAGCATGATTTATAGTCCTTTGGGTGTATACCCAGTAATGGGATGGCTGGGTCAAATGGTATTTCTAGTTCTAGATCCCTGAGGAATCGCCACACTGACTTCCACAATGGTTGAACTAGTTTACAGTCCCACCAACAGTGTAAAAGTGTTGCTATTTCTCCACATCCTCTCCAGCACCTGTTGTTTCCTGACTTTTTAATGATTGCCATTCTAACTGGTGTGAGATGTTATCTCATTGTGGTTTTGATTTGCATTTCTCTGATGGCCAGTGATGATGAGCATTTTTTCATGTGTTTTTTTGGCTGCATAAATGTCTTCTTTTGAGAAGTGTCTGTTCATGTCCTTCGCCCACTTTTTGATGGGGTTGTTTGTTTTTTTCTTGTAAATTTGTTGAAGTTCATTGTAGAGTCTGGAGATTAACCCTTTGTCAGATGAGTAGATTGCAAACATTGTCTCCCATTTTGTAGGTTGCCTGTTCACTCTGATGGTAGTTTCTTTTGCTGTGCAGAAGCTCTTTAGTTTAATGAGATCCCATTTGTCAATTTTGGCTTTTGTTTCCATTGCTTTTGGTGTTTTAGACATGAAGTCCTTGCCCATGCCTATATCCTGAATGGTAATGCCTAGGTTTTCTTCTAGGGTTTTTATGGTTTTAGGTCTAACGTTTAAGTCTTTAATCCATCTTGAATTAATTTTTGTATAAGGTGTAAGGAAGGGATCCAGTTTCAGCTTTCTACATATGGCTAGCCAGTTTTTCCAGCACCATTTATTAAATAGGGAATCCTTTCATTTTAAGCCAAATCTTATACAGAGATCTATAATATTTCTGCTAAGTGAGTTTAATATGTTTCATTTATTGAACAATCAAGGGGTAAATTTTAAAAAGCATGTTTTATTTCATTTTCCATTTCTGGTTCAGTTTTAGAATAGTCTCATGATCTCTGCTTTTTTTCCCTGGATAGGTGTGGTTAGCTCTGAGCTAGGTCTGTCTATTTCTGGCACTTCCTTTTTCATTGTTTTGCTTGTTTTCATTAAGAAATGTAACAATTTTAATTTACAGAGAGTTAAAGATTCATGTAAACAACAAAGACCTGTACAGTTGCATCCTTAGGAAGTTTAGAAATAGAATTTATTAATACCAATAAATTATATTAAAAAGATCCCAAACATTCAATATGGATTCTATACTAAGGCATGACCTGTGGAAAAGTAATTTCTTAAATAAGATATGCTAACTACCTGGTGTGTTTTATGATTTCAGTTTATTCAATGTCAACATCCATGCCAGATAATCACACAGACCTTCCAACTCATGCTTTCATAAAAACTATTATCTCCAATAAATCAAGTAAAATGTAGCCAAGAAATTGTTGCAAACAACCTCTGGAATAACAGTCCCATAGAATTCCCTTGTTATCTCCTGCACCTACATAATTTGTGTTTATTATTGTGAAATGTCTTGAAACCCTAAGTATCTTCCTGTTAAAAACCTACTCCCATATTTTATTTAGAAAAAGTGGTGACTCTTAGTTATTTATGTCAATTCAACAGTCAGAAAATGTGTATCAGAAGGCTTTTTGAGAATTGTCTGTTAATTTATGTGTTTTATTATTAATAATTCTATAATTATTTTATATGTCATTAATCTCTTACCTATTAATTATTTACCTATTATTTATTTATTATGTGAAGCTGTGAGAATACGTAATTGAACACTATAAGTTTCTCAAAACAATCAAAATAATGCGAGGGAAAGAAAAAAAGATTGATAATTGTGCCAATTACTATAATCCAGGTATAGACCCTGGCTTATAGATACACATTTTACATAATTTTAACTTTTATGAATCATTCCAGATAATTTTAAGGTGGCCATTCTATATTCTTCTTTTCTAGAATTATGAAGCCTGTCTGTAATGTGAGACAATGTTACCAATGATACATACTAAAATACCTATATTTACTTAATGAAAATAATGTATACAGATATGTTAAATATATAGACTGTATGTAAACACATTTTTTCCTAATGAGCTGACGCAATTGGGTAACCCAATCTGGGATTTAGTAGCCATTATTTCTACATGTGCCTAGAAGTTTGATGCAGCCATTTATTCATACCTTTCAACTCTGCGTCTGTTGAACTTTTTTTATCATTTCTCTTTCCCAGCACTGTCCAACATTAGTAGTAATTGGACTATTATCTTCATACTTTACCATCCTGTAGATGTGGTCACCCCCTGATGTATAGCCCTCACCAAAATTTTCTCAGTGTCTTTAGAAGGAGAAGACTTGTCTACAATTTATGATATTCACCATTTTGAGGAAAAAGGGAGAAGTATAAAATGTTGTTTAAAAAAGCCAGTATTTTAAATGCCAAGAAATAACCCTAATATAACAGTAAAACTATGAGGGTAGAATGGAATGTTAGGCATTTTTAAAGAGAGAGTGAACATTTGTATTCACAAAAATGAGTGGAAAGATCCAAGATCAGACAAGGGTGATCTCTGAGGTGAAGTGGGAAATAGGGATGAGAATATTGTCTTTGCATATAACTTAATGAGTAGAAAACCTGGGTTAATATTATATTTTTGTAGAGAAGCCTAGATTAATGGAACAGACATGAGTCAATACATAGTGGTAAATGAACACATTATTTTTTGGCTTATTTTAAAAATTTCTGCCTTTGCATTTGAATCACACTCATAGATTCCCTAAAGTCAAATAATTTTTGGCTAAACTGATAAAATTTTGAATATATAAAATTTAAGGCCAAGCTGCTGGATATTGTGATCCACCCAAATATCCAGGCATATTAGGAGACCCTTCATGCACATCTATCAACCACTGACTGACTTTCCTCTACTTCTCTGCTTTGTATATGTTAGTTGACTTTATCTTTACAATGGCTTTGAAATAGGGATTTTTACTCTCACTTCTCAAAAGAGCAAGCCTGTTAAGAGAAGTTGACTAAATATTCATACATACCAGATCAGTGTTAATTCAAAACTGGAGGACATTCATTTGCACTATGTTGTCTGTCCTCCATTCAAAATTCCTAAGCCTGCACTGTGGAAGAGATGTTGAAGTTCTGCAGTATCAGTTAATGCTATCACAAAGCCAAGAATTTTGGAAAGTTAATTTAAAAAAATTTTTGTCTGTATGTAAGTATATACACAATAATTCCAAAATTCATCAAATATCCTTTACTTAGTGACTAGTGAGAATAAGAAACCTAAATTAACATATTTTTGTTTTGCTTAAACATAAATTTAAAACAGTTGTACATTTCTTACTTCTTTTTATATTTTATTGTTTTCCAAGTGAAATGAACCCAGGTTATTAACATAATAGAATACAGCTGACCCTTCGACAATGCAGGTTTTAGAGACACTGACCCCTGTGCAGTTGAAAATCTGTGTATAACTTTTGACTCCCTCAAAACTTAACCATAGTAGCATAATATTGACCGGAAGCCTTACTAATAACATAATTAAAATATATTTTGTAAGTTATATGCATTATATACAATATTCTTACAATAAAGTAAGAGAAAATGTTATTAAGAAAAGTATTAAAAAGAGAAAATGCATTTAATATTTAATAAGTGAAAGTGGACCATCATAAAGGTCATCTTTGTCATCTTTACATTAAGTAGACTGAGGAGGAGACTGAGGAGGACAGGTTGGTCTTGGTGACTTTAGGGATGATGGGGTGGAAGAAACTCCAGGTATAAGTGAATTATTCCAGTTCAAACCCATGTTGTTCAAGGGTTGACTATGATATAACAATAATAAAAATTATTATTACAGGCCAGGCATGGTGGCTTATGCCTGTAATCCCAGCACTTTAGGAGGCCGAGGCGGGCAGATCACGAGGTCAGGAGATAGAGACCATCCTGGCTAACACGATGAAACCCCATCTCTACTAAAAATACAAAAACTTAGCCGGTTGTGGTGGCAGGTGCCTATACTCCCAGCTACTCGGGAGGCTGAGGCAGGAGAATGGCATGAACCCGGGAGATGGAGCTTGCAGTAAGCCGGGATCGCTCCACTGCACCCCAGCCTGGGTGACAGAGTGAGACTCTCTCTCTCAAAAAAAAAAAAAGTACTGTTACAACGACAATACAGGCTTCACTTTATTATTGTTTGTCCTACATTTCTCATTAGCTACATGTATATGAAGAACAGAAGCAGCAATGGTCAAAAAGTTTACAGAACTTTTCTTAAACTTTTCTTAAAAGTTTACAGAAACATTACACACATTGATTAAAAAGTGAGCAACCAGTTAATTTATGAGTTTATATTTTTTCCTAATTTTTAATCTTTGCTATATGTAGCAGGGGAGTTATTAAATAATATTTTCCTGATGTATCATTTATGAAAAATCATTTATAAGAACCAAACACTTCAAAAAATTAGTGTAATTGCTTCAGGTAAATCTGCAAATAAACTCTTAGCAAAGTGTTAAAAAATCTGAAAATATATTCAGAGTAGTGAGATATTTTCTTCTTAAACATACAAGATACATGCTACAGATTTATGTTGTCATCTTCTGAAGTTCTAAATAAAAATGAATTAGTAGCTATGATAATTATCTTATTTGCTAAAATAATTGTTAGATTAATAGCCAAATGTTTCTTTTATTTTTAAAATATATTAGCAATAACACAAATGATGCACTTATTTTCCATATAATTTTAAATTAATTTTATTTAATGATGATTCTGTTTATTATATTCACACCTAGTACACTAAATATCATATTATTTGAAAACTACATTAGTATTTCACTCGCATGCTAAAATATAATAAATTATTCTATGAAACAAAGTGTATAAATTTTCATCTTCTTGTAGACAAAAGTAGACAAATTTATCAGTCTTGCACATGTGATAGAATGTTTGCTAATTTATCCTACTTTAGTGGTTCAACAGTTGACATTATCTCCCCCACTCACCCACCACATACTACCGTCCATTCACTAAAAATTAACATGAATTTGAAATTATAAAAATGCTTTTATGCCTACAGTTTTGATTTGAGGCATTTCTATTAGCTAGAAAATGTGTTAATAGCTTATCTTTTGCTAACATCCTTCTTTAGATTAAATCTCAGAGAAGGCTCGAGGACAGAGGGGTCCCCAGATTCTACCTGAATTACAGGAATCCCTGACTTCCCTGAGCATAGATGAACTATCATGGTATACAGTAACTACCCAAATACAGAGTATATCTATCATGTTCTGGTTGGATGTTTTTTCAAATACCAATTATTATAAGGGTAAAGGCGGCATGTTTGTTGGTAGAATTTCCAGAGCACAGAAATGAAACAAACTTCTAAGACAGTGGTTTATAAAGTGCAGTCCACAGACCAGTAGTGGCAGCATCACTTGGGAACTTGTTAGAAATGAAAAATTTCAATTTCCATTCCAGATCTATAAAATCAAAAACTCTGAGGTTGGGGTTCAACAGTCTATGTTTTTAGCAGACTGTCAAGTCATTCTAATGCATTGTAAAGAACCACCTCTTTACAATGAAGGTAAGTGGTCACTCTTAAATAGATAGAACTTAGGTAAGAAGAGAGCATAGGAGGGGAAAGAAAAGTAAGCCCAATTCCTTTAAAAAGTACTTACGTATTTAGTAAGTTGTTATTTTCCACTGTGGTTAGTATGTGGCTGGAGTTTTTCCAGTCTAGAAATTTTCTGAGAGAGGTTAGAGAGGACAGAGAAAAGAAGGATAAAGCAGTTTTGCAGTCTTTAATTTGAAACATTTAAGGAAGACTAACCCGGTTATTTCATCTGAAAAACTTTTTTAAAATCTACTTCCTTGAGTTGGAAAAATAGAAAATAGCTTAAATAAATATTATTATAATTAAAAATAAAGAAAAATGAAATTGGGAAATAATGTAAGTTTTCTTTGGTACAACCTCTAATTTACTTTGATTTCTTTTTCATAATTTATAAGCCAGTGGAAAATGAAGTAACCATTTCAATCAAAGTTGTGATTGAACATCCAACAACTGTAAGATAAAAGGTGGAAATGAAAAGAATGATATTTAACTGGTGAAATTGCTCCCTGGGGGTGCCTGCACTTTGATCATTAATCTTAATTGGATGGGTCAGTGACCAGAATGGCAAGGCTGTTTCAGATCACAACACAACTTTGTAATCTGTAACCATGAAGAAAGTTGTTACAGATTTATACTATTAGCCACTGTTCTTTCCATGATGTCAATCAATGACATTGGGATATTTACTGAAGGTTTAGCTAAATTGAAGTTGCTAATAAAATGTGCACATAAAGGAACATATTTCAGAGTCTGAAAATATAAAGGAATGTATTTCAGAGACTGGAAGCTTACAAAGTCCAAGAGAATAATGTTATTGTAATAAAGTTAAACAGCTATTATAAGTTTTAGGCTGCAATTTTTACATAGTAGAGAACCTTACATTTTAGTAGTGAAACTTTTATTGTAACAAATTGTTAGTTGAATTATTTTTAAACTAAGCAGAACATGCTATAAACTTTCTTAAATGACAGAATCATATTTTGAACATGAGTCAGTATGATATCTTATACTGGATAATTGAGATGCGTTTTCAAATAGTTCAGATAAATTATTTCTTGTATCAGTTCTTAATGACCCTATTTTATCACCATGTGCACTTTCACATACCTTTAGAGTTAAACATAACCAAGGTGATGTAACAAGAGATACTAAACTTTGGTCAAGAGCGCAAGCCTTGGCACCACACTGCGTAGTTTTGATTCTGAAGTTGGATAGTTGTGGAGCGTTGGCAAGTTATTCATCCTTTTAGTCTGGATTTTTGCTTTGAATATAATAGTTATGATAATGGTTTCTACATCATGGTATTGTTCTGAGTATTACACGTGTGTTTATATTAATGTTGACTATTATTGTGTATGCCTTTTGTTAACTTTACAAATTATGAAAACATCTTTCTCATAAATAAGTTTTTCACTCTTCAAAGAGGCATTTATTTATTTGCATTTTACGCCCTTTAGCAATATTAACTCTGATTGCTGCATTACCATACCAATGGTTATTTGGTGTTAGTTAAGCATATAAGTCCCTCATGTCTTCACTCTCTTTGTGTTTTATGGGATAGGTTACACACATACATAAAAGGTAGTGTAGTCCCAGAAAGTAAATGACATTCTCTTAAGAACAATATGTCAGGAAAAACTTTGATATGAAGACCGATATCCTCCATCTCCATTCATTTTGTTTGTTTGTTTGTTTCTTTGAGACAGAGTCTCACTCATTTGCCCAGGCTGGAGTGCAGTGGCATGATCTCAGCTCACTGCAACTTCCACCTCCCAAGTTCAAGCGATTCTCATGTCTCATCCTCCGGAGTAGCTGGGATTACAGGCATGCACCACCACACCTGTCTACTTTTTGTATTTTTAGTAGAGATGGTGTTTCACCATGTTGCCCAGGCTGGTCTCGAACTTGTGAGCTCAAGCAATCTGCCACGTCAGCCTCCCAAAGTGCTGAGATTATAGGCATGAGCCACCACACTGAGCCCAATATCCTCTATTCTTAAGGCTGTCGCCAGGGTCAGAAGTGTAAGACTAAGAAACTCATTAAAATTCAGCCATCCTGGTCCCCCAGACATATTGTGAAAAATTTTAGTGTGTGTGTGTGTTTGTGTATGTCTAAGTGTGTGTGCAAACTGTATCAGCTGTGTGACCAAAGAACTGAAAAATGGGAATCCAGACTTCTGGTCCTGTTGTTGGGATTATAACGGAAGCAGAAACGGAAAATTTTGAATGGATTTCTTGATGCTGCCAAGCGGGCAATTCCTGCGGATACATCAGTCAGGATTGAGTGAGTTCTAATGTATCCCACGGTTACGGATTCCTTCAGATTTTGGTGCAGATAGCTATGTATGGTATTCCTAACCTTAACACCTAAAATAATGAACAAATGGTAACCTCTTAACAATATGCACCCATTTTTCCTAGTTCACTTTAATATTTTGGACATGGTATATATTAAGCAGTTCGAACTATTATAACTTGTCATACCATAGACTCGGTGGCTTAAACAGTAGACATTTATTTCTCACAGTTCTTGTGGCTGGGAAAGTCTGAAATCAGGGTACCAGCATGTCTTCTGGTGAAGCCTCTCTTCCGGGCTCATCTTTTTTTTTTTTTTTTTTTTTTTGGAGACAGAGTCTCGCACTGTCACCCAGGCTGGAGTGCAGTGGCGTGATCTCCACTCACTGCAAGCTCCATTTCCCGGGTTCACGCCATTCTTCTGCCTCAGCCTCTCCAAGTAGCTGGGACTACAGGCGCCCACCACCATGCTCCGGGCTCATCTTCTTGCTGTGCCCTCACATGGTGAAAAGAGAGAGAGATGGCATTGAATCTACAAATTACCTTGGGCAGTATGGCCATTTTCACGATATTGATTCCTCCTACCCATGAGCATGGAATGTTCTTCCATTTGTTTGTATCCTCTTTTATTTCATTGAGCAGTGGTTTGTAGTTCTCCTTGAAGAGGTCCTTCACATCCCTTGTAAGTTGGATTCCTAGGTATTTTATTCTCTTTGAAGCAATTGTGAATGGGAGTTCACTCATGATTTGGCTCTCTGTTTGTCTGTTATTGGTGTATAAGAATGCTTGTGATTTTCGTACATTGATTTTGTATCCTGAGACTTTGCTGAAGTTGCTTATCAGCTTAAGGAGATTTTGGGCTGAGACAATCCCCATCAAGCTACCAATGACTTTCTTCACAAAATTGGAAAAACTACTTTAAACTTCATATGGAACCAAAAAAGAGCCCACATTGCCAAGTCAATCCTAAGCCAAAAGAACAAAGCTGGAGGCATCATGCTACCTGACTTCAAACTATACTACAAGACTACAGTAACCAAAACAGCATGGTACTGGCACCAAAACAGAGATATAGATCAATGGAACAGAACAGAGCCCTCAGAAATAACGCCACATATCTACAACTATCTGTTCTTTGACAAACCTGAGAAAAACAAGCAATGGGGAAAGGATTCCCTATTTAATAAATGGTGCTGGGAAAACTGGCTAGCCATATGTAGAAAGCTGAAACTGGATCCCTTCCTTACACCTTATACAAAAATTAACTCAAGATGGATTAAAGACTTACATGTTAGACCTAAAACCATAAAAACCCTAGAAGAAAACCTAGGCATTACCATTCAGGACATAGGCATGGGCAAGGGCTTCATGTCTAAAACACCAAAAGCAATGGCAACAAAAGCCAAAATTGACAAATGGGATCTCATTAAACTAAAGAGCTTCTGCACAGTGAAAGAACTACCATCAGAGTGAACAGGCAACCTACAAAATGGGAGAAAATTTTCGCAACCTACTCATCTGACAAAGGGCTAATATCCAGAATCTACAATGAACTCAAACAAATTTACAAGAAAAAAAACAAACAACCCCATCAAAAAGTGGGCGAAGGACATGAACAGACACTTCTCAAAAGAAGATATTTATGCAGCCAAAAAACACATGAAAAAATGCTCACCATCACCAGCCATCAGAGAAATGCAAATCAAAACCACAATGAGATACCATCTCACACCATTTAGAATGGCAATCATTAAAAAGTCAGAAAACAACAGGTGCTGGACAGGATGTGGAGAAATAGCAACACTTTTACACTGTTGGTGGGACTGTAAACTAGTTCAACCATTGTGGAAGACAGTGTGGTGATTCCTCGGGGATCTAGAACTAGAAATACCATTTGACCCAGCCATCCCATTACTGGGTATACACCCAAAGGACTATAAATCATGCTGCTATAAAGACACATGCACACGTATGTTTGTTGCAGCACTATTCACAATAGCAAAGACTTGGAAGCAAGCCAAATGTCCAACAATGATAGACTGGATTAAGAAAATGTGGCACATATATACCATGGAATACTATGCAGCCATAAAAAATGATGAGTTCATGTCCTTTGTAGGGACATGGATGAAATTGGAAATCATCATTCTCAGTAAACTATCGCAAGGACAAAGAACCAAACACCGCATGTTCTCACTCATAGGTGGGAATTGAACAATGAGAACACATGGACACAGGAAGGGGAACATCACACTCCGGGGACTGTTGTGGGGTGGGGCGAGTGGGGAGGGATAGCATTAGGAGATATACCTAATGCTAAATGACGAGTTAATGGGTGCAGCACACCAGCATGGCACATGTATACATATGTAACTAACCTGCACATTGCATGCATGTATCCTAAAACTTAAAGTATAATAATAATAAATAAAAAAAAAGAAAAGAGAGAAAGAGAGTGAGAGATATTTCTCATGTCTCGTCTTATAAAAGCACTAATCCCATCATGAAGGCTCCATCTTCATGACCTCATCTAAACCTTGTCTCCCCCAAAGCTGCTACTTTCAAAAATTATCACATTAGTGGCTAAGGCCTCAGCATATGAATTTTATAGGAGCACAATTCAGCCCAATGAGGGGTATCATGAGGACTACTTCCAAAATTTAAGATTTAATGCTATACAAAATGTGACTTTATACTTTTTAATCATTATATATCGATTATTATATCAGGCAACTAGTTTTCCAAGCTCTCCCTAACCCTGTAGAGAGTATCAGCTTATTCATCATAAAGAGGATAGGGGACAAAGGAAACAATGTCAGTGCCTGCTAAACAACGTCGGCTAGATCTACAATCGACTAATTTAGAAAGAATTTTCAGAATATGTTATTGAAAAACAAAATACAAATGAAGTATATAATGAGCATTGCTTGTTTACTTGTTTGTTTTATGAAATAAGACCTAAAGAAAATCATGAGTTTGTGTTTCCATTTGTTTTTGAATTTGATTATATGAGATGAAATATTATGAAAGAATGAACAGCAGGTTATTAATATTGATTACCTGTTAAGTAATCAATATTAGACAAGTGGTTTAAGCAGAAGGGAAGTAAAGAATAAGCAACAGAAAAATAAAAAGAAAGCAATATTTGCATATCAAATTTTGAGGATGTTCATAGGTAGAAACCAAAAACAACACAAGTAAGACATGAGCAACAAAGACAATGAAGTAATAAATAGACATTCTTATTCATAATGAGTGAAACAAATCCAGGTTGGAACACACAACACAGAAACCTGATACTATATGATGGTACCAGGACTATTCCTTTAGCCTCACTTTCAAAGAGGAATCATCATTTCCTCATGAGAGGAAACAGGGTCTAATAACAGGAAATATTGTATAATGCTTATATCTGCATGTAAGCATGTGTGATAAGTACAGTTTAAAAGTTTACTAATAGTCTGTCTTATTCTAAAAAGATTTAAAGTGATTTATCAAAAAGGTATACGATAAAGCAGGACAATTTAACATAAAAATGTAGTAGCAATAAGACAGTGGAAAATTTGAAGAAAAAATGGATTATGGGAGAGATTAGTGGATAAAATGCATACTATGAGATCTTTTAATGCTTTGTAATATTGGATCATAAATTTGATTCTAAACTCTCTGGCATCAAAATTCCCCCATGAGAGCTGTGAGGGAAGCCCTGTTGATCAAGTATAGCTGAGTTTACTAATCTTACTGCAGTAAGGAAGAACACCACCTTAACAGAACCTTAGTAGTGTCTCAGAAGGAAAACATTAGGGACAGGTATGTGTAGGAGTTTTGAAAATGGGGATAGGTAATTTTTGAGATGAGTGTTGCATGTGAGACTGCCTTGTACTTGGTTTAGCACTCTCTTTTTTTTCCATTTTTAAATTCTTAATTTATCTATCTTTGAACTTGTACTTTCTAAGTGAAGTGTAATGAGAGATGAGCACATTTGTGAGCAGAAAAGGTATACACAGTGTGTATATCTAGCTTCGTTGCAACTCCACTTGCAGAGATGTTCATGATGCCCTGTGAGTAAAGAATTCGTGTTGTATTAGTTCGTTTTCATGCTGCTGATAAAAACATACCCGAAACTGGAACAAAAAGAGGTTTAATGGACTTATAGTTCCACAAGGCTGGGGAGCACTCATAATCATGGCAGGAGGTGAAAGGCACTTCTTATATGGCAGCAGCAAGAGAAAAACAAGGAAGAAGCAAAAGCAGAAACCCCTGATAAACCTATCAGATCTCGTGAGATTTATTCACTATCACCGGAATAGCTCGGGAAAGACCAGTCACAATGATTCAGTTACCTCCACCTGGGTGCCTCCCACAACACGTGGGAATTCTGGGAGATACAATTCAAGTTGAGATTTGAGTGGGGACACGGCCAAACCATATCATTCTGCCCCTGGCCCTTCCAAATTTCATGTCCTCACATTTAAATTCCAATCGTGCCTTCCCAACAGTACCCCAAAGTCTTAACTCATTTCAGCGTTAACTCCAAAGTCCACAGTCCAAAGTCGCATCTGAGACAAGCCAAGTCCCTTCCACTTATGAGCCTGTACAATCAAAAGTCAGATAGTTACTTCCTAGGTACAATGCGGGTACAGGTATTGGGTAAGTACAGCCTTTCCAAATGGGAGCAATTGGCCAAAACAAAGGGGTTACAGAACCCATGCAAGTGCAAAATCCTGGAGAAATCAAATCTTAAGGCTCCAAAAATGATCTCCTTTGACTCCAGGTTCACCTCCAGGTCATGCTGATGCAAGGGATGGGTTTCCATGGTCTTGGGCAGCTCCGCCCCTGTGGCTTTGCAGGGTGCAGCCTCCCTCCTGTCTGCTTTCACGGGCTGGCATTGAGTGTCTGCAGCTTTTCCAGGTGAACGGTGCAAGCTGTCTGTTGATCTACCATTCTGGGTTCTGGAGTACAGTGACCGTCTTCTCACAGTTCCACTAGGCAGTGCCCCAGTAGGGACTCTGGATGGGGGTTTTAACCCCACATATCCCTTCCGCATTGCCCTAGCAGAGATTTTCCACAAGGGCCTGCCCCTGCAGCAAACTTTTGCCTGGGTATCTAGGCATTTCCGTACATCTTCTGAAATCTAGTTTGAAGTTCCCAAATCTCAATGCTTGACTTCTGTGCACCCACAGGCTTAACATCACCTGAAGCTGCCAAGGCTTGGGGCTTCCACTTTCTGAAGCCACAGCCCAAGCTGTACCTTGGCCCTTTTCAGCAATGGCTGGAGCAGCTGGGACACAGGGCACCAAATCCCTAGGCTGCACACAGCGCAGAAACCCTGGGCCTGCCCAGGAAACCACTTTTTTCTGCTGTACTTCTGGGCCTGTGATGGGAGGGGCTGCTGTGAAGGTCTCTGCCATGGTCTCGAAACATTTCCCCATTGTCTTGGGAATTAACATTAGGTTCCTTGCTACTTATGCAAATTTCTGCAGCCAGCTTGAATTTCTCCTCAAAAAAAAAAAAGAGAGAAAGAAAAAGGGTTTTTCTTTTCTACTGCATCATCAGGCTGCAAATTTTCTGATTTTTTATGCTCTGTTTCCCTTTTAAAATGCAATGCTTTCAGCAGCACCCAATTCACCTTTTGAATGCTTTGCTGCTTAGAAATTTCTTCCACCAAATACTCTACATCATGTCTCTCAAGCTCAAAGTTCCAAAAATCTCTAGGGCAGGGGCAAAATGCTGCTAGTCCCTTTGCAACATAAGTCACCTTTGCTCCAGTTCCCAACAAGTTTCTCATCTCCATCTGACACCAGTTCATATCACTATCAGCGTTTTTGTCAAAGCCATTCAATAAGTCCCTAGGAGGTTCCAAACTTTCCCACATTTTCCTGTCTTCTGAGCCCTCCAAACTGTTCCAACCTCTGCCTGTTACCCAGTTCCAAAGTTGCTTCTACATTTTTGGATATCTTTTCAGCAACGCCCCACTCTTCTGGTACCAATTTACTGTATTGGTTTGTTTTCACACTGCTGATAAAGACATACCTGAAACTGGGAACAAAAAGAGGTTTAATTGGACTTATAGTTCCACATGGCTGGGGAGGCCTCAGAATCATAGCGGGAGGCAAAAGGCACTTCTTACATGGTTGTGGCAAGAGAAAAATGAGGAAGAAGCAAAAGCGGAGATCCTTGATAAACCCATCAGATCTCATGAGACTTATTTATTCACTATCATGAGAATAGCATGAGAAAGACCAGACCCCATGATTCAATTACCTGTGAATCCACAATGCCTGGAGTTCAGCAAAAAAGCAAGACAAAGCAAGCACATATTGTTTTACGCCTACAACTGGGTAAGCAGGGATATTGACAGCTTCAATAGGCAACACTTTTGTTCAACCAGAACTTATTTAAAATGCAGAAGAAGAAGGAAATTGTATTTCAAAAAACATAAACAATGAAAGAAACCTATATCCATATATGTCTATATATATCCACATAGGTTCTATATACGCAGTTATATCTATAGACCCATCACATCTATATATCCATCAAAGAAATCCATATTCATTCTTACTCCTATTATTTCTAAGTATCAACCAACTTCTTATGCTAAGAGGGAAAGATAGGGCAGCACATAGTTCCTTTTTTTTTCAGTTTTCCTTACTCATCAGTAAGCTAAAGGTAGAAAGTATTGGTAGAATGTTTGCTCATGAAAGTGAAATAAAAATGTTTAGTTTTATGCAGTATTTTTCTATTCTGGTAAGAACGGTGTACAGATGAATATTTGAGCTGCAAAACTTAAATTGTGCATTTTGGTGATTCCACATAACAGTTAAGTGTCTTTAAAACTGACATTTCACAATATAAAAGTGAATGGAAAAAATCATGCTAATGACTTAAAAGTTTAATGTTTTAATGAAAAGCATTATTAAATAGCAAATAAAAAATACCATGGCATGTTAACAGATAGACAATGAAAGAAATAGAAAAATGCTGTATTTAGTATTTTTAATGTCATCTTGTCCTCACTTTTTGAAGAACGGGCCCCAAATTTCATTTTACACTGAGCTCTGCAAATTATATATTTGACCCTGGTTTCGGAGTCATAAATGTGTAGGGATCTGTCAGAGTTTATGACATGAAAGTTTTGAATTGGTGGTAACATTAAAGTAAGGGTCTTGAAGTATGTCTTGATGAGAAAGCTGTTCATCAAAACAGTCAGAAAAAGCAAGCTGTTAGGCTTGAAATGTGAGCCAGTTTAGTTGGTTCTTAGTTCTATTTTTCTGGTACACATATTTCCTGAAATGAAGCAAGCAGCTAAGGTATTTTTTTACTTTCTCACTATTGATGAACATAAGGATAGAAAACTATATTCCTTTAAATTCCTAATGATAATTTAGAGGGAAATGAAAATTTACAGGTTTTGCAGTGAGCATCCACAAAACAAAAATTTCTCTTTTGTGAATGTCTACTTTTACCCAGCAATAGTAATTTGAACACATGTACTCTCCATTTGTTTTTTCTGAAACCAGATCATATTCAATTATCAAGCCATCTGTAAATGTTGGGGGCATTTTTTCAGTATTATATCAGAGGACTCAACTTACAGTAAGCTGAAAGATAGAGGAAAAGTATAGAAAACATATGTAGGCTACCTTTCTGAGACTAACAGTGAAAAGATAGAAGGAAGCTAAATATTGGGGAGAAAGAAATAATCATTGAAAGAGAGGATTTCTAACAACTTAGGCCATGGTATTCAGTGGGTCTGCTCATCGATCCTTAACTTTCTAATGGTAAAGGAAATGTAAAAGGAGACAGTGCAATACAGTCGTCTTTTGGGCACTATTTTTAAGTTTATTAATAGATGCTCAAGAGAAATGCTTCTTTGAATTTTCTGCTGCTGTTGTGGAAAACATTGTGTCAATCATTATATGTGTTTCTTTATGCCAATATGCAATGTTTTCTTGATTATTACTGGATTCAGAAATTTCCTGAAGGCCTTAAGGCCCAGAAGTTTATTTTATATTTATTTGTGCCATTAATAGTGCTCTACATTCATTGGGGAAAAATACTGCAAGATGTTCCTACTGAAAAGAGGACAATTTTAATTACTTTTTATATGTGATGTTTATGAAGTTACAGTAAACACATATTTCTTCCTCCTGTTAATATTTGGGCATTTTCTAGGGTTAAACTAGAGCAGAGAGTGAATCAGTCTTCCAGAAAATCAGACAGTGGCAGACTAACTCAGTTATGCACATTAGTCAAATATGTGAAGAACTAAAAGAGATTATACAGTGTTTACATGAAATTATGCACTAGAGCTGTATATATAATTAAAGAGATTACTTCAATATAGATGAGTGCATGTGATCTTCCTTTTGATTATCTCTGCATGAAATTTTTCTAAAAATCCGTGTTTTATTGAGAAACATGAAGAATTTTACATCACACATGTTCTTTATATACTAGTGATTATACAAATAGCAAAGGAGAAAAATTGTGGTCAAATATTTCTCCCATAAATAATCATTAATTCCATTACATTATCATTCATGCTTCTTGTGTCCTGTGTCTTTATTTTTTTTAAATAAGCAGATACATGCAGTAGAATGAATATGTGTGTATATGTATGTGTGTGTTTGCATGTGTGTATACATACATAGATCCATCCATACATACATGCATGTGTCCATATTGCGTGGATATACAACAGGTTATTCAAGCAATATTCTCTATTGACATTACTTTGGTTTTCATTTTGTTTTGCTCTGAAAACATGATACCACATTAATTAACTTTATGCTGATTTCTTTCTTTTCATATTATTGGAATTTTATCTTCAAAGTAAATTCTTCTGTGCTAGGGTCATATTAAGTCTCTACATGCAATTCAACACCAAATGTTTTGTGATAATTTTGCTGTTTTGCCACAATTCAGATTAAACAACAAACATTAAAATTAGACTTACAAGTAATTCACATAATGGAATTGAAGGAGTGAAGACCCAAACAATTATCCTTGAAATTTAACGGAAGATATTTAAGAAGCTTAAGAATAGAAAAAGATATAATAAAGGTAAGACAATTTAAAAAAAAAAAGACAAAGAGCACTTAAAAATAAATGTTTAATAAAAATCAAAACTTGGTTGATGAGTTACATTACAGATTAGACAGATTTGAAAAAGTTGTGAGGAAACTAACTGGAAGACAGTCTTAAATAAATTAAGCAAACTTAATACATAGAGGCATAGAGACAAGAAATAAAAATAAGAGTCGAAAATACATGGAAAATGAAATAAGATTTAACATGTACCTAAATATATTTCAAGATGGAGAAAGTAGATAAAGAGTTAATATTTGAAGAGATAATGGTTAAGAAATGTTAAGAACTGATGAAGAAATGATTTACAGTAGAATGAATAATAATAATATATATCTTGATATTTTGTGGCCAAATACTGAATACTTAAGAAGAGACGCTTAAAAGCTGTCAAGGGAAAGATAGTTTATCAACAAAGGCATAATGATTAGACTTCTCAACAGTCAGAATAAAGAAAAAAATAGGCCAGGTGTGGTGGCTCACACCTGCAATCCCAGCTCTTTGGGAGGACTAGGAGGATCACTTAAACCCAGGAGTTGGAGACAAGCCTGGCAATGTAGTGAGACCTCATCTCTACAAAAAGTTAATTAGCCAAGCGTGATGAGTAATGCCTATAGTCTAAGCTACCTGGAAGGCTGAGTTGGGAGGATTGGTTGAGCCTGGGAGGTCCAGGGTTCAATGATCCAAAATTGCACCAGGGCACTCCAGCCTGGGCGACACAGCAAGACACTGTCTTGAAAAAAGAGAAAAAATGTAAGACATTGAAATAGAGTCTTTTAAAAAATAATTTCAACTTTTATCTTAGAATCTTTTAAATACAAGAAAAATATCTATAAACCTTGAATTTTAAATTGAACTAAGCTATCATTCAAAAGTAAAAGCTAAATAATTTTATAGGCAACAGAAACTTAAGAGAGTTTATCACCTAGTTACTTTCACTGAGGGAATTTTGAAATGCTGTACTTCATAAAGAAGGAAATACCTAGGAAGTAGGACTGAAATTTCAGGAATAGTGGGGGAAACTTGCCAAATATCTAGGTGTAGTTAAAGGGACATTGACTCTCTGTAAAAAAAAAAAATATATATATATATATGAAATTATGACTAATTTGAAACGTAAAAAAACAAAATGAGACCAAATTTCTAAATAATATGTCAGAGAAAACTAATCAGAATGAGGCTTAAGATGCTGGGTTCTGGTTCTCTTTAATAAGAATGGACCAGCCTGGGAAACATGGCAAAACATCATCTCAACAACAACAACAAAAATACAAAAAAAAATTAGCTAAGCATGGTGGCATGCACCTGTGGTCCCAGGTACCCAGGAGGCTGAGGTAGGAGGAGGATGAATTGAGCCTGGGGGTTCAAAGCTACAGAGAACAGTAATTACGCCACTGCACACCAGCCTGGGTGACAGAGTGAAACGCTGTATCCAAAAAAAAAAAAAAAAAAAAGAATGGCAGGATTAAGGATTAAGTGTAGACCTTTTAGAAACAAGTACACATGTAAATACATTAAGAGTAATGCATAAAGTAGTAGAAATAAAAATTTTAAAGCAATCAAAGACAAAGGAAAGGAAGACTGAAATAATTTGACTATTCCAACTGAAGACAGGAAAGCAACGGCAAAGCAAAATAAATAGAAACCAGTATAAAAAAAGCAAGACAAAGCAAAATAAATAGAAAGTATAAAGTTGTTAGTCACTGACTAAAAGTAACTAATTTAGCATTTTATGAAACTACTATTTCAGGAGGTGGCTGGCAAGATGGCTAAAGATGAACAGCTCCAGTCTGCAGCTCCCAGTGAGATCAATGCAGAAGGTGGGTGATTTCTGCATTTGCAACTGAGGTACCTGGTTCATCTCACTGGGACTGGTCAGAGTGTGTGTGCGGCCCACGGAGGGTGAGCAGAAGCAGGGTGGGGCATCGCCTCACCCAGGAAGCGCAAGGGGTCTGGGAACTCCCTCCCCTAGCCAAGAGAAGCCATGACAGACTGTGCTGTGAGGAACCATGCACTCCGGCCCAGACACTATGCTTTTCCCACAGTCTTTGCAACCCTCAGACCAGGAGATTCTCTAGGGTACCTACACAACCAGGACCCTGGGTTTCAAGCACAAAACTGGGTGGCCATTTGGTCAGATACCAAGCTAGCTGCAGAAGTTGTTTTTTTCATACCACAGTGGCGCCTGGAACGCTATCAAGACAGAACCATTCACTCCCCTGGGAAGGGGGCTGAAGCCAGGGAGACAAGTGGTCTAACTCAGTGGATCCCACCCCCAGGGCGCCCAGCAAGCTAAGATCCACTGGCTTGAAGTTCTTGCTGCCAGCACAGCAGTTTGAAGTTGACCTGGGATGCTCGAGCTTGGCACGGGGAGGGGCGTCCACCATTACTGAGGCTTCAGTAGGTGGTTTTCCCCTCGCAGCCTAAACAAAACCCCAGGGGAGTTCGAACTGGGCAGAGCACATCACAGCTCACCAAAGCCGCTGTAGCCAGCCTGCCTCTCTAGATTCCCCCTCTCTGGGCAGGGCATCCATGAAAGAAAGGCAGCAGCCCCAGTCAGGGGCTTATAGATAAAACTCCCAACTCCCTGGGATAGAGCACCTGGGGGAAGGGCAGCTGTGGGCACAGCTATAGCAGACTTAAACGTTCCTGCCGGCCAGCTCTGAAGAGAGCAGCAGATCTCTCAGGACAGCACTCAAGCTCTGCTAAGGGACAGACTGCTTCCTCAAGTGGGTCCCTGACTCCCATGCCTCCTGATGGGGAGACACCTCCCAGCAGGGATCGACAGACACCTCATACAGGAGAGCTCTGGCTGGCATCTGGCAGATGCCCCTCTGTGACAGAGCTTCCAGAGGAAAGAACAAGCAGCAATCTTTGATTGCCTGGGTGATACCCAGGCAAACAGGGTCTGAAGTGGACCTCCAGCAAACTCTAGCAGACCTGCAGCAGACAGTATTGACCGTTAGAAGGAAAGCTAACAGAAAAAAATAACATCAACATCAACAAAAAGGATGTCCACACAAAAAACCCATCCGAAGGTCACCAACATCAAAGACCAAAGGTAGATAAATCCACAAAGATGAGGAAAAACCAGTGCAAAAAGGCTAAAAATTTCAAAAAACAGAATGCCTCTTCTCCTCCGAAAAATCACAACTCTTCGCCAGCAAGGGAACAAAACTGGATGGAGAATGAGTTTGACAAATTGACAGAAGTAGGCTTCAAAAGGTGGGTAATAACAAACTCCTCCAAGGTAAAGGAGCATGTTCTAACCCAAAGCAAGGAAGCTAAGAACCTTGAAAAAATGTTAGAGGAATTGCTCACTAGAATAACCAGTTTAGAGAAGAACATAAATGCCTGGATGGAGCGGAGAGACACAGCATGAGAACTTCGTGAAGCATACACAAGTATCAATAGCTGAATCGATCAAGCAGAAGAAAGGTTATCACAGATTGAAGATCAACTTGATGAAATAAAGCATGAAGACAAGATTAGAGAGAAAAAGAATGAAAAGGAACGAACCAAGCCTCCAAGAAATATGGGACTATGTGAAAAGACCCAACTTACGTTTGATTGGTGTACCTGACAGCGACAGGGAGAATGGAACCAAGTTGGAAAACACTCTTCAGTATAATATCCAGGAGAACTTTTCCAACCTAGCAAGATAGGCCAACATTCAAATTCGGGAAATACAGAAAACATCACAAAGACACTCCTCGAGAAGAGCAACCCAAGGAACATAATTGTCAGATTCACTAAGGTCGAAATGAAGAAAAAAATGTTAAAGGCAGCCAGAGAGAAACATTGGGTTACTCACAAAGGGAAGCCCATCAAACTAACAGTGGATCTCTCTGCAGAAACCTTACAAGCCAGAAGAGAGTGGGGGCCAATATTCAACACTCTTAAAGAAAAGAATTTTCGACCCAGAATTTCATATCCAGCCAAACCAAGCTTCATAAGCAAAGGAGAAATAAAATCCTTTACAGACAAGCAAATGCTGAGAGATTTTGTCACCACCAGGCCTACCTTACAAGACCTCCTGAAGGAAGCACTAAATATGGAAAGGAAAAATGGGTACCAGCCACTGCAAAAACATACCAAATTGTAAAGACCAAATCAACACCATGAAGAAACTGCATCAAATAATGGGCAAAATAAGCAGCTAGCTTCATAGTGACAGGATCCAATTCACACATAACAATATTAACCTTAAATGTAACTGTGCTAAAAGCCCCAGTTAAAAGACACAGACTGGCAAATGGATAAAGAGTCAAGACCCATCGGTGTGCTGTATTCAGGAGACACATCTTATGTGCAAAGATACATATAGGCTCAACACAAAGGGATGGAGGAATATTTACCAAGCAAATGGAAAGCCAAAAAAAAAAAAAAAGCAAGGGTTGCAATCCTAGTCTCTGATAAAACAGACTTTAAACCAGCAAAAATCTAAAAAGACAGACAAGGGTATTACATAATAGTAAAGGGATCAATGCAAACAGAAGAGCTAACTATCCTATATATACGTACACCCAATATAGGAGCACCCAGATTCATAAAGCAAGTTCTTAGAGACCTACAAAGAGACTTAGACTCCCACAGAATAATAGTGGGAGACTTTGACACCCCACTGTCAATATTAGATCATCAAGACAGAAAATAAACAAGGATATTCAGGACTTGAACTCAGCTCTGGACCAAGTGGACCTAATAGAAATCTATAAAACTCTCCACCCCAAATAAACAGAATATACATTCTTCTCAGTACCTCATCACACTTATTCTAAGATTGACCACATAAATGGAAGTAAAACACTCCTCAGCAAATGGAAAATAATGGAAATCATAACAAATAGTCTCTCAGACCACAGTGCAATCAAATTAGAACTCAGGATTAAGAAACTCAGTCAAAACCACACAGCTACATGGAAACTGTACAACCCACTCCTGATTGACTACTGGGTAAATAACAGAATTAAGGCAGAAATAAATAAGTTATTTGAAACCAGTGAGAACAAAGACACAACATACCAGAATCTGTGGGACACAGCAAAAGCAGTGTTTACAGGGAAATGTATAGCACTAAATGCCCACAGGAGAAAGCAGGAAAGATCTAAAACTGACACCCTAACCTCACAATTGAAAGAACTAGAGAAGCAAGGACAAATGATATCCTTTCTTCTGATTGATTGATTCGGCTATTGATACTTGTGTATGCATCATGAAGTCCTAGTGCTGTATTTTTAGTTCCCATAACAAACCCACAGGCATTATCATACTGAATGGGCAAAAGCAGAAAGCATTCCCTTTGAAAACCGGCACAAGACAAGGATGTCCTCTCTCACCACTCCTATTCAACATACTATTGAAAGTTCTGGTCAGGAAAATCAGGCAAGAGAAAGTAATAATGGCTATTCAAATAGGAAGAGAGGAAGTCAAATTGTCTCTGTTTGCAGATGACATGATTTCATACTTAGAAAACCCATCATCTCAGCCCAAGATCTCCTTAAGCTGATAAGCAACTTCAGTAAAGTCTCAGGATACAAAATCAATATGCAGAAATCACAAGCATTCCTATACACAAATAATAGACAAACAGAGAGCCAAATCACGAGTGAACTCCCATTCACAATTGCTACTAAGAGAATAAAATACCTAGGAACACAACTGACTAGGGATGTGAAGGACCTCTTCAAGGACAACTACAAACCACTGCTCAAGGAAATAAGAGAAGACACAGACAAATGGCAAAACAATCCATGCTCATGGATAGGAAGAATCAATATCATGAAAATGGCCATACTGCCCAAAGTAATTTATAGATTCAATGCCATTCCCATCAAGCTACCATTGACTTTCTTCACAGAGTTAGTAAAAAACTACTTTAAATTTCACATGGAACCAAAAAAGAGACCGTATAGCCAATCCCATTACTGGGTATATACCCAAGCATAAAGAAGAAAGCTGGAGACATCATGCTACCTGACTTCAAACTATATTACAAGGCTACAGTAACCAAAACAGCATGGTACTGGTACCAAAACAAATATATAGACCAATGGAACAGAACCTCAGAAATAATGCCACACATCTACAACCATCTGATCTTTGACAAACCTGAAAAAAAAACATGCAATTGGGATAGGATTCCCTATTTAACAAATGGTGTTGGGAAAACTGGCTAGCCATAAGCAGAAAATTGAAATTGGACCCCTTCCTTACACTTTATACAAAAATTAACTCAAGATGGATTAAAGACTTAAATGTAAGACCTAAAACCATAAAAACCCTAGAAGAAAACCTACGCAATACTACTCAGGACATGGTCATGGGCAAAGACTTCATGATTAAACCACCAAAAGCAATGGCAGCAAAAGCCAAAATTGACAAATGGGATCTAATTAAAGAGCTTCTGCACAGCAAAAGAAGCTATCATCAGAGTGAACAGGCAACCTACAGAATGGGAGAAAATGTTTCCATCGGACAAAGGGCTAATATCCAGAATCTACAAGGAACTTAAACAAATTTAGAAGAAAAGAACAAACAACCCCTTGAAAAAGTGGGTGAAGGATATGAACAGACACTTCTCAAAAGAAGACATTTATGCAGCCAACAAACATATGAGAAAAAGCTCATTATCACTGGTCATTAGAGAAATGCAAATCAAAACCACAATGAGATACCATCTCATGCCAGTTAGAATGGCGATCATTAAAAAGTCAGGAAACAACAGATGCTAGAGAGAATGTGAAGAAATAGGAATGCTTTTATGCTGTTGGTGGGAGTGTAAATTAGTTCAACCATTGTGGAAGACAGTGTGGCAATTCCTCAAGGATCTAGAATCAGAAATACCTTTTGACCAAGCAATCCCATTACTGGGTATACACCCAAAGGATTATAAATCATTCTACTATAAAGATACATGCATACATATGCTTATTGCAGCACTATTCACAATATCAAAGACTTGGAACCAACCCAAATGCCCATCAGTGACAGACTGGATAAAGAAAATGTGGCACATACACATCATGGAATACTATGCAGCCATAAAAAGGAGAGTTCATGTCCTTTGCAGTGACATGGATGAAACTGGAAACCATCATTCTCAGCAGGCTAACAGGAACAGGAAGCCAAACTCTGCGTGTTCTCACTCATAAGTGGGAGCTGAACAATGAGAACACATGGACACAGGGAGGGGAACATCACACACCAGGGCCTGTCGGGGGTGGGGGGCTAGGGGAGGGATAGCATTAGGAGAAGTACCTAATGTAGATGACGGGTTGATGGGTGCAGCAAACCACCATGGCACGTGTATACCTATGTAACAAACCTGCACGTTCTGCACATGTATCCCAGAACTTAAAGTATAATGAAAAAAATGCAACTTTATGTTTCAGCCTAATTTATCAAATTTCAAGTTGGCCAATTCTGATAGTTGTTAGTGTTTGAATTCAGTATGAAAATTCAGTAATAATGGAATTGTTCTTTGGGTAGTAGTCACAAATTAATGTCACCAAGAAATAAGCCACTTATATGAGTAAAATTAAGGTTTATTTAAGGCATCATAACAGAACATTCATCACAAAGTCAACATGTCTTTTATATATGTTGTATTACATGTCTTTTATACATGTGGGTAGGTGTCTATCTTGGCTAGTATTAAGAGTTCTCTTGATGATTTGCACAGATTTTTAGATTCCACAAAATATATAAGAATTGTTGCATTAGTTGCCTGAGGCTACCGTATCAAATTAGCACACACTTTGTGGCTTGAAAAAAACATAAAGTTTATTTTCTTACAGTTCTAGATTCCAGAATTCTGAAATCCAGCTGGATTGTTGTACTCCCCACAGGGAGTCTAGGACAGAATCTGTTTCTTGCCTCTGCCAGCTTCTAGTAGTTGCTAGCTTGCTTGTCCTAAGGCCAAACCCCAGTTTTTGCCTTAAGCTTAATATCAACTTCTTTTCTGTGTCTGTTTATTCCTTTGTGGGTCTTTTGTAAGGACAATTGTCATTGGATTTAGGGCCTACCAAGATAATCCAGGATGATACATTCTTACTTTACTGCATCTGCAAAGACTCTTTTTCCAAGTAAGGTAATATTTGCAGGTTACATTAGAGGATTAGAACATATTTTTTTCAGAGCTACCAGTAAACCCATTACAGTAGTATCCTGGATTTCCCCTGAAGGATCTGAGGTGGTTCTTAGGGACAAGAAAGATTATGATACAATTTGGTTTTAGTTTGATTCTACTTACGATAGCATGCTCATCCATGGAGTAGGCAAACGATGCTTGCGAAAAACTGCTCCCTCTGTCCTCTGGTCTCCTGGTACATGATGAATTTAGTTTCAAACGAGACAAGAAACTTGTACCAGGATATAAACTTTAATTGACAAAGTCTTTCTAGGAAGAAAATGTCAGCCAAACAAAATAGAGTGTTTAGAGATTAAGTAATTTACATTCTGGAATGAGTTTCCTGCCTTTTAGCAGGCTAGTAATGATTTACAGAGCAGAAGTTTGTATACCTTTGTTCTAGAGGGTTTTCATATTAGGCTTCTTTCTAGTTTTCCTATTGTCTGAGAGATCGCAACTTTGTTTTGAGTAAAGGTGATTAAAAGTCCACATCTTTTACAGATATTTCACTTTCGAGGTTAATTTGTAGAAAAATTATAAGTTGTGATTTAATTTTTACTTGCTGGGAACATATACACCCTGAAGGCTTTGATTTTACCATAAAAAAATGTTGATCAGTTATACCTAACTTGACATTTTAAATTCAGTATTCCTTTCCCCTTTGGATTTGTCATCCCAAATCATCAACCCCCATCTTGTCTCTGTTGATTCTTAAATAAAACTAAAATTTTAACATGTGATTATTATCTTTATTACAATTACTTTTAACAATTTGAAAATCATGCTTTTTATATTCCTTTTAATATGAATAAAATTGTCTAAGATTATCTGGCAACATTTGGCTATAAGCTTCCCCCTTTCAAATATTAGAGATATTTTTTATTAGCAGGTTTCTCAGCAAAGGGTTTGTATTTCACATTTCAGTTAGAATTACTTCATTCATTCATTAAGCCAGCATTTCTTGACATTGTGGATACAGAGCCTCCTTAGGCATATTTTACCCTTAAGAATTAACAGACTGATAATGGATATAAAGAAAAACACACATAGTTATAATATAATTTGATACTGGATAGTTATAAACATCATGAGAGGACATAGGAGGCATATCTAATTCAAGTGAAGGATCCAATATTTCCTAGGGGAGATGACTTCTTGAGGTAGGTATGGAAGGAAAATTAGGAATCCATTCACTGCTGAATTCTCCTTAGCCACTATCTGTCACTCTAAAGGAATGTTTATTATATTTGATAAAAAAGAGATAACATCGGCACCTCAGCTTTTTCTACTAAGATCTGGTATGAACTTTGGAACAGACATAGGGCAGCATGGATAGCTCCAGAAGCTAAATAAAGGAGCTGCTAGGTAATAGAAAGAAGATACTTTAGAGCAAGTGAAAAGACACCTCAGTAAGTCTTCACCTCTTTTATCATGTATCTTGGTATGTGAAGGCCATTATTCCCATAGTTTCATTTTTTTAAAAAATCTCAAGGGATGTTTATGACAGTGTGATTTAGACTGAAGTAGGTAACTTATAAACTAAGATGCATCAAAACTAATTATGATCATTTTTGCTTCTTTTCCATTCTTTTGTGCATCTTGCCTTATGCATCACTCTTCAAGACACTGCCCCAACTTCTTCAGGTGGTTTTCTCCCTTACCAGGGTAAGCAATGTACTTAGCTTTGTCATATTAATAGGTTGTATTTCTGATATTTGAGAAGCAACCATTTGACGAGATTAAGTTTGTTACAGGTAGTTAGACAGGCATGATCAGGGCAGGAGAGGGCTGTCCCCACCCACCCACCAGGAATGTCAGGCAATCAGGTGATGATTCAAGGATTGTCACATTGCCTCTCTAAAAATAATAATATTTGGTAGCTGACACCAGGGAGAGACAATCTCCCGCTGATCCACAGCTGTTAATATTAAAGTGTTAATTGAATGCAGGCATCAGGGAGAAGCAAGAAGGGCTTCCAGTAAAATCTCAGGTATTGGGTAAGTAAGCCCAAGCATGTTCATTAAGAGACAGAATTTTGGAGAATGAGCTTCCAGGGGCACTCCACTGGAAAAGGGAAGAAAGCCTCAGATGGGCATGCATACGATTTCCTAAACACACTGCTCAGGCTCACTTCCCAAGGATAAGGAGTGCACTGCACATACAGGGAGCCCATTCTAAGGTAAGAATCACGGGAAAGACAGGCAAGACACTGGAGGTGGGCCACCCTATAAAGTTGTAGGATTAAGGTTAAACAGAGCACTTGCTCTTCAAATGGACCACTTGGCGCTCTCTCAAGTGCACTTTCCTTTCTTTCCCGTGCTAAAGCTTTTTAATAAACTTCCAATCCTGCTCTGAAACTTGGCCTCAGTCTCTTTTTCTGCCTTATGCCCCTCAGTCGAATTCTTTCTTCTGAAGTAGGCAAGAATTGAGATTGCTGCAGACCCAGATGGATTCACCACCAGAAACTCAAATACCTTCCACTAGTAACAAACTGGTGAAGGAAGAGTTGATAATCATAGTTTGGCAGCTTCACAAGCCAAGTGGCTTGAGTCTTGGTTTAGATAAAAGATGAGACTCTTCTTCTTTGACTCCTTAAAGTCTCATTTTTTTGAGTCAGTTGAGTGGTGGGCTTTTCTCTGGTATTATCTTTGTGAATGTGCAAAGCAAGATTTGAAGCTAATCTCAAAATACCATACAACTTTTTGTTGTTGATGCTGTTATTGGCATAATGATTTACTGATTAAAAGGAGACTGTTGTTCAGGCGGCAGGACTGGCAACTCAGTATGTGGTTTGCTTATAAACCTGTGAACACAGAAATTTCTGCTCCTAGTAGGTAAGGATTTTATCTTTTCCTAATCATTAAAGATGTGTTTGCATTAGCATATGGAGTGAAATACAAAGGTTCTATCTTAAATAAATGAAACAATTTGTCACTGCATGTGGCAAGACTTCCTCCCTGTGATAATGAATACTTGTATAGGAGAGGAAACTGCAAAGAACTGGGAATTGAAATACAAAGAAGGGAGCTGAATCTTACCTTACTGAAAACAGAGCTTTTGTTTTTAAGTGTAAATCTACCATTTATTATATCCTCTGTTGAGATAAATGTATTATTCAATGTGTTTTAACTACGACCTTGAAAAATTACAAAGAAATGTATACTGCAAAAGAGAAAAAATTAATTAGGCTTAACACTAAAAGAGTTTCTTTTGTTTAAATTATCTAAAGTAAAAAGAAGTATTAAGCCTTTGTGAAATGAACTTTGACTCCTTTTCTAATTATCAAGTGAAAATTTCCATAACTAATTATTTGTTTTACAAAGATAAGTTTCCAAACCCGTAGTGCACTTGGAATAAGATTCATTAAATTACATAATTTTATGCTGAAACTACATCTTAGATTTATGGAAAGGAAATTTTCACAACTATTCCCATAAATAAATAGCATACAGAGTGAATAACCATACTTCGAAGGAATCTGATAAATGTAAAAATAGAACAACTGTCTTAATTTTACATCGTACGGAATCTTGCAAACCAACATGTAAGACTCTGAGACATTCATTATTGTTTATAAAATAATTGCAATGATAGAGTTTAAACGTTAAAATATATCTGCCATGAGAATTACAAATTATAGACTTATTATAAGAATAAAGTTTTATGTAATTGTGGGAGAGACTGGGGAAAAAAAAATCTAAGGGAGATTTGGGAGATCAGGGAAAAGTCACAAATCAGTCCTACTAAAATAACGATTTATGCAAAAAAGTCAGGAGTTGCAGGGGATTCTGGGAAGCCGGTAATGTAGAGCTGCCAAATAAAATGGAAACATCAGAGAAGTAAAGGGAAAATATTTGGGGAAATTGTTCACATTGCATAAATCCTGCTTTTAAAGGTCTTCAGCAGAACATCTGACTGTGGGCTTCAGTTTCTTTTCAGCCACAGGGCTGGCAGTGAGAAGAGCTGAACACAGAGTAACACAAAATGGAACCAACTCTTTTTGACTGTCACAGCATTCAATTTAATCACCTTCAAAGAGTAATGGTAGCTGCTTAACTTCTGTCTTCTAAATGTGAAACAATTTCTTATTTTGGCTAACTCTAATCACAGTGACAGGAGGCAGTCATATGCCTAGGTAGATAGGGACAGGTCCTCAGTGAAACCCCACCTCCAAGGAAGACAGTTTAAAGCCTGAAAGCCAAGCTACAAGTCAAATCCACAGACTGGATTAAGAACCTGTCTTCCCATTTGGCAGGCTTTCCTCTGAGTGATCCCCACCCTTCGCCTCTTTTACAGATACCTACCCTTTCCTAATTGGTTTTCTATAGTCGTGCCCACCTTTGCACCATGTCTTCTCTTTAACCTTTTTTGCATACTCAAAGCCAATCAGCATGCACTCCCCATTCTGAGTCCATAAAATTCCTGGACACAGCCACACTGGAGGAGAAACCCACCTGAGTGCAGGGGTGAGGAACCACGCCTGTGGCCCCTCTCCACTGAGAGCTGTTCCATCACTCAATAAAGTTCTTCCCCGCCCTCCTCGCTCTTTGAACTGTCAGTGTATCCTCATTCTGCTTGGATGAGGGACAAGAGCATGAGAACCACCAAATGCAAGTACAAGTTATACCACGGGCAGGCCAAGTCGGTGGGGTGCCTCCAGTGGCAGGCCCGGCCTGAGTGAGGCCTGGGTAGCAGGGGGGTGTTGCTAATTGTGGAGGTCCCTGGTTGGCAAAGTGGCTGAGAAAAATCCTGCATCACTAGGCTGGAGGATATAAAATATGAAATTCCAGGCAACAGTTTTAACATAACTAAGTTGACAGAGTACATACTGCTACATAGTGGAATATAAATTATATAGACTTCTAAGTAATGGCTAAGAAAAATAATTGAGACAAGTGCATAGAAATTAATCTAGTAACAACCACATCAATTCTGCTTTTACCATTATAGAAAGTGTAACTTATAGAAGACAGAAATGTGTATAATGGTAATAAATTAAAATTGCAGAGACTATTGGATTAAATTTAGTAGCATCTGAGAAAAAACTCAGATAACGGTAGGTAAACATGAATAAATTTACTTTGAGGATGAAAAGAACAAGCTCATTGATGGTCTAATTGTTTTTGATATGGAAAAATATTAGGGTTAATAGAAAATAGAAACATTTTAAATTGTTAGCAAAATTGTTATAGAAATCTCTCCAAAAACATCTTACATAAACTTAGTGAGGTCATTCTGAATGGAAAATGAATGAGAGTAATATGAAGATTTCATCCATGCAAATCATATCTTCTTTTACATGGATGGACCTTCCTGTACAGGAATACACTGGAACCTCAAAATCAGAATTTCAGGACAGTTTTGTCTTACGTGGGAACAGGGAGCAAAAGAAGGTAAGCAGAAAAAAAATAAGAGGTGACAAAATATTTTTATCTTGTTTCATCTTTTTTTCCCAACAATACATTTTTTTAAAATTTTAATCCTGCAGAACTTTATAGTAAACAACCATACACTTTTTACTCAGGTTGACAAATTGCTAAGAGTGTGCAGTTGTTTTGCCTATAAATAGATAGATGGATGAATACATACATGGATGGATGGATGGATGGATGGATGGATAGATAGAGATAAAGTGTGTTTAAAAGACTTTTTAGCTCCTCATATCAAAGGCAAAGTTGGTATCCCAACGGCTTGAATCTGGGGTGGTCTTTTGTCTTGCTTTGATCCATGGAATGCAGCAGAAGTGTCATCATGTGAGTCTTCAATCTAGGTCATGAACTCTTAGAAGCTACCACTCTCCTCCTATTGGAAATCTGCTGTGATAGGAATATACTCCAGCTAACCTTCACAAAGTCCACGTAGAGCATAATTAAGGTGCTCAAACCAATAGCCTACAAAGCACTAGGCATGTGAATATAGTGATCCCAGATCATCCACTCCCAGAAGAAATGTCAGGTGACTGACTCCATTATGATTGAGCTCAGGAAGATGAGCAGGATCATCCTTCTGAGCCTTTTCCTTATTGGCAGCCAGAAATTTGTGAGTTAATAATTGATTGTTACACTAAGCCATTAAGTTTGGGGTCGTTTGGAATAGAAAAGTCTAAACAATACAATCGATAAATGACTGCTTTAGCCATTACTCAGTGAGTAACAGACCTAAAAATTCTTCATTGTTAAGTACTTCAGCATATAACTTCCAAGAATATATAATTTCAGTGTAATTTTCATACTCAAGTAAGTTAACTGATTAATATTATCTACTATACGTACTGAAGTTTTCTTAGTTCAGTGATGTTAGTTATATCATTTTCAGCTTTTATTTGGTATAATCAAGGATCAAAAATAAATTTATTAGTCATGCCTCTTTAATATCCTTTAATCTAAACGCATACCCTTATTCTTATAGTGTTTTCATTTTTTACAATCCTTGCCAATTTTTTTGCAGAATATTTCTCAATATAGATTTTTCTAATTATGTAGTTATGATTGGATGTAAGTAAAGCATTTTTGATAGATAAGACCTATATGATGCCATCTACTTCCCAGTGTATTACATTAAAAGGCACATGATTTCAGTTTATACTGAAATTGGTATAAAATTCATTATGCTAATTTCGATCATTGGGTTTAAGTGGTGTCTGATTTTATTACTTTTTTAGTACATCTTTATTTTTAATCACAGTAAGAAAGTCATTACCCATATCCAGGTCCCAGGTGAATCTACCCATGCTGTGTATATATGTATTCTTTTGATTCTTTATGATTTGAGGTACAGATCCAATTATACATTTTCTTAAATGGCTACTCAACTGATTTATACCACTTATTAAATATTATTATAGCATTGGCTTGATATTTCATCTTTATCACAAATTAAATATCCATATTACTGGGTGGGTCAGTCTATTTTGACTTTCTGTTTTGTGCCTCTCTCTACTCTTGAAGCAATATTGCTTAATATAGAAGCTCTAAGGCAATACAATCCAGTAGACTTTCGGAGGTAATGGAAATGTTTCATAGCTGCATTGTGCAAAATGATAGCCACTTGAAATATGGCCAATATGACTGATAAACTGAATTTTTATTTTATTTACTTTTAGTTAATTTAAATTTTGACTTACAAAGATATTTGTGACTAGTGGCTACTGTACCAGAGAGTATACTATCAAGGGTGTTCTATATTTGTCAGGGGTCAACTGTCCTCATTGCTTTCACTTTTGATAGTTTTTCTAGAATTTATCGAATGTCCATTTTTCATATATAATTTAGAACTGACTGTTCCCTAATCTCAGATAAAGAATGTTGATATTTTATTGGCATTATATCAAAATATATAAATTAACTTAGAAAAAATTAACATATATGTTTCCATAGTAAACAATTTAACCTTGTCCAAAAAGAGGTCTGACCTTTGCCTTCAAATTCTAGGACATGACTTAGGGTGGCGGCATTGGGTCATGCAATATCAGGTTGAACTGCAGAGGGGATAGAGACTGAGGTCAACCTTCAATAAAAATTATGGACACCAAGACTCCGGTGAATTTCCTTGGCTGTCAATATTTAATGCCTATTGTAACATAGTGTTAATGTTATACATGACTTTACTGGAAAAGGACAACTGAAAATTCTGTATTTGGAGCTTTCCTGGACTCTGCTTTGTGGGTCTCTTCCCTTAGCTGATTTCAGTGCATGCCCTTTCACTGTAATAAATGATAACTATGAGTATTGACAGCTTTCTGTGAGTTTTGTGAGTCCTTCTATTCAATTATCAAAGCTGAAGGTAGTCTTGAGTACCCCAATACTTGCAACTGATGTGCGAAGTAAGGGTGGTCTTGAGGACCCCTAACTCTTCAGTTGGTGTCTGAATTAGAGTGATCTTGTGGACTGTTTTCTAACCTCACAACATGACAATGCATTTCATCCAAAGAATGCATTTTCAGTTGCTTAAAGCTATTTTTATATGATTTGAGTTTTTTATGGCTTTTCTTATATAGATTTTGACCTTTTTTTTCTAATTTTATTCCTAAATGTTTTTTTTTCTTTCTTTTATTTTTGGAATACTGCTAGTGTTAGAAGAGTTTTCCCTTCTGTCTTATCTCCTAACTAGTTTTTGTTTGAGTATATGAAGGCTACTATGCTAATTGTATATTTGGTTACTTTGGGAATTATTTGCCTTGAGTTAGTTCTATGATTATCAAATATTTTTCAGGTATATTATTAGTTCTTGTGGAAATAGGGATAGTTTTATCTTTTCCTAATTTCTGCCTCAAATTCTTGTCTCTTTTCTAATTGTATTGGATAAATTGAATAGACACACATGTAAAGTATCTATGAATTCCTATTTTTATTCTTTTTTTCAATCAAGGATGAGAGTTGCATTTTATGATTGTCTTTATATCAATGAATATGATGAAATATGTTAATTTATATCATAATATAGAATTGTCCTTTCACTCTTGTATTCCTAGGGTAAAATCCTAGATGGTTTTTCTGTAAGAAATTCTCAATGTACTGCTCTAATATATGTGCTGATATTTTATTTAGGGTTTTTACACTGATATTTGTAAGTGAGATAGGTTAGCTTTCTTTCCATTTTCTTGTATCATTTTTTGTAAAATTTATCAAGTATGGGTATCAATGCTACATTTTAAATGTAAATTTGAGGTTTAATATGTAAATTTCAAGTTTTTCACCATTTTTATTTTCTGGAACAATTTATATAACATTGGGATTCAGTGGTGTTTGAAGTTTGATATTGTAAAAACATCTGGACCTGGTAAATTGGTGAATTGTGTGTGTGTGCATGTGTGTGTGTGTGTGTGTGTGTGTATGCAAGAGAGAGAGATACTATTTAATAATAATTTACCTCTCCTCTGAAAGTTTACCTCTCTGAACTTTTAATGGCTATGGGTCAATTTTGGTAAACTGTATTTCCAGCCATGTTTCTTCCATTTTAACTTGTGCTGAACTTAGATGTGAGAAGAGTATTAAGTTTTTTAAATGTCCTGCTTCATTTGGAGCACATTTATCCCCATGAATAACTTGTTTAAATATTATGGCTTAATGTATGAATTTTAGGTTCAACATGAAATCTACCAGAGCTTGTATGTGAGGTTTTGTTCAAATTTCCCATGCTGTTCAAAGCCTAGTATTTACCTTCTGTGCTGTGTGAAGTCATTAATACAGAAGTGCTGGGGATTGGCTGAAGCTCCTTGGTAGCCTCAGACTTAGAAATTTTTTTACTTCTGACCTTGGAAATGTCTATTTATTTCTTTACTAGCTCAGTCATGTGCTAATAAAATAAAATAGATGATATATTTCATCAGAACTTTTTAGTAAAAACAATTTCAGTATATGCAATCTGCCATAAAAATTTGACATAAAAGAATACAAATGACATCTTCCAGTTTATATTAAATAAAATAAATTCATATGGATTGCTTTTTTCCCTATTAAATTAGCTGTTGTATTATAGCACTAGTGATCCATTGTCTTCATCTCTTTTCACTAACGGATAATTTTATATTGAAAATGTGTCTTAGGATTTCTCATTTATAAGTTCACTTATTTTTTAAATCAGTTAATACTGAGGTTTTACATTTGAAAACACATCCATATTAATGCAAATAATTCTATTAAATACCATAGATTACTAAGATTATATAACATCTTTACCAAGATCATTAAATTTAAACTATTATTTGTTTATACAATTTCTACATCTAATTCTTCTCATTTGCAACACTCTCCATCTGCAGTTCATAACAAATAAGTAATATCTGCCTCTTCACGTTCCTTTCATAGAACATCATATAAATATTTGGTCTACATGGCAGTCAATAAGTTTTATGGATCCTGCATATGTTATAGAAAGTTTTTTAAAAAATAGTTTTCTTATAATTCCCAAAAAAAGGTTCTTGCTGTCAGTTCAAATGGAATAAATGCTAAGTAACTAATTCACTAATGGAAAGACCAACTCAAGGTCAACTATTTTCTGTGCTCTACCTAGAAATGTTACTGTGAGTAGAAGAAAAATTCTAAATAATGACTGGAGGTTATTTGTCATAAATAATTGCTCTTGAATACAATACTAAAATCTGCATTAAAAATAAAATATTTTATATCTGTGCACAGAATATTCAGATGTCAAAAGGAGGCCAACTTCATAATAGGAAAACTTAAATTATAAGTAACTGTTAGAAAAATTTTTCACTGAATGCTTATTGCTTTATGTATCAACATAGACATTTGACTATTTTCCAGTTTTATTGAGCTATAACTGACAAATAAAAATTGTATATATTCAAGTTATACAACGTGAGTTGATATATGTATACACTCTGAAGTGATTACCACAATTAAATTAATTAACATATATAATCACACAATTACCCTTGTGTGTGTGTCTGTCTGAGTGTGTATAGCAAGGATCTTTCCCAAAGATTTACTATCGCAGAAATTTCAAATAAAGAATACATTATTATTAGCTAAAGTCACCATGCTATACATTAGAATATTATATTTTATTCATCTTATAACTGAATTTTTGTACCCTTTTGACCAGTAGCTCCCCATTTTCCCTAACCCCCAGCCTCTGACAAACACCATTCTATTCTGATTCTATAAGTTTAATTTTTTTAGTTTTCACGTACAAGTAAGGTCATAGAGTATCTTTTTGTGGCTGGCTCATTTTACTTAGTATAATGATCCAGATTGTTGCAAATGGCAGGATTTCCTTCTTTTTATAGTTTAATAATATTCCACTGTATATACACACCACATTTTCTTTTTCCATTTATTCATTGGCAGACACTTAGGTTGTTCCCAGTCTTAGCTATTGTGAATAATGCTACAACAAATTAGGGGTGCAAATATGTCTTTGAGATACTGATTTCATGTCCTTTGAATATGTATTCAAAATTGGAATTGCTAGATGTGGTAGTTCTATTTTTAACTTTTAGGTACCTCCATAATGTTTTACACAATGACTTTACCAATTTACATTTCCAGCAATGGTGTGTGAGGGTTCCCTTTTCTCCACGTCCTTAACATTTGTTTTCTTGTCTTTTCAATAATAGCTAGATAATAGATTTCTAATAGATAATAGATAGATAGAGGCAACATCTCATTGTGGTTTAGATTTGCATTTCCCAATAGTGATGTTAGCCCTTTTTCATATACTTGTTGGCCATTTTAATGACTTTGTTGAAAAGATGTCTATTTAGGTCATTTGCCCGTTTAAAATCAGGTTATTTGAGTTTTTTGTTTATGTGTTTTCTTGTTGTTGTTGTTATTGAGCTGTATGAGTTCTTTATATATTTTGAATATTAAAAGCAAAAATAAAAGAAGGGGATTGAAAATGAAAAGCATCTGCACAGCAAAGGAAGCAATCAACAACAGGCAGTCCAAGGAATGGGATAAAATATTTTCAAAACATATATTTGATAAAGGGCTAATATCCAAAATATGTTACTTACTCATAGGCCTTTTGGTTTTAATTTAATTCTTTTTCGTTTGACACTTTTTTCTTAAATCTTAGTAGGCCTTTCTTAATCATATCTATCTATCTGTATATATATCTCATCACACACACACACACACACACACACACACACATATATATATGTACACACATACCCATATGTATCTTTCTAACTGCCAGGAAACTCTAATGCAATGTATTATCACAACAGGTTGCCTAAAAAATGGTCAGTGACAAATTTCTAAAGAGTATTTGCTCTAAAGAGAATCTCAGCAAGAGATAGTAAACTAAAGCCTTTTTAAAATGTAATAATTTAAGATAGTCTATACATATAAGCATTTATAAAGATAATATATTGAAAAAATCACAAAACACAAAAGTATATAGAAAATTATATAAAATTCACTGTAATTCTATTATCCAAGAGACATGACGAATGTGTTGCTACAGTTGCTTTTTATTTGTAACATATCTGAATGTGTATTTTTTAAAGTAGCAACATTACTGAATATATTTTTAAACTATGAACTTTTTTCTCTTTTACATTGTACTAGGAATATTTTTTCATAATAATAAAATATACTTTTAAAAAACCTAGTCTTTAAAGACTAGACAAATGGTTTGCCACCTATTTAATCAATGCAGTTATTCTATTTTGGGAAATGTCAGTTGCTTACAATTTACTATTATAAAAAATGCCACATTGATATACATGATATCAAAATTTTCCTGAATAATTTATTATTTGTAAAGGTTGAATTACTGAATCAGGGTACATGTTTTTCATAAGGAGTATATAAATTTAATATTCCACTAATTTAATGTAAATTAGTCTATTAAGTAGGTATAAATGATATATTTCTTTGGATTTTGCATTTCTTTCTTTTATTCCAAGTAAATGTGAAAATTTTTATGGGCTAATTACAATTTTATCTTTAATATCAGGGTGTTAAAAATTCGATATTTTGGGATCGAGATAAAATCTACATAGAATTAAATGCATAAAATATTGAGTTTTAATATATGTATGTACTCAAACACCATCAAAATCAAGGCATAAAATAATTCCATTACCTCAGAAAGTTCTCTTGTGTCTCCTTTCCAACAACCACAGAAACCACTCTTTTAAATTATATCACAACAGATTAGGTTAGCCTCCACTCAAACTTTATATAAATGGGTTCATATCTGTTTTTAGTGTCTAGCTTTCTTTATTCAACAAAATATTTTTGAGTCTTTCCATGGTGTAAATGCTGCATGTATCAGTAATGCATTTTTATTTATTAATTTATATATATTATTGGTATTTAACTGTATGACTAAAATGTTAGTTTATCTATCTCTGGTTGGTAAATAATTACACTGATTCCAGTTTTATTCTGTTTTGAAAAAAGTATACAAACATTTTATACACTTTTTTGTGAATATATACATTTTAGTTTCTTTGGATAAATACTGAGCAGTCATATTGCTGGGTCTTAGTTTATTAGAAATTGAAAACTCTTTTTCAAATTGATTGTATGATGTGCAATGCTATTAGTAATGTAAGAGATGTTCTTCCACATCCTTGCCAACATTTAGTGCTCTTTTTTTATGTTAGTCATTTTAGATGTTCTAGTATCTCACTGTGATTTTAAATTATATTTTCCTAACTAGTAATAATGTAATGATATGGAGAAGATTTCATATCTAATGACCATAAAGTGTGTTTATTTATGATGATTTGTATATCATCCTTATGGAATACTTGTTCAAACGTTTTGCCTGTTTTTATTTTTTATTTTTATACATTTATAATAACTTTATTCTTGATTCACCTTTTATCAGATGTGTCTCACAAATAAATTTCTATGAATTTGTGACTTCATTTTTTAACTGTATCTTTTAATGAGTTCCTTTTATTTTGTATAAATTCTGTCATTAATTTTATTTTATGTTTAGTAAATTTTGTGTCCATAGATGTAGTAATTTATTTTTAATTTAATTTTACTGTGGCAAGAAAATATGTACTATAATATTTCAGTGTTTTGAAATGGTTCAGAAACATTTTATGGCTCTATCTTCATTAACATTTTCATATGCACTTGAAAAAAATGTGTATTCTTAATGTTTGATGAAGTACTCTATATGTCTATTAGAGCACCCAAGACAAGCTACCAAGTAACCAACTCATGATTCCACTAACCATGTAAAAGCCTGGTGCCCACTTACCACAGGGGGAGAACCTTAGCCAAGCAACAAGCTGACCAGCCTCATGCTTCCCTGAAGTATGGGCTGGACTGCACTCCACCCCCAGAAGAGTATAACCAAAATAGATGGATCAGCCACACAAACCTCTGCAGCCTAAGCTACTGAAGCATGCACATGTATCACTGACAGTAACTATAGCTGAAGAAACAGCACAAAACTGCACTATGGCACTGACCCAAAATGAAGTCAACCATTGGTTTTACCCTACCCAACCAACAATCTAGGACACATCTGCAGGTAAAAGTCTTTTCCCACAAAAACTACTCTACAAAATTGGAAGATATGACTATTCTGCCAAATATATGGATACAAGAAACATAAAAATGCAAGGAAGCATGACACCACTAAAGAAGCACAATAATTCTCTGTTAACTGAGAATTATACCAGTTCTTCTTTGGGAAGAAATGGAAATTTATGAATTGCCTGAAAAGGAATTCAAAATAATAGTATTAAGAAAACTCAGAAAAATATAAGAGTATGCAGATGAACAATTTAACAAATTCTGGAAAACAACTTATCATCTGAATTAACAATTCAAAATGAGATAGATATTAAAAAAGAACCAAACTGAAATCTTGAAGCTGAAGAACTCAATGAATAAAATTCTTTAAAATAATCCAGTCATATATAAAAAAGAATACAATAGAATAAAGAAAGTCTGTTGGACTATGGGACACCATTAAGTGAAAAAGTTTTTTAATTAAGAGAGTTTCAAGACAAGAGATGGGAAAAGGCTTGGAAAACCTATTTAATGATATAATATCTGAAAACTTCACAAGTCTTGGAAGACATATGGACAACTAAATTCAGGAAGCCAAAGATTCCATATAGTTTCAAACTAAAATGATCCTTTCTGAGGCACATTACAGTCAAACTGAAAAGTCAAAGACAGGGAATTCTAAAAATCTTAAAGAATAGCATCAAGTTGCATACGCGGGTGTGCCCATTAGAAGAATCTTCTCACAGAAGATTTCTCTCAGGATTCGACAGATCATCTAGGCAGAAAACCAACAAAAAACATAAGATTTAATCTGCAGTATAAAAAAAGGACCTAAAAAACATGTACAGAACATTCCATCCAGCAATAGCAGAATACACATTCTTCTCATTGGTGCCTGGAACGTCTCTCAGGATAAACCACATACTAGCCCAAAAAAATAAAGTATTAATAAATTTAAGAAAAATTAAAATATATCAAGTATTTTTGGGACCATAATAAAATAAACCTAGAAATCAATAACAAAAACTTTGAATACTGCACAAATACATAAAAATTAAACAACCTCTCCTAAACAACAATGTGTCAAGGAAGAAATTATTAAGGAAGTAAATAAATTTATTGAAACAAATAAAAACAGAAATACAACATGCTAAAACCTATGGAATACAACAAAAGTAGTATTAAGAGTGAGGTTTATACCAATAAGGACCTACATCAAAAATTTAGAGAGGTTTTAAACAACCTGACGATGCAACTCAATACACTAGAAAAGTGAAAACAAACCCAACTGCAAATTAGTAAAAGGAAATAAATAATAAAAGAGCTGAAATAAGTAACATAAAGACAAAAATAATATAATCAAATAAATTTGTCTTTTGAAAAGATAAATAAAATCAACAAGCTATTAGACTACCTAAGGAAAGAATAAAGAAAGAAAAACCAAATAAATAAAACCTAAAATGAAATATGAGACGTTACAGCAGATACCACAGAACTGCAAGGGATCATTACAGATGATTATGAACAACTATATGCTAAATAAAAATGGAAAACCTAGATGGAATTTATAAATTTCTGGACACATACATCCTACCAAGATTGAACCTGGAGGAAATAGACAACTTGAACAGACCGGTAATGACTAATAAGATTGAATCAGTAAAAAAGAAAAGAGCATTCTAACAAAGAAAAGCCTGGGACAAGATGACATTATTGGCAAATTCTACCTAACATTTAGAGAAAAATTAATAATATTTTTGAAATTATTTCAAAATATTGAAGGATGGAGAATTCTTCCTAACTCATTCTATGTGACAAGCATTATCCCTATACCAAAACCAGGAAAGGACACTCCAATAGCAACAACAATAACAATGAGAAAAAACCTAGAGGTCAGTATTTCTGATGAATATAGGGTGCAAATATCCTCAAGAAAATACCAACAAAGTAAATCCATAAGCACATAAAAAAGATTATACACCATGATCAAGTTGGACTTTCCTAGGGATGCAAGAATGATCCAGTATACATGAATCAATAATGTGATATATCATACCAACAGAATAAGGAATAAAAATCATGTAATCCTTTCAATAGATGCAGAAAAACCATTTGATAAAATTCAGCATTTCTTGATGATAAAAACACTCAACAAATTAGCTTTAGAAGAAACATACCTAAATGCAATAAAGGCCATGTATGACAAGTTCACAGCCAACATCATAATGAATGGGGAAAAGTTGAAAGCTTTTGCTCTAAGAACTAGAACAAAACAAGGATGACCACTTTTACAACTCTTATTCAACATAATACTGAAAGTCCCAACCAGAGCAATCAGGAAAGAGAAAGAAATAGAACATATTGAAATTGGAAAAAAGAAAGTAAATTGTCTCTGTTTGCAGATGACATGATCATATAATAGAAAAATCTAAAGGAGCCATCAAAAATCTCTTGGGTCCAACAAATGAATTCAGTAAATTTGCAGGATGTGAAATCAATGTATAAAAATCAGTACCATTTCTATATACCAACAATGAACCAGTGGACAAAAGTATCAGGAAAGCAATGCCATTTATAATAGCAACAAAATAAATAAAAAATGTAGGAAGAAATTTTCCAAGGAGATGAGAGATCTCTACAATGAAAACTCTAAAATATTGATTTTAAAAGTTGAAGAGCGCACACACACAAAAATAGAAAGATATCCTATGTTTATGGATTGGAAGAATAAATTTTGTTAAAATGACCATACTACCCAAGATGATCTACAGATTCAATGCAATCCCTGTAAAAATACCAAAGATATTCTTCACTGAAATAGAAAAAAAAAATCCTAAAATTTATATGGAACCAGAAAATACCCTAAGTAGCCAAAGCAATATTGAGAAAAAAAAAAAAAAAAAAAAAAAAAAAAAAAAAAAAACATAGTTAGAGGCATCACATTACCTGACTTCAAATTATGCTACAAAGCTATAGTAGTCAAAACAGCATGACATTGGCATGAAAACAGAAGTGTAGACCAATGGAACAGAATAGAGAACCCAGAAACACTTCCACATTTTATAGCCAGCTGCTATTCAATAAAGGTGCCAAAAACATTGGGGAAAGGACAGTCTCTTGGATAAATGGTGTTGGGAAACCTGGATATCCATATGCAGAAGAACAAATCTATTCCTCCATTTCTTACCATACACAAAACCAATTCAAAATAAATTAAATACCTAAAAGAAAGACTTGGAAACTATGGAACTACTAGAATAAAACATAAGTGAACTGCTTTAAAATATTGATCTTAGCAAGGATTTTATGGTTAAGACCTCAAAACCACAGGTAACAAAAGCAAAAATAGTGGGATTATATCAAATTAAAAATGTTCTACAGAACAAAAGAAACAATCAATAGAGCTAAGAGACAACCTGAAGGATGGGAGAAAATATTTGCAACTATTCATCTAATAATTGATTAATATCCCATATAGGTAACTCAAACAACTCAACAGCAAAAAAGTAAAAATAAAAATTGATCAAAAACGTTCAAATGATCTCAGTAGACGTTTCTCAGAGGAAAACATACAAATGGCCAACTACATGAAAACATGTTTAACATCACTAATTATTGAAAGAAAACAAACCAAAACCACAATGAGATATCATCTCACTCTGGTTAGAATGGCTATTAGTTTAAAAAAATGGTGATGACGATGCAGAGAAAAAGGAACTCTTATACATGATAGATGGGAATACAAATTTGTATGGATGTTCCTCAAAAAGATAAAAATAGAATTGCCATATGATCCTCCAATCCTATTATTGGGTATATATGCCAAGGAAAAGAAATTTGTTTGTCAAAGAGATATCTGCACTCCCATGTTTATTACAGCACTATCCACAATAGCCAAGATATGCAGTCAACCTAGTGTTCATCAACACATGAATGGATTAAAAAATGTGGCATATATACCATTCAGCCATAAAAAGCATGAAGTCTTGTCATTTGCAGCAACATGGATGGGCCTGGAGAACATTATGTTCAGTGAAATAAGTCAAGCATGGAAAGATCAATACCACATGTTCTCAGTCCTACGTAGAAACTTAAAAGTTGATCTCATAGAAGTAGAGAGCAGAATAGTGGTTACTAGTGGCTGAGAAGAGTGTTTAGGAAGGTTATGGATACAAAATTATAGCTAAGTTGGAGGAATAGTTCAAGTGTTCTATAGCACTGTAGAGTGAATATAGTACACAATAATTATTTTATTTTTTCAAATAGCTAGAAGAGAGGATTTTGGATGTTCCCAACACAAAGTTTTGAGGTGACAGTTATGCTAATTACCCTAATTTGATCATTACTCATTGTATACATGTATCAAAATATCACATTGTACCCCATCAATATTCACAATTATGTGTCACTTTAAAAATATTTATTTAAAAAAATTTAAAATATTTATTAGGCCAAGGTGTGTGATGGTATTATTCAAAACTATAAACTTATTAATTTTATTTTCTATTCTATTAATTACTAAAATATGGGTATTAAAATATCTAGGTATGACCACAGATTGTCTATGTATCGTATCAGTTCTGTTGGTGTTCTCAACGTATTTTGAAGCTTTGCTATTGCTATTGGGAGTATGCACATTTATGGTTATTGTGTCTTCTTTTTTTAAAATTACTCTTTATAAAATTGTTTTCTTTATCTCTAATTATCTTCCTGTCTTGAAAATTCACTTGTTTTTGTTGAAACAGTCCAGCTTTCATGTGATTATTGTTTACATTATATATCTTTTATTCATCATTTTACTTTCCACCTAAGACTTTATCTTTAAAGTACATGGATTATAGTCACCATATAACTGTTGAGCTCTTTTTTAAAAATCCGGTCTCAAAACATCTAATATTTAGTAGCATGTTTAGCCCATTTACATTAAATATAGTTGTTGATATTGTTGGATTTGTTTCCACCATTCTGTTATTTGTTTAGTATTTATCTCTGTATACTTTGCATTCCTCTGTTTCTCTTTTTCTGCTTTACCTTGGGTAAGTGGAATGCTTCTTTTAAGATTCAAGTTTAATGTTTATATTTTATTTTGCATTTTTAGAGGATCCTCCTTGAACTGTACTGTTCAATACAGTAGCTTATATGTACCTATATGTATCTATTTAAATTTCAAATTTAATTAATTAAACTGAATATAATGATTTGTCTATCACTTTCCTAGAGATAGAAATAACATAATCAAATTTGCATTTTAGAAAATAATTCACATTAAGAATGTTATAAAGGATGGACTCAAGGCAGGAACACACAGAGGATATGAAAATGAAAACAGGAATATAGAATGAGAGGATTTCAGAAAAATACATTATTATTAAATAAGCTAATATAATGAGGGTCTGAATTAGAGAAATGGCAATGAGTTTAGAATGGATTCTAGAGATACTTAGCAATAGAAGCAATGGGAATTACTGAATAGTGTTAGTGAAAGGCTCGTGAAAGAAAACCATGTCAAAGATGAGATTTGTAATTAGATCGATTGTTCTTTTTTAATGTTTTGACAAGCATCAGGAATACAGAAGCAGGAGACAATTTTAAAGTGAGGTGAGTAAAAAAATGAAATTAATTTTGAACTTAAAATTGCGTGCCTATGGCTTTTGGATGTGTCCAATAGGAAGGATGGAAGAGCAATATATTTTAATTTTGTGCAGTTAGTAAAATAACATCAAAGTCTCTAAAATTATACATCTCAGTACAGAAATGTATAAAATAGAAGCAAATAGGACAGTCTAATAGAATATAAAAATAATGAAATGGCATCTCACTGATTGTCTGATCATTCTCTCTTTTTGGAAATAAAGATTCCCAAACTACCTAATGCTGATTTCATTACTATTTTGTTATTTCAGAGTCTTCTGTTTCCGTTTTGGGTAGCCCTTTTCCTTTCCCAACTCCCTACTGCATTCAGTGAAAAGGGCTCTCAAGTTCACCTGTCAAATTCAATTAACTGCTGTAAGCTGTCCATGGTGACACTTGCTATAATTAATAGAGAAAACCAGCATAAATGCACCCTTCAGAGTACTCTGTAATTGAGTGTGAAGTCTCATGAGATCTCTTCCTCAATTCCAAGTGCATGGAGGTTTTGGATGGTATGTGGGTTGTGCTATAGAAACCATTTATAAACAAGTTGTATGTGTGTTGCCCAAACTTCCAAATACCAACAGGTTTGCACTCAGGAATCATGGTTTGAGAACACTGAGAGTTTTCTGTGTAAACAGGCAGTTTTAACTTCTTTTTTTGCTTATTTATCTGAATAGGTATTTCAAATTTTTCCCTTCTTTTTACTCTCACCTATCTATAAAAGAAAATTATTTCAATCTTCTGTAATATAATGACCATTGAATTGAACCATGTTTAATTCTAGGTGATAATTACATAATACTTTAATAAAAATAATATTTTCTTTCAAAAATAGCAAGCAACATTTTCAAATTACTTTCCTCATTGTCCACAAAATTTGACATATTTTCTTTTCTTTTTTTTTTTGAGACAGAATCTCGCTCTGTCTCCCAGGCTTGACGTCTCACTGCAACCTCTGCCTCCCCGGTTCAAGCAACTCTCCTGCCTCAGCCTCCTTAGTAGCTGGGACTACAGGCGTCTGCCACCACGCCTGGCTACTTTTTGTATTTTTAGTAGAGACGGGGATTCACCATAGTGGCCAAGCTGGTCTCGAACTCCTGACCTTGTGATCCACCCGCCTTGGCCTCCCAAAGTGCTGGGATTACAGGCGTGAGCCACCCCGCCCAGTGGATATATTTTCATAGTGGTCAGATTCATTAACACAACTTCTCAAAAGAGAAAATATTAAAATGTGCAGAAATAGTTTAAAATGCCATTAAAATTTAGGATTTCATGCTATTTTCTAAATAAGCATTAAGCAATATAACTTTGTCTCTGTAACAGAATTTGCAAAGCTTTCTTGGAGTGCCAGTGTGACAATTCTGATTAAAAGTTAAATTGATCACTACTAGATGGTAGCCTAGGCAGGGATTATTGGTCCATATTGCTAATTCCTAAATTTGTGTTGGGACAATAAGATAATACATGTGTTATAATTATCAGTTCTAGGCATAGAATGGGCATTTAGTAAATACTAGTCATTATTTTTATTTTTAAATTAACATTTAATAAATATTTACTGTGTATCAGTCATGGTATTAGGTAATCTAAAAATTGATTTGTTAATCAGTCCTTTTAAATTTTTCAATTCTGAATTTTTACTAAACTTTGATTATTTTTATAGTCCATATATTATATAGAAATATATTTAATTTTATAAATTTTAGCACAATTATTTTTAACAAAAAATTGATACTTAATTATAAGTATACTCTATCAATCCAAATTAAATACTAAGGCCTTAACATATTTTTTGCAATTTTTTTACTTCAACATTTTCACACCATTTTTAGATTGTCAAAGCTCTACATAAAGATATTATCCACAGTTACTTAAAACATTCGTTTCGAAGTCTCATGATATCAATGATCATAAGTTATATTTCATGTAGTGTACCAAAAAAACCCCACACAACTCATAGAATAAAAACTACTTACCAGACTCTGTAGAAGATACAATGCATGACCTTTTCCTTAAATACTTAAATAATTTTTTAAATATCTCCCCTGCATTTTAATAATTTAACCTTAGGTATTTTCATTTTACAAATGTAGATGTGCATAAAGACATTAAAAGTCTTATAATCAATTAGATATAAAAAATAAGATAAAAATTGAATTCAGTGTATTGTCATATTTTAAATTAAGACTTTATTTTTAAAATAAAAATAATGTACATAGGTTGTAAGGAATATCAATCATTCTGTTATAGAGACACATGCATGTGTGTGTTCATTGCAACACTAGTCACAGTAGCAAAGACATAGAATCAACTAAATGCCCATCAATTATAGACTGGATAAATAAATGCAGTATATATATATGTCATGAAATACTATGCAGCCATAAAAAAGAATGATATTATGTCTATTTAGGTACATGGATAGAGCTGGAGGCCATAATCCTTAGCAAACTAATGCAGGAACAGAAAACCAAATACCACATGTTCTCAATTATAAGGGGGAGCTAAATGATGAGAACACATGCACACATAGAGGGGAACAGCAAACACTAGGGCCTATTGGAAGGTGGAAGCTAGAAACTGGGAAGTGGAAGAGGATCAGGAAAAATAACTAATGGATGGTAGGCTTAACACCTGGGTGATGAAATAATCTATACAACAAACCCCCATGACACATGTTTACCTGTGTGACTAGCCTGCCTTTGTATCCCTGAACTTAAAATAAAAGTTAAAAAAAATAGGTTTTTCTCTTAGCAATGATGTATCTAAGGCAACGGATTAATTTACAATGAGAATCAATACCGCCATGATGACCACACACTCAGTGTCTGGGATCGGTGCATACTGTTTCTATAAGGCAGAGTGGCACATAGTTTAGAATAACAAATGAAGATTGCTGGGGAGAGTATGACTTGCTGAGTTAGTTTTAAAAATGATTTTTTAAAATTAGGCTACTGATGCTTTAAAATGTACACAATTATATGATTTCTTTACGGTGATTTTTAATGCATAATGCATTAATGTGTTGATTTCACAATTCAGTCTCTGAGAGCAACATTCATATTCCTAAATTCTTAGGACTATAGCTCACGTTAACTTCAAGATAAGGATAACAGTGTTTCTGTTTACTCTTTTTGTTTGTTTTATTCTGCCTGCTAATTCTCATCAGTTCCACTCTCCTTTAACTATGACAGTAGTTGAATATATTTTAATATCTACAGAAAATTTTAATTTTTACTCTTCTATTCAAAACTATTTAGTTATTTTTGCCTCTTTCTTATTCAGCAATAATTTCAGAAGTACTTGTGTTTTTAAATTTTCAAAAGGGACATCTTTAAATTATTATTGTAAGGCCAGGCGCGGTGGTTCACACTTGTAATCCCAGCACTTCTGGAGGCCGAGGCGGGCAGATCACGAGGTCAGGAGATTGAGACCATCCTCGCTAACACGGTGAAACCCCGTCTCTATTAAAAATACAAAAAATTAGCCGGGCGTGGTGGCGGGTGCCTGTAGGCCCAGCTACTCGGGAGGCTGAGGCAGAAGAATGTCATGAACCCGGGAGGCGAAGCTTGCAGTGAGCCGAGATCGCATCACTGCACTCCAGCCTGGGTGACAGAGTGAGACTCCGTCTCAAAAAAAAAAGAAAAAAAAAAAAAGATTATTACTGTAGTTAAATGAATTACATAAATATTAGAAAAACTGAAATGTTTAGACCTTCAGGCCATATCATTCACAAACACGATTTGCTTCTTCATTGACTCAAGGTTTTTATATTAATAAATTTTTATTTTCTTCATTCAGGCCTTACATAATGTTCTTCTATTTTGTATTTATGTAGAATTATGGCCAAGATTTTTTTTCATTATAATGTACTATTGCTGGTATTCAGAAATGTCTTTATTGGAGAACTGGAATATTGGCATATTGGAAAAGTTATTTATCTCCATTTGAAATGGTCTTATATCAAGGCCATTTGTTGAATGATCTCATTATTCTTACCCATTTATATCCACCAGATCCAGTTTTATCCAAATGATTTTATTCGTTGAGGGAAGATTTATGACCTTATAGCAGGCATTGTGTGAACCTGGAAAGATATATAGAAATAAGGAACTTTTATAACCAGTGCATGAAGGCAACTTGTTCTAGTGAATGGGAAAGGATGAAAAGAAAAACAAAAAAGTGGATATTAAAGGTGGCATTGAAAAAAAGAACAAACATCCAGCCTAGAGAATCGGTGTATTACCATGCAATGCTTTATAGACTTGCCTCAAACCACTTTGCTTACCTTCAGTTATGGATTTGTGCTTGGCTGTGTTTTTCCTTGCCAATATGTGAAACCGCTCTATCTCATTTGATTCATAAAGTGTTGAACATCTTAAACATGTTTAATTGCCACATAATCATACATATTAATGGGTTACAGTGTGATATTTCAATATATGTATACAATGTGTAATGATCAAACCAAGGTAATTAGTATATCCATTACCTCAAACATTTATTATTTCTTTATGTTGAAAAAAATCAAAATCCTCTTTTCTAGCTATTTGAAAATATACACTAAGTTACTGTTAACTATAGTCACTCTACAGTGCTATCAAATGCTAGAACTTATTCCTCCAATCTAGCTGTAATTTTACATTTATTAACCAAACTCTCGCTATCCCCTTACCCTTTCCAGACAGTATATATAATAAAGTCTTGCCTTACTACTTTCAACAGGTATTATATTATTCTTAAAAATTATCATGCCAAAAAGACTTGTCTCTAGGCATCACTGTTCAGAGATTTTTGAATTTTGGGGCAAAAAATCAATCTGTGACTATAGACAGATCCTATAAAAATCATAGATATTCATTTGGAGTATAGTAGTTATAAAAGCCTTTCTTTCTACTTTCAGAAAATTTCAAGTGATGATTATTTTGGGGTGACGATGTTGAAAATGTATAGTATAAGAAAGAAGTACCTGCCCTGGGAAGCCATGAGCTGTGAGCCCCAAAACTTTGTTGGATAGTAAAAATTTTTTTTTATGTCCAGGTGCTACAAATACTAGTATTTATCTAAACAGAGTTAACACTATTTCCATATAGAACATATCTGTTTTGAAGAGGCATTGATCTCTTCCAAATAAAATAATGCCAAAATCTATTGATTTAATTGACATTCACCTTTTTAACCCCGAGCCTAGGAAATTTTCAGGCTTCATTGCACTTCTTGTCTGCAATATCTCTTTTTATATGTTTATATATATGTGTGTGTATATATATACATATATAAACATGTATATATATAGTGTATATATACATATGTACTATATATACACTCAATATATTTATAAGTTAGAACTTCTAAACAATGTATATTCAGCTTTCTGTTTTCATATTTTTTTCTAGTCTGGGGTAAACAGTATGGCAATATGTATCTGATGGGGTAACAGAGCAGTATTGTTTGCCCTATTGCTCCCTTATTTCAGCAACAAGTCACAATTGTACGAAAATACAGAAAAAAATCCAGAAAGACGTGGGGAATTACTTCTGGAGTATCACAGAACCAATAGTAAAGTTACAGCCTCTGGCTTGCCGGGGCTGTACTTCTTCACTATGTTATTGGTGCTGTTGTGCTTCTAATTTGAAAAGAAAAGGGAATTCTGTTGTCACTGGGGCAGCTTTTGGATATATGGCTAATATATATTTTTAAATTTTCTGGCACAGAGGAACATCCTATACATTTATTTACTATTTTGTTTTAAAATTTCTAAGAATATGTTTGCATATGAATTATATGAGAAAATATAAAATTTGGGAAAATTATACACAGATATATTTTTGTAGTTTATCAATTATTATCAAATAACATTTTTAACTATGAAGTGAAATCACAGGCACAAAACCTAATGGGCCTTCAATCAAACATTATATTTTCGAGCAATGTTAGCCTTACAGATGTTTTTTTCTGATCAACTATCTGGCTATCTGGCTATCTGTCATAGACTTAATTAGCTCGAAGACCAAGAATTCACTTTATTGTTTTTAAAGAATTTCTTATTTGTGTTACCCGGCGAAAAATTCAAATGTCAAATCTACAAGCATACTAAGAACTCAAAACACTGTTGAGAGACAACAGGGAAATGAATTTTCATCTAGAAATCAAGAGACACAGGTTCTTATCATATTTTAACATCAGGATTACATGTGTGACACTAGGAAAATCAGTTCTTCTGGTTTTCAGGTCCTTCCTTTACAAAACAGAATGGTTGGACTAAATAATCAATGCAAAAATATTTTGATATTGTCACATAGTCATGTTTAATGGCTATTGGATATTGTAGAACAAGAATTATAGAAGTGAAGTGGTGATTGTTACATTTACCATAATGAATAATCATATCCTTGGGCTTATATAAGGATCAGAGTTCAAATAAAATTTTAAGATTGTTGAAATAAATTATTTTAGCTCTTCTACTTTCATTTTCTTTTCTATGATTATGTAATCTCATGAATTATGATTAATTTATGAATAGTAGACAATATATTATGCTATGCCACTGTAGCGGAAACATAGACTCCAAATAGATTTTTCTAATGGCAAGGTGAACATAACCAAAGACTGATGTTTGAATTCATATGGCTTTCTTACATGTAGAAATTGCCTTCTAAGAAAATTAGCTCAGCCCCATTTGAATCAAACTTTGGAATGTGTGGTAAGATACAAGGGAAAGTTTTACCATTGCAGAGCCCAAATTTTGCTGACTAGGACTCTGCCACAGTACCTCCTGATTCAGAAAAGAATAAACAATATACAAACTAAACTCTGCTGAAGTAATCATTTTCATTAGCTCGATTTTCATCTCACCCTGAATTGACCCTGGAGCTCTATTTATACTTAAACTTTAAGTATAATTGTGAAATACGGTAAATGAGGAATACATGAACCTGAGTAAATTTACAAAGTCAGCTCTGTAAAAACAGATTCTTAGAGGTCAAACTAAACTAATATGTAAATCTGTAATGGTTTTCACCTCCAGAAATAGAGGTTATTCTTTCCCTCAAAATAATTACCATCATTCTAGCTTTGTAAGTATGCATTGTTATTGCTTTGTAAGACAAGCTGATTTCAAATCTTGCTTTTCCTCTGTTTTTTAATCCTTATTATAGTATTTTTATGTTGCTCTATTCTTCTTTTAAAATGTTTCTATTTTCTTAATGCAGAAACAATTGATCTTGATGGAACAATCTTGTTTTTATATAAAATTTCAAGCTGGTGATGACATGTGTAAAAGGAAAAGTGCTGCAAGCAGTAAATGCTGTTCAGTTTGCAGTCCATTACATCAACATATCTAAATGATCCTCTTTAGCCCAGTAAGTACCTATACTGTGCTTACTCTTTCCAAAATGTTTTCCATTTCTTTAAAATCCAAGTTGATGATAACTCTTTCATAGGGCAGAATTCAAGTAAATATTGTAAAGGAATAAAGACTTTGCAATGACCTTTCTATATGTGATTATACAACGCAATCCCAAATTATTTGAAGAGCTAAAGATTAGGCACTCTAAGCTGGGAGTTGAATGAGGAGACCTAAGTCAACAACGATAATTTACCTTTTATTTTTTAATGTAGAAAGTATTTGAACTATCATGTATATTTTTCTCTATGTTGCTATTTAATACTAATAAGACTTGCCCATGACTAATTTATTTTTTGACTGGCAATTTAATTATGAATAAGCCAACAAGATTATCTCATACTTCAAAGGAATAGTCATTTTCCTAACAGTCTTTGTATTATCTGATGTATATTTAGGGAAGTTATCACACTAGCTTACCACCAATTATAGTATTATTGATATAAAAAATTAAGACCACATAGAGAATGATTACAGAAAAGTAACTACAAGACATTTGAGGTTAGTTGTAATGGAATTATTAAATGAAAACCAAAGAAAGTATTTGATTTAGATCAGGCAAATAGAATCTTCTTGACTCAAGGCTCCAACCTCATTTTATTCGATATTAAAACATTAAACTAACTAATTAGTAGTTCCAAACACATTTGCTAAAAATCTAATCATGTTTACATTTTAACGAAACTATGGCTTCCATGCTCTTCCAGATTTGATATCCAAATACTGTATGCAACTCCTCAATTATCTAGCAAAGCAACTGACAGCAAATCAAGACAAGGTATAGGAGACTATAACACAATTGGAGAGCACATGCAGTTCTGAGAGAGAGAAATGGAATGTTAAGACTAATAAGACATCTAGCATGGTTCTTGGAACAGTGGGAGACAGATTGTCTGTTGCTTGATTGGAAGATTGATGCAATGACAATGTATGAATGGCTGACTCCACTTGGCTAGCTAGTATAACCCCGTTTGTAATGCAAACACATTCAATCGCAATGTTACTATAAAGTCCAGTACCAAGGCAAAAACACAAAGTAGAAAGACATCTGAGCAGCATGTGAATTATAATGTTAAAGATTTCACCTTTGAGTTATTTCATTTACTGAAGAATAAATAGGTTTATTCACGTCTGGATTTATTTTGCTTACTAGCTTAGCCACAGATACCCATAATGCTTGTCAATCAACTATGCTGGTTCTCTGTGGCCATCACAGTGAGTATTTTTATAAAAAATACTGTGAAACAGATGCACACATAATAGGAATATAATGGTAGGAAAACCATTTCTGCCACCTAAAACTATTCTACAGAGAGATTCTTGACTTTTAATAAGGTAAAGAGAAAGGATTCCATAAGCTTTAAGTCTTATAGTATTTATATTTTATTCATACTTACAAAAGGGATTATATTGAGTATTTAGAATTCTTTTTTTTTACTTCTAATGTAATTTTATTTTACTAAGTATTTTTAGGATTTTCCATTTATTACCTTTTAAAATTTTCATCCATGAGAACAGAGCTTTCCATATTCAACATTTCTTAAGCTATGCATAATTTTTATGAAGTTCTTATTTTTTAATGGTTTTTTAAAAAATTTTATTATTATACTTTAAGTTTTAGGGTACATGTGCATAACATGCAGGTTTGTTACATATGTATACATGTGCCATGTTGGTGTGCTGCACCCATTAACTCATCATTTAGCATTAGTTATATCTCCTAATGCTATCCCTCCCCCCTCCCCCCACCCCACAACAGTCCCCGGTGTGTGATGTTCCCCTTTCTGTGTCCATTTGTTCTCATTGTTCAATTCCCACCTATAAGTGAGAACATGCAGTGTTTGGTTTTTTGTCCTTGCGATAGTTTGCTGAGAATGATGGTTGCCAGTTTCATCCATGTCCCTACAAAGGACATGAACTCATCATTTTTTATGGCTGCATAGTATTCCATGGTGTATATGTGCCACATTTTCTTAATCCAGTCTATCGTTGTTGGACATTTAGGTTGGTTCCAAGTCTTTGCTATTGTGAATAGTGCTGCTATAAACATACGTGTGCATATGTCTTTATAGCAGCATGATTTATAATCCTTTGGGTATGTACCCAGTAATGGGATGGCTGGGTCAAATGGTATTTCTAGTTCTAGATCCCTGAGGAATCGCCACACTGACTTCCACAATGGTTGAACTAGTTTACAGTCCCACCAACAGTGTAAAAGTGTTCCTATTTCTCCACATCCTCTCTAGCACCTGTTGTTTCCTGACTTTTTAATGATTGCCATTCTAACTGGTGTGAGATGGTATCTCATTGTGGTTTTGATTTGCATTTCTCTGATGGCCAGTGATGATGAGCATTTTTTCATGTGTTTTTTGGCTGCATAAATGTCTTCTCTTGAGAAGTGTCTGTTCATATCCTTTGCTCACTTTTTGATGGGGTTGTTTGTTTTTTTCTTGTAAATTTGTTTGAGTTCATTGTAGATTCTGGATATTAGCCCTTTGTCAGATGAGTAGATTGCAAAAATTTTCTCCCATTCTGTAGATTGCCTGTTCACTCTGATGGTAGTTTCTTTCGCTGTGCAGAAGCTCTTTAATTAGACCCCATTTGTCAATTTTGGCTTTTGTTGCCATTGCTTTTGGTGTTTTAGACATGAAGTCCTTGCCCATGCCTATGTCCTGAATGGTATTGCTTAGGTTTTCTTCTAGGGTTTTTATGGTTTTAGGTCTAACATTTAAGTCTTTAATCCATCTTGAATTGATTTTTGTATAAGGTGTAAGGAAGGGATCCAGTTTCAGCTTTCTACATATGGCTAGCCAGTTTTCCCAGCACCATTTATTAAATAGGGAATCCTTTCCCCATTGCTTGTTTTTGTCAGGTTTGTCAAAGATCAGATAGTTGTAAATATGTGGCATTATTTCTGAGGGCTCTGTTCTGTTCCGTTGGTCTATATCTCTGTTTTGGTACCAGTACCATGCTGTTTTGGTTACTGTAGCCTTGTAGTATAGTTTGAAGTCAGGTAGTGTGATGCCTCCAGCTTTGTTCTTTTGGCTTAGGATTGACTTGGTGATGTGGGCTCTTTTTTGGTTCTATATGAACTTTAAAGTAGTTTTTTCCAATTCTGTGAAGAAAGTCATTGGTAGCTTGATGGGGATGGCATTGAATCTCTTATGCAAGATTATAATGTTTCTATAAGCATTGCATTTTGAATTCTATGCTGAATAGATATTTGCAAACCGTGATGACTCATATTAAACTATAATTTATATTTTTTCCAATTTTCCATTGTGAATTCTCTTTGTAACTTATTCTAATGCCTTAAAATGTCCTAAGCGAAGATCATTATTATACAACGTAATAAAGATTTTCTGCTTCAGATGAAACTAGTCTTTTTTTTTTTCTGAATGTAGAATATCTGGTCATTATTCTTTATAATTTATGCTTAAATTCTTTTGTTAGGTGAACGTTATTAAGTACCACATTAGTCCTATATTTACAGTTTCTGTAAGTAAATGTTTGGGAAATGAATGAGTTTCTTACTTAAAGCAATTTTTTTCTTTCATTTGAGTTTTGCATTTTCTACCTATAGTGTTCTTGTGCAATTATGATACTTCCCTTACTAGATTTGTTTTCTTTTTGAATTTGTTTTCAGTGATCTGCTTTCTGATTTAACAATTTGGATAGAAATTAGGAGAATGGTAAGATGGTGGCCTGATAATTTATGATAATTCCATATTCCTTGCAGAAAATTTAAAGAATAATTGAACATGGTTGGTGCATAGTAGGTACGTCAGGAGCATCTAAGACTGCATTCTTTTTCGTTCTTGAAGTATTTATACTTTTAAAGTTAAAAATGAACTCTGTGATTTTGTATACACTAACTTTTTAAAGTATCTAAAAAATATATCAGTTTGCCTCACTAAGATTGAGCCATTACTTACCAATTCATTTATCACTCACTTTTTACTTGTCTTCAGCCTTATTCTTTTGACTGTACTTTATCACTAATAAAGTTCTTAATATTTATTCTTTATTTAAAGAGACATTTCTGTAAGTAAAAAGATCCCAGAAGGACTGAAAATATGAAATTTCAGAAAAATATATATAAAAATTTATTAAGTTCAGCAACAGTAATACCAATTAAACTAGTATTTAGGAGAAATCTTGTCAAACTGATAGAAATTATAGGTAAATATATACCAACAAATACTATCAAAAATACATTTGGAAAATTAACGGCAATTTAAAAAAAGTAATGTACACTAAAACAAATTAAAAGTAAATTTAATAATGCAATTAATGTTGATAAAACGAAATATTGCTTAAATTGATCCAAAAACAGAGGTTAATTTTTGGTGCTTGTTCTTTCCAAAATAATAAAAATAAAATATTACACAAATGTCTAGTAATAAAAATCACAGGGAATTAAAAAAACATAAAATTAGGAATAAAAAAGGAAACAAAACTGTAATGTAGTAGAAATTGAAATATATGTAAAACAATAACCAGGATAAATTGCATGCCAATACATTCAAAGACTGAAATGTAACTTATAGTTTTATAGGAATATATTAATAATTTTAACTCATGAATTTATAGCAAACAAATAAAATATAGCCATTAAATAAATTGAATCTGTAGTAAAACAGTTTTATAAAGGACACTTTTTATTGGTATGTTTACTAATCCAAGAGGAAGTTAGTTTCTATTTTACATGAAATATTTCACATAAAATGGGAAAGATATCTAACTTATTTTTATACCAAAATTGGAAAAAATACAAGAAATTTGCAAACATTTTTTCAGTTAAAAATTTGAATACAAAATATTTTCAGACAAAATGAAGCAGAGTACTAGAATTTATATATCAGGATAAAGTAGTACAAATACCGTGAATATAATGTCATTCACCATCACATAAATTTATCAATGTAATTCACCTCATGAACATAAAAAATATTTTACCAAATGCAACAACTCTTCTTAATTTAAGAAAAAAAGACAGGCAAAACAAAAAACTTGGTGAATTAGGGGTAGATGAGATATATTATCTGCTGAAAAATTGTAGCAAATACACTTTTATATGTTTTGTACATTTGCACTTAGTGTTTTGTTTTTTAATTAATTTATATATTTTTAAAATTATAATATTGATTTTTAAATTTCCAAGGTAGATGTGTTTGTGTGTCTATGTGCCTGTGTGTGTCTGTATGTGCATACACATGTATTTGTGGGTTTGTGTGTGTGTGACAGGAATAAAAAATCAGAGAGAGAGAAAGTACCAAAAACTGGCTACCTCTAGAATATACACTGAGTTTGGCAAGAGAGAAGGGTGTGTTGGAATTTTCTTATTTTATTGTGTACAATATTTAATGTTTGTATATTTATACAATATACATATATTATTTTCTTTATTTTGTTTTGGAAACTTGTGAGTTGTTTATTTCTGGACTCTTTCTTTTTTAAAAACTTTTAAGTTGAAGGGTACAAGTGCAGGTTTGTTACATAGGTATCATGGGAGTTTGTTGTACAGATTATTTCATCACTCAGGTATTAAGCCTAGTGCCCATTAGTTATTATTCTGATCCTTTCCCTCCTGCTACCTTCCACTTTCCGATAGGCTACCATGTTTGTTTTTTCCCTCTACGTGTCCATGAGTTCTCATCATTTATTAGGTTGGTGCAAAAGCAATTGCAGTTTTTGTCATTAAAAGTAAGAGTTCTCACTTATAATTGAGAACATGTGGTATTTGGCTTTCTGTTCCTGCATTAGTTTGCTAAGGATAATGGCCTCCAGCTCCATCTGTGTTCCTGAAAGGACATTATCTCATTCATTTTTTACGGCTGCATAGTATTCCATGATATATATGTACCGCAATTTCTTTTCCAGTCCATAATTGATGGGCATGTAGGTTGATTCCATGTCTTTGCTATTGTGAGTAGTGCTGCAATAAATATGTGCATGCATGTGTCTTTATGATAGAATGATTTATATTCCTTTGGGTATATACCTGTAATGGGATTACTGGGTCAAATAGTATTTCTGTCTTTTGGTCACTGAGGAATCACCACACTGTCTTCCACAATGGCTGAAGAAGACATTCATGTGGCCAACAATCATATGAGAAAAAAAGAGCAGTATCACTGATTAGTAGAGAAATACAAATCAAAACCACAATGAGATAACATCTAACACCATCAGAATGCCTATTATTAAAAGTGAAAAAAATAAAAGATGCTGGCGAGGTTGTGGAGAAGCGACACTGTTGGTGGGAGTGTAAACTAGAAAAGTCTATTTCTGATGTATTGACAAATCATGATTCAGACTATGGCAGTCAGAAAGCCAGTCCCTGTATTAGAGTAAATTTATCATGGAATAGCCTTTCTAGGAAGAGTCTTGGGAGGCAACATGATAGCCTTCTCCTGGTGGTATTTGACTTGACTGCTGGGTGCACATGACTTTTCTTCTGTGATTTCACATTTGATATTTAATAAATATTATGATAGAATGGTGAAATTTTGATTTGTACGATAAAATATATTGAGAAATTATGGTATCAGCAATAAATTAATATGTCTATTTCTCCTACGTTCAAGAAACGTAATTGCTCTGAAGTGCTTAAATGTGAAAATAAACAAGCTAGATGAAAATGCAGGTGAAAATTTGCCTCATCTCTGGATGAAAATCACTTTCTGCGCATAAAAGTAATAAAATAGGGTTGAGCACGGTAGCTCACACCTGTAATCCCAGCACTTTAGGAGGGCAAGGCAGGCAGATCACTTGAGCTCAGGAGTTTGAGACAGCCTGGACAACATAGTGAAACCCTGTCTCTATTAAAAATACAGGAAATTAGCCGGGCATGGTGGTGCATGGCTGTAGTCCCAGCTACTCAGGAGGCTGAGGTGAAAGAATCACCTGAGCCTGGGGAGGCAGAGGTTGCAGTGCACCGAGATCCCGCCACTGCACTCCAGTCTGGGTGACAAAAGTGAAACCCTGTATCAAAAATAATAATAATAATAATAATAATAATAATAATAATAATAAAATATAAAAAAGTTAATAGATTTTACCTCAACACATTACAATTTTATCTAAATATCAAAAAGTTAAAACTACAGCTGAAAAAAAATTAACTATTAAAAAATAAGGAAATACGATAGTATCTATAGCAAATGAACATTCAAAAGAAAATGTCAGGCCAGGCATTGTGACTCAGGCTGTAATCCCAGCCCTTTGGAAGGCCAAGGCGGGAGGATCACTTGAGGTCAGGAGTTCAAGACCAGCCTGGCAAACATGGTGAAACCCTGTCTCTAATAAAAATACAAAAATTAGCCAGGTGTGGTGGCGGGCACCTGTAGTGCCAACTAATTGGGAGGCTGAGGCATGAGAATCACTTGAACATGGAAAGTGGAGATTGCAGTGAGCTGAGATTGCACCACAGCACTCCAGCCTGGGCAACAGAGCGAGACCCTGTCTCCAAAAAAAATAAAAATAAGTCAAAACCCACTATTAATAGACAAAGACCGTAAAAAATTCACAAAGGAGGAAATATATAGGATTAATAAAATTATAAAAACGTGCCCAAGGTAGTAGTAAAATAAACACAACAACACAAAAATGAAATATCTTAACTGTCAAATTAGAAATAATTAACAACGATATTAATATTTAAAGATTGAATGAGACAGGTAAAGTCTTATACTAGTTGGAAGGTAAAATAACAAACTTTTTAAGAAGCAATTTGTTGATATTTACTTAATTTTGTTGATCCATTCTTTATAAGGAAAAGTGAATTCTATGTCCTGCAAGAAAAACAGTTGCAATCTCAGGCAGTCATTCCAAAAGATACAAAAAATAAAGAGCAATATTAAACATGCAAATTCGTATTACTAATATTTTGTTGGTACTAGTACCTGTGAAGTTATCACCAAGCTACTTTCAGAATAAGTCTGGCAACAAATCTCACCTAATCTCCCTCTTCCTCTCCCTCTCTGTCTTTGGTGGTGATAATGATGAATGAGAGGTAAGAAACTAGTTCTCTAAGTGGAATACACACACAGGGTGTGCATGCACACACACACACGTTGCAGTTTGGATTCTTTGGGACAATTGGAGACCATGTCTAAATGTCTAGGTTTTTGAGAGTGTGCTCTAGAGAATAATTAATATTCTTAATTACTTCTTTTATTCTTGCTCTCTTAGCTTGTTTCTCCTTTCTTCTGTTCTGATCAATTCATTGTAGCACATAGCACATTCTCATAACCAAATATCAAACATGATTTTAGCTAGAGAAAGTATTTGAGTCTTAACATACAGTATTATAATTCTTCCTTAGAGATAATTTCTTCTGGAATTACTAGACTTGTGGTGTTTGCCAAGGGCATGCCTATGGGGAACATGAAATAAAGCAGCAGATTTAACTTTAGGTGACTGTAGAAGTAACTAGTAACTTTTATGCCACATGAAATATTTACATGGTTAAAACAAGCTCTCTCATATCAAGTGTTAGGCCTCTCTGTGGGCATTCCTAGAACATGTGGATTACTCATTTCTTAAGGGTTTCATCTCCCAAAAGAAAAAATATTGTACATGTTTATATAAGAATTTAGATATATTAGCATACAATCATCCTTTGGGTTCCTTGAGAGGATTGGCTCCAGGACTGCTTGAAGATAGCAAAATTTACAGATGCTCAAATTTCTTATATACTTATCTCTATCCTGGGACTGCAAGAAAAATGGAGTAAGCAGAGCATTGACTGGAATGACTGTGAGACCATACGTGACAAGGCATGTACAATAAGGATACTTTTAATATGACATTCAATCATTAAGAACTCCATCTTTGAAGCCTTAATAAGTTTCAGAATCTATTCAAGGAGTTCAATATGTATTGACTTGTTTTATCCTCACAACGCCACAAAGATAAAGGCACATTTATTATCCTTATTTTAAAGCTAAGAAGATTGAGTTAGAGAGTTTTGCTTGCCCAAGTTCACCCAGATCTTAAGTGACAGAGCAGGATTCAAATCCAAAAACTTCGTTTAATATACTGATATCTGACTTCATTTCAGTGAAGGTATGTGCACATCTATCCAACTGCAGTTAATTTGGCATTTATTTTTAAGTAAAGATTTTGTAAAATTTATTATCTGGTTGATTATAAGAACAGCTGATGAATCACTATTTTAAAATCTTCATAGTTTCCATAAATAAGCTAATTTCCTTTAGCTGCTTCATACTGGAGATTTTATAGAAGCCAAAGAGTTGCCAGTACAGTGCCCTCTTTTATGTATACTTAACCCAGAATGTAGGACAAGTTTGAAAATCAAGGTGCTCAGAGTACGTTTCTGGAACCTCTTCACTGAGTAGCTTCTGTGCATGGAAGAACTGTGACCTGAAGAACAGGAGTATCTGTGATAGACAGAGGCTGTGTAAACCTTTCCCTTCTGTGTATGGACACAAAACCAGGTCTTGCTTGCCAGTAGATGTTGACACTGGTGAGTGAGATAACGAGGGAGTTACCCCTCCCTCCTGCCCCTCCAGTATCTCATCTCTAACGTGATTATTATAGCAGTTCTCTAAAATTCTTTCCAGTTAGAAAATTTATGCACTTAAGTTGCTGTGAATATTCTCACTGAATCTCAAACTTCCCTAGTCAGAGACTTTTAAAAGGCTACCCCTTGGCACTCCAAGATTGTTAAATTCAATAAAATGCTTACCATGAATTCTAAAAGTGTTGCCAATGTGCCATTCAGATATTTACAAAATTTTCTCTTGACTTGAATAGAAAATACCTTACTTCTAAATTGAGATCCTTTGCTTTTGCTATCAGAAAAAAAAATGTTCATGGGAACTAAGGAAGTAATAAGAGGGGAGGGGAAGAGAGAAAGAGAGAGATAGGAAAAAAGGGAGCTGGAGAGATAGTGCTGGTTCATAGCATTGCAGAACAAAGCTAAATGCTAACTGTGACAGAGTAAGGTTTATATGGCTATCACTTCCCATTGAAGTTACAGGTTTCATTTATTCAAAATGTTTTTAAAGCAGTCAGGTATTCAGCCAGCCCAAATAATAAAAAAAAAAAACTTGTATCTTCCTCAAAGAATGAATTTGATTCTGATTAATGAATAGCAGAGAGCTAGCTAATTTTATTTTTATACTAAATTTCACAGCATTGAACGCTCTTGATAGAAAAATCAATCACGTAAAATACCTCCTGTCTTCAGGAATAGAATATCTAAAGTGCTTCTGAAGAGAAAGGCATTAGATTTTAAATAATTGAAAACAATTTTTTCAGACAATTCATCTTCTTTAGAATTGTTTACCAAATAAAGGCTTAGAATAAAAACGACAGTACATGTGAGAATTATCTTTCCAGGAAAGGATCTTTTCAGGAAAGGATCAAGGAGAGAATACAAAAGGGTAGCATAGGAGGGATTTGAAACTGTCATGATGACAGATAGTACAAAATTTAGATAGGAGAAAATGTATAGTCATTGATACTGTTTTGTTTCTGTTTGAAAATATGGAGAGGTAGACATGTTTGGAAGTGATTGTAATACAACTTGAAGATAAGTTGATAATGAAGGAAAAAGAGCTAGGCAGTAAGAATGATGGGCATGATGAAATGAACAAGAATTATTATTGTCTCAGAAAAGGAGAGAAAAGGGAAGAGTGAAAAGAAAGGCAGAAAAGTAATTTCAGTGGTTTTAATATCAATTTAAAAAACACATTTATATTTTCAGGAGTGAAAATAAAGGAGACATGACTTCAGGAATCTTCTCATAACTGTTCCTTCTGGTGCTGCTGTTAAATAATCAAATTTCACCACACTTCTGCCTAATAGTAATAGTGAGGGCAGTGACCCATGCCTAACACCAAACTGTAAACTATCAAAGTTCAGAAAATACCTAACTAAATCACAGAATGTCTGTTAGGAATAGTTGTTACAAATTATTTGAAACTGGACCAAATTTTAATAAAAAGAATCCAAATAGGTTATATTACTTGAATTTGTTGATTTTTAAGTATTTTAACTTCTAAAATTATTTTATATCCCAATTAATTAAAGAATATAATTTGATGTTATAATTTCTAAATTCCAACTCAGATGCACATGAAATATGGCAGTATGACAAACTTCAGTATTGTAAGAACTCATCTACATCTTTATGAAATTTAAATTGTTCTGAGCATATTCTGAAAGCATTTTCTGTGAAAAAAATTAAGATTTTAGTTATCAACAAAACATTCATTTCAATATACAGAAAAGTAGACAATATCATTCAAGTGATTTTTTTCATTCTTCTTGATAGCAGGAGTATAATGATAGCCTTGTTAATAAAATCACTCTAACAATGTTATTTCTTATAGTCGTAGAAACTACAAATAAAGTATCATATGTAAAGTAACTGGTACAGTACTTGGTATAGCATAATTATTTAATGATTGGTTGATAAATACATTATTTAATATTAGCCTCATTGTATTCATTCATCTACTTATCGATACACAATTTACATATATACAAAGCATATATAATGTAAATATATACATATATGTACATGTGTAGATGCACATATGTAGATTATTTTAATTTGAACCTGTGAAAGGGCACTGAATAATTCTGTTGCATATATATTTTGTGTCGAATTTCTTTGTAGGAAAATATTTAGGTTCTAAATATCAAGGGCTGCAATCATTCGCTCTGTGCTCTCTCTGTCCCAAGTGCCTGGCACATAGTAACATGCTCTATTGATATTTATGGATTGAATTTGAAAATGAATGCAGTGTTCTGAAGAGGCACATTTCCTTTAGGTATCTTAATATGCTTCATATACACTTAATACCATGGTGTCCTACTGGCTTTCCTCCATCTTTCCTATGACCTTATCAATGTATGTCCCATATATTACAGCCACACCCATCATATTTTTGCAGATAGGGCTTTTCTTTCTGAAGTTTTGTCATCTGTTTGTTCATAAGGTCTTCATTTTCTGTAAATTTTTGTCACCTAAAAGCTGCCACAGTCCTTCTCATTATTTATATTGCATTAGCTTCCTTTTGTATAATTATTTAACTTTTGGGATAATTATCTCTAATTTCTTAATAGACTTTGAAATTGAGAGCAAATACTGTGGCCCATATTCCTTTATTACAATTTATATTATTATTTATTACATTTATTTTCTCCAGTAAGAGCTCAATAAATATTTACTGTCTTGGGAAGTTTCCCAAAACAGAAAATTATTTCTCAATAATATACAATGGTGTGGGGAAATTGTCACTCTCATATACTGCTTGTGGGCAGTAAATTTAGTTTAGTTAAATAAATATCATTAGATAGGCCTCTGTGAAAACCTCTGCCCCTTTTCATCTCAGCCACTGTGAGAAGTTTCTCCATTTGTTCTTATGGCAAAGAATGCATAATCCTAGCACTTGACTGTGTCTCTCAATACTCTGAAATTTCTTTGAGAATGAGGACAGAGAAATGTTCTTGTTGTTCAGCGCAATCCCTATATAGCATTCACTGAATTAATGTCTGTTAAGTGAATTCTAAAGTTACAGAAATTTTCTGCTTAATTTTTTTATTATCTGCTATTACATTAACAAGAAATATTCTAAGATCATATGATGTTGGAGTGACGAAAATAGTTATTTTCTAACACACGAACTTTTTGTTAACCTCATTATTCCTTATTTTATGCAGTAAAAATCATCTGAATGTACATAATTTTTTCTTTGTTTTGGGGGATAAATTCTACTTTAAATTCAACTTTCTATGTCTTACTACAACTAGTAAATGTAAGATAATGAAATTTTTCTCCTGACTAGAAGAAATAATTTTATGCCAATCTAAATACAGCACCCATCCGGAGGGGGCAAACTGATTTCCTCACATATACCAACACTGCCTGCCAGCAAAAAGTTTAGTTCCAATCTGTCAACATGTTTATCTAAAAAACAGTATCTGTATAATTATTTGTGCATTTTGCTGCATTTTCTTAATAAAAATGATTAACAGCAGTGACAAGAAGTATATCTCATAAACTGAATGCAAATTAAACAAAAATAAAAACACTGTTTCTCAAAATGGCTAGCCCTAGTTAGAAGATGCTTGGGATTTAATTCCTCCATCTGTGAAGGAAAAGAAACGAATTGTTAAATGCATGTGAAGTATTATACTAAAGAACTATTATCAATAATTGTGTCTAAAGTTAAGTTTAATTAAGGAGGTTGAAACATTTTAAGCTCTTTTAAAACAAAACCATGTTCATAGCTTCCAATTCAGTTGTTCAAATGTTAACTATTCTTTCAAGAAAAATTTCAAGGACCCATTAATATTGAAACCGACTATACAAATCCAGATTATTATCTTAGTCTAGCCTCGAGTTAAAAGTAAACTCTGGGCAACCCCTTAGCATACAACTAAATAATATTCAGAGTATTATTCAGAATGAATAAATGTGGAGTAGACAACTAAGTAAATGTTTGACTATGTAAATAATGAGAAAATAAAAAAATAAATAAAAGTCTGGCTTTTCCCACAATTGGGAGCAATTTGATTATACCTATTCAAAAGGGGTAAGATGTGGGGTCAGTACATAACCTACCTTATAAAACCATCCTAAATTTTCCTAGAAAACATGAAGAGCTTGTTCTTATTTTGATAGATACAAACTTATATGTGCCCCCATTTTAGCATATATTAGCTTGAATTATAACTGGTTTCAAGTCTTTCTTTATTCCTTTTTTTCCTTCTAAGACTATGGATATTTTGTGAGAGGAGCCAACTCTGCATTTCTTTTTCTTTTCTTCATTATAACTTTTGGATTAGGTTCAGAGGTGTATGTGCAGGTTTGTCATATAGGTAAACTGCGTGTCCTAGGGGTTTGATGTACAGATTATTCCATCATTCAGATAGTAAGAATGGTATCCAGTAGGTATTTTTCTAACCCTCTCCCTCTTACCCACCTCCACCCTCAAGTAGGCCTTGTTGTCTATTGTTCTGATCTTTGTGTCCATGTTTTCTTGTTTGGCTTCCACTTATAAGTAAGAACATGAGATATTTGATTTTCTGTTTCTGCATTTGTTTCCTTGAGATAATGGCCTCCAGTTCCATCCATGTTACAGCAAAGAACATGATCTCATTCTTTTTTTCTGGTGGTGTAGTAGTCTATGGTATATATATATATATATATATATATATATATATATATAAACACTTTTTTTTAAATCTAGTCTACCATTGATGGGTATTTAGGTTGATTCCATGTCTTTGCTGTTGTGAATAGTACTACAACGGACATATGCATGCATGTGCCTTTATGGCAGAGCAATATATATTCTTTTGGGTATTCTTTTGGGTATATATCCTGTAATGTGATTGCTGGGTCAAATGATATTTCCGTTTCAGGTTCTTTGAGAAATAATTGTCACACTCCTTTTCAGGGCAGCTGGACTAATTTACAGTCCCACCAGCAATGTATAAGGGTTCCCTTTTCTCTGCAACCTTGCCAGCATCTGCTATTTTTTGACTTTTTAGTAGCAGTCATTCTAACTGTTATGAGATGGTATCTCATTGTGGTTTTGATTTGCAATTCTCTAATGATTAGTGATGTCCAGCATTTTTCATAACTTTGCCTTTATTTATGTATCCTTATCACCTAAAAGATACCACACATTTACCAGGTGTTCAGAAAAATGTGTATTGAAAGAGAGAGATAAAAGAAAAAAGTTAAAGCAAATAAAGAAAGATCCAAGAAGCTTATTAATGGTAGTATTTTCACATATTTGCTGTGAAGTATGAGACAAAGGTTAGGGAATAAAAACAGCTCTTACTACACAGCAAAAGTATGCATAGATGTTGATACTTTTTCCTTCGCCTCTGTTGGTATAATTGCAGAACTTTTAAGTAGTTCAATAGGGAATTCAGGATTACTGTATATTTTGTTGGGAGAAAAAAAATGTGAGATAGTTAATTTGTAGCTTTGGATAAATTATGTATTCTAATCTTGGTGCTGATTATTGCAAAATAATCATTGTGCTATAGTGTGCTAAAATATTAGTTGAAAACTAATTGTTGTGAACTTTTTATCTGCACCCGGTGAGATTCCTATGAATGACTAAAAGGCTAAGCAGGGCAAAATTGTTTAGTTAGTTAGC